>NC_000007.14:67658294-67961324 GCF_000001405.40 Homo sapiens | reverse complement strand
ATTTGATGTTATGCAGTTAGCTTTCTGTTTCAATTGCTTATTGCTGCAAAAGAAAAGCCTTAGAGGCTTAAAGCAATAAGAACCACTTGTTATCTTTAATTATGTGGGTTATCTAGGCAGTTCTGTGGTCTGGCTTGTAGCCTTCTGTGTGATTGCAGACACCTCGTTGGTCGTTGGGCCTGAAGTCACCTGGAAGCTGCATTAGAATAACTTTTCCTGTCCATGGGGTCTCTCCTCATGGTCCCTCTCCCAGGATAGCTGGAGTTCAACATGGTGGTTCAGAGCATCCCAAAATACAGAAATGGTAGCTACCTGGGCTCAGATAGCACAGAACATGACTTCCCCTGCCTTCTACTGGTTAAAGCAAGTCAGAGGCCAACATCAATTCATGATGGGAGGGGACTCTACAAAGGTGTAACTATCAAGAGGTTCACGGACCCCATTCCTCAGCTGCCCCAAGCTCCTTCTGGACGTTTTCAGTAAATCACTTCATCTTCTTGAGCTTCAGCAATTGCAATGGTCTTCTATTTGCTCTCCCTATTCTACTCTCACCCCTCTTCAGTCCATTCTCTTCTGTAGCCAGAAAGATCCCATACAACATTGATCGGGATCAGTTGTGGTGTCTCACACCTGTAATCCTAGCACTTTGGAAGGCTAAGACAGGAAGATCGCTTGAGGCCAGAAATTTGAGACCAGTCTGGGCAGCATAGTGAGACCCCATCTCTACGAAACTAAAAATGAAAAATAAAATTAGCTGGGTGTTATGGTGCACACCTGTATTGCCAGCTACTTGGGAGGCTGAAGTGGGATGATCACTGGAACCCAGAAGTTAGAGGCTGCAATGAGCTATGATTGCCTCACTGTACTCCATCTTGGGTGACAGAGCAAGACCCCAACTCTAAAAAAATAAAATAAAATAAAACAAACGAACAAAAACCTCCAGTCAAGTTGGCTCTGAGGTCAAAACCCACTGCTGCTTCCCGCTAAGAATAAAGCTGCAGTTGTTAGTTCCTGCAACATCCCACATAGTCCTCCCACTCTTCAGTCTACCCCACATCACCCTCCAATCTCATCTTCTATTCCCTTCCTGTATTTCACTCTATGCAGCCACACAGGCCTCCTTGTTCCTCTTTAAGGACTCCAGGCTTTCTCCTTCCTCCATCTTTTCACTTGCTGTTCCCTCTGCTTGGAATGCTGTTCCCTGCATATTCCCCTGACTCACTCCCTCATCTCCTTCCAGTCTTTACCCAAATGTCACTTCAGTGAGAACTTCCCTGACCATCATCTTTTATTTATTTATTTATTTATATTGAGATGGAGTTTCACTCTTTTTGCCGAGGCTAGAATGCAATGGCGTGATCTCAGCTCACTGCAACCTCCGCCTCCCAGGTTCAAGCGATTCTCATGCCTCAGCCTCCCGAGTAGCTGGGATTACAGGTATGTGCCACCACACCCGGCTAATTTTTGTATTTTTAGTAGAGACTGGGTTTCTCCATGTTGGTCAGGCTGGTCTCGAACTCCTGATCTCAGGTGATCCATCCGCCTTGGCCTCCCAAAGTGCTGGGATTACAGGTGTGAGCCACTGCTCCTGGCCTGACCATCATCTTTTACATAACTGCCTCCCACTTAGTTGTCATTCCATGTCCCCATTCCTTGCTCCACTTTTCCCCTCAAAGCACTTATTGCCACCTAAGAAGCTGAATAATTTTCTGACTTATTTAGCATACTTTCTTCCATGCCCACATGACTGTAAGCTCTTTGAGGGCAATGGTTTTTTATGAACAACTTTATTGAGATATAATTTACATGCCATAACATTTACCCTCTCACAGTACATAATTCCATAGCTTTTTTGAGTATCATAACAGAGTCATGTTATCATCATCACTATCTAATTTGGTTCATTGTTTGATCGATCGACTGGACTTTGGAGATCCTTTATTGTTCCCACACTGCAACAATGAAACCTAGAGAAATCGAGCGATTGCCCAAGGTCACCTGGCTGACTAATGACAAAAACTGAGCTGGAATCCAGGACTTTAATTCTCAGGCCAGAACTCTCCCAACTCAGGATTTCAGCTTTCTTCTCCGATGGTGCCCTGATTATTTTATTTTATTTTATTTTTTTGAGACAAAGTGTCGCTCTTGTTACCCAGACTGGTATGCAATGGTGCGATCTCAGCTCACTGCAACCTCCGCCTCCCAGATTCAAATGATTTTCCGGCTTCAGCTTCACGAGTAGCCGAGATTACAGGTGCACACCACCATGCGCAGCTAATTTTGTAATTTTTTTTTTTTTTTAGATGGAGTCTTGCTCTGTCACCCAGGCTGGAGTGCAGTGGCGTGATCTTGGCTCACTGCAAGCTCCGCCTCCTGGGTTCACGCCATTCTCCTGCCTCAGCCTTCCGAGTAGCTGGGACTACAGCCGCCCGCCAGCACGCCCGGCTAATTTTTTTTTTTTGTATTTTTAGTAGAGACAGGGTTTCACCGTGTTAGCCAGGATGGTCTCGATCTCCTGACCTCGTGATCCGCCCGCCTCGACCTCCCAAAGTGCTGGGATTACAGGCATAAGCCACCGCGCCCGGCCTAATTTTGTATTTTTAGTAGAGATGGGGTTTCTCCATGTTGGTCAGGCTGGTCTGGAACTCCTGACCTCAGGTGATCTGCCTGCCTTGGCTCACTGCAACCTCTGCCTCCCAGGTTCAAGTAAGTCTCCTGCCTCACCCTCCGGAGTAGCTAGGATTATAGGCACCATCACCACGCCTGGCTATATTTTTTTGTATTTTTAATGGAGACGGGCTTTCACCATGTTGGCCAGGCTAGCTGAGTATCTTTTCATGTGCTTATTAGCCATTTGTATATCTTCTTTGGAGAAATCTCTATCAAGTCCTCTACCTATGTTTTAAGTGGATTATTTATCTTTTATTGTGAAGTTATAAGAATTCTTTTACATACTGGATATAAGTCCCTTATCAGATATATAATTTGCAATTATATTTTTCTATTATGTGGTCACCTTTTCACTTTTTTTTTTTTCCTCTGAGACAGGATCTTACTCTGTCACCCAGACCAGAGTGCAATGGTGCAATCACAGCTCACTGCAGCCTTGACCTCCATGTGGTTGGAGAACATACTTTGCATGATTTTAATTCTTTAAAGATTATGGCGACTTATTTTATGTGTTAATGTATGGTATCTCCTGAGAATGTGCCATAAGTACTTGAGAATAATGTGTATTCTGGTATTGTTGGGTAGAGAGTCCTAGGTGGTTTGCAATGCTGTTCCAGTTTCTTTTTTCTTTTCTTTTCTTTTTTTTTTTTTTGGGACACAGTTTCACTCTTGTCGCCCAGGCTGGAGTGCAGTGACATGATCTCGGCTCACCGCAACCTCCGCCTCCCGGGTTCAAGTGATTCTTCTGCCTCAGCCTCCCGAGTAGCGGGGATTACAAGCACACCTGGCTTGTAATTACCACACCTGGCTGATTCTGCATTTTTAGTAGAGACAGGGTTTCTCCATGTTGGTCAGGCTGGTCTTGAACTCCCGACCTCAGGTGATCCATCCGTCTTGGCCTCCCAAAGTGCTGGGATTACAGCCTTGAGCCACCGTGCCTGGCCTGCTGTTCCAGTTTCTATTTCTTTGCTTCTTTGATCTTCTGCCTGGTTGTTCTATTCATTATTGGACACGGGTAATCACATCTCCCATTTTTATTGTTAAATCTATTTTTCTCCTAGATTTTCTCAGTTTTTTTGCTTCAGGTATTTCAGAACTCTGTTATTAGGTGCCTAAATGTTTATAATTGCCATATCTTCTTTATAAATTAATTCTTTTAGCATCATAAAATATCCTTATTTGCCCTAGTAATAACTTTTGACTTACAGTCTTTTTTTTTTTTTTTTTTTTTTAGATGGAGTCTTGCTCTGTCATCTGGGCTTGAGTACAGTGGCACAATCTCAGATTGCTGCAATCTCCGCCTCCCAGGTTCAAGCGATTTTCCTGCCTCAGCCTCCTGAGTAGCTAGGATTACAGGTGCCCGCCACCATGCCCAGCTAATTTTTTTGTATTTTTAGTAGAGACAGGGTTTCACCATATTGGCCAGGCTGGTCTTGAACTCCTGACCTCAGGTGATCTGCCCTCCTTGGGCTCCCAAAGTGCTGGGATTACAAGCATGAGCCACTGCGCCCAGACTTAAAGTCTATTTTGTCTGGTATTAGTGTGGCCATTCCAGACCTCTTTGGCTAGTGTTCATATAGTCTCTCTTTTTCATCCTTTGACTTGCTTATTTATGTCTTTGAATCTAAGGTGTGTCTTTTATAGACAGCATATACTTGGATTTTTTTTTTTTTTTTTTTGAGATGGAGTTTCACTCTTGTTGCCCAGGCTGGAGTGCAATCTTGGGATCTCGGCTCACCACAACCTCCACCTCCTGGGTTCAAGTGATTCTCCTGCCTCAGCCTCTCGAGTAGCTGGGATTACAGGCACCCTCCATCATGCTGGGTTACTTTTCCTAATTTTAGTAGAGACAGGGTTACACCATGTTGGCCAGGTTGGTCTCAAACTCCTGACCTTAAGTGATCCGCCTACCTCGGCCTCCCAAAGTGCTGGGATTACAGGTGTGAACCACTGCGCCTGGCTGAGGCTCTTAATAGGTACTCTATGGTCATCTGTTGAGCAAAGAAGTAAATCCTCATATGAGAAATGGGATGACAGATCCCTCTCTCACTACTGTACAGAGTTATGGGGGTCGTCAAATATAATCACTGAAGTTCAAGTCTCTTTAAAATGTTAACATGTTATGTAAATTTAAGTGAGTAGTGAAATCCTATTTAACTCTAAGCCCTGGGCCAAGTTCCAGAAGTCTAATTGGGTCATGTTTAGAAGGCAAAATTGTTACCGAAAAGGGGTCCAGATCCAGATCCCAAGAGAGGGTTCTTGGATTTCACAAAAGAAAGAATTCAGAGCGAGTCCATAGAGTAAAATGAAAGCAAGTTTATTAGGAAAGTAAAGAAATAAAAGAATGGTTACTCCATGGACAGCATAGAGCATTCCCAAAAGTAGGAGGAGGAACGCATCCACCCTAGGTACAATACTTACTTATATACAGGATTAAAAAAAAAAAAAAGATCATGGGGATAAGTGCTCTGCTACAAGGGTTTGTGATAAAGGATTAATTTTCTTAATGACTATATTTTGCAAGATTCGATATTATTATCTTTAAAGCAAAATTAGGAATGCTTCTGTTCTCAAGACAGTGGGATATCAGGACACCCCCACATCTGGGTGTGTTTAGTAAACTTTATCAATCTGCCCCCTTAACCATAACCATCTAGAGGCTAGGAATACCTAACTTTCTGGGAACGCAGCCCAGCAAGTCCCAGGCCCATTTTTTTTCTAACCCTCACTCCAGATGGAGTCACTCTTATTCGAACACCTCTGACAAAATTGCTATGTTTGAAATATAACAAACAGAAATTATTTCTGGACTTGTCTCTTCCTCCACAGTCTACCTCCAGTCAACTCCATCCTCAGCCTTTCTGGACTCTTCTTTCTCGGGTTCAACTTCTCTCTTCCTTCTGTTCCTCATGAAGCCAGATTCAAAGTTAGTGCAAGCGTATGGCCTTTATAAGCTTCAAGCCAGTCCTCAACAGAGGTCATTGTAATCCCTTATTCTCACACACATGCTATGGCTAAAATTGGGATAAAGGGGCTAGGAGAGACCGTGCTTGGACCTTGATCCAAAATGACAGGTTTCAGTATAGTATTCTAAAAATTATCTTAATGGTTTATTGGGCACCAACTCAATGAATGAGGTAGCCCTAGGATGCCTTATTGGTTCTCCTAACCCTCCTCACTACTCTATAAACAATTACTTCATTAGATGCCTTTCAGAACATTTGTAGAGGATTTTCTTTCCTGGATTCTGCCTCCAGCTCTCAATGGGCTTCCTCCCTTTCTCTCTCAGGCTTGCGGGGATGCTGGCTTCCCACTCCTGCTCCTTCCCCTACTTCCCGAGTGCATCAATAGCCCCTGTTGTTCCCTTAATCCTATTCATATTCGTTGGTTTCTAATGTAACCTCATCTCCCTGTGACTTCCCCCTAAGGCCAACCAGTGCTGTCATAAAAGCAGTCCCCCCAGGTCCTTCTCTGCTGCCTGAAATCTGGCCAAAAGGTGACTTCATCACCCATTCCTCACCCAACAGTTATTGGAAAAATAAATATACCAGTGTTTTGTTTTGTTTTTGTTTTTTAACAACAAAACTCCTGGAAAGAGGGGTCTTTACTCATATTCTCTGATTTTTTTTTTCATCTCAACCCCATGGTATGGTTTGGCTGTGTTCCCACCCAAATTTCATCTTGAATTGCAGTCCCGTAATTCCCACTTGTTGTGGGAGCGAGCCAGTGGGAGATAATTGAATTGTGGGGTTGGTTTCTCTTATACTGTTCTCATAGTAGTGAACAAGTCTCACAAGATCTAATGGTTTTATAAGGGGTTTCCCTTTTTTCTTGGCTCTTTCTTCCTTCTTTGCCTGCTGCCTCCTCCATGATTGTGAGGCATCTCCAGCCACGTGGAACTGTGGGTCCATTCAACCTCTTTTTTTTTTCTTAATAAATTACCCAGTCTTAGCAGTGTGAGAACAGACTAATACACCCCACTTCTCCATCATATTTTCATCCCCACTCTTCCACAAATGCTACTTGTGTCAGTATCATTACTGACCTCCGTGTTGCTAAATGTATGGACCAACTCTCAGTCTTATTCTGACTTATTGATGGGCAGCATTTGACAGAATCGAATCCTCCTTCCTCCTTGAAACACCATTCCGAGGTTTAGGGAAACCTATAAACCATGGAGGTCCTGGGGCTCAGTCGATGGGCCTCTCTTCTTCTCCAGTGATCTTATTCCCTTGGTGAATTTATCCAGCCACGTGGCTTATATACAATCTGCATACTGATCTATAATTTCCATCTGCATCCTGGGCCTCTCCCTGGAGTTTCAGCTGCATATATCTACCTTTGCAATGTCTTCACTTAGGTCTCTCATGGACATCTCAGGCCAAACTCCTACTATTCCATATTTTAGTAAGTAGCAACTCGATCGTCTGATGCTTAGCCTAAAAACCTTGACATCATCTTTGGCTCCTTTCTTTCTCACATCCCGCATCACTAAATTTTGTCACATCTACCTTCAACATATATTCAGATTCTGACCTCTTCCCACCACCTCTACTGCTACCATTGCGGTACAAGGGTACAAGTCATTGACATGTAAACATGTCCTTGTTCAAAAATACGTCCCTTTACACAAGTCTCCCACCAGCTACCACCCAATGCATGGTTAGTTTTCTCTCATTATTTTGGTCTCAGTTCTCTTATAAATTTTTATGTTTTTATTTATTTATTTTTGTGACAGGGCCCTACTCTGTCACCCAGGCTGGAGTGCAATGGCATGATCAGACCTCACTACATCCTCCAACTCCTGGGCTCAAGAGATCCTCCCATCTCAGCCTCCTGAGTAGCTGGGACTACTGGCACGTGCCACCTTTCCTGGCTAATTGTTTTAATTTTTTTTATAGAGATGGGGTCTCTTTATGTTGCCCAGGCTGGTCTTGAATTCCTGGGCTCAAGCGATCCTCTTGGCTCGGGCTCCCAAAGTGATGAGATTACAAATGTGAGTCACCATGCCCAGCCTCCACTCTCTTTAGAGAGGTCTTCACCAACACACCCATGTGAGGTTGCTCCCACTTCACCATCATCTTTCTCCAGCCATTACACAATTTTATTGCTCCCCTATTTCTTTCCTTTTTAAAACAGAGTTTCACTCTTGTTGCCCAGGCTGGAGTGCAATGGTGTGATCTGCCTCCTGGGTTCAAGCAATTCTCCTGCTTCAACTTCTGCCTCCTGGGTTCAAGTGATTCTCCTGCCTCAGCCTCCCAAGTAGCTGGGATTACAGGCATGTGCCATCATGCCCAGCTAATTTTGTATTTTCAGTAGAGACGGGATTTCACCATGTTGGTCAGGCTGGTCTCAAACTCCCGACCTCAGGTGATCCTCCCACCTCGGCCTCCCATAGCGCTGGGATTACAGACATGAGCCACCGTGCCCGGCCCTACTTCCCTATTTCTTATCACTATGTAAAAAATATATTTTAGGCTGGGCGGGGTGGCTCAAGCCTGTAATCCCAGCACTTTGGGAGGCCGAGGTGGGAGGATCACGAGGTCAGGAGATTGAGCCCATCCTGGCTAACACGGTTTAACCCCATCTCTACTAAAAATACAAAAAAATTAGCCGGGCGTGGTGGTGGACTTCTGTAGTTCCAGCTACTCAGGAGGCTGAGGCAGGAGAATGGCATGAACCTGGGAGGTGGAGCTTGCAGTGAGCCGAGATCACGCCACTGCACTCCAGCCTGGGCGACAGAGCAAGACTCCATCTCAAAAAAAAAAAAAAAATATATATATATATATATGTATATTTTACACATTTATCTGTTTTTTCTGCTTCGTCTTGTAAGTGTGTGTAACTTCTATGCTGTGAAGTACCAAAAGCCTGGTACAGGGCTCACTTGTATTATGACTGTCAATAAATATTTGTTATATTACCAAATACGTGCTCTATAAAGCCCTTCTGTTTCTAAGAATATTGTAATGAATATACTAATGAATAT
This sequence comes from Homo sapiens, assembly GCF_000001405.40. Classification (NCBI taxonomy): domain Eukaryota; kingdom Metazoa; phylum Chordata; class Mammalia; order Primates; family Hominidae; genus Homo; species Homo sapiens. The sequence continues at coordinate 67,952,665 of NC_000007.14, read as the reverse complement.
TAGTGGTTTCCTTAATCCTTATGGTGTTGTGATCAGAAGGAAATGAGATAATGGCATGTTGAAAGCACTTTGTCAACTATGAAACATTATCTGAATATAGAAGGTGTTTGTGTCTGGGCGTGGTGGTTCACACCTGTAATCCCAGCACTTTGGGAGGCTGAGGCAGGTGGATCACCTGAGGTCACGAGTTCGAGACCAGCATGACCAACAAGGTGAAACCCTGTCTCTACTAAAAATACAAAAATTACCCGGCATGGTGGCAGGTGCTTGTAGTCCCCACTACTTGGGAGGCTGATACAGGAGAATCGCTTGAACCCGGGAGGCGGAGGCCACAGTGAGCCGAGATGGCACCATTGCACTTGAGCCTGGGCGATGGAGCAAGACTCCAACTCAAAAAAAAAAGGAAGAAGGTGTTCGCATGAATAACCATTCAAGATTTCCTAAAACGAATGTCTTCCCTGAAGGAGGAGGACCCTTCTATTTGGTCCTGGCCAAGGCAAGCTCATAAACTGACAAGGGCACATGTGTGCACTCAAGACTAAGGGCAAAGCTTGCATCCTATGTTTATGTTACATTGTTCTGTAATGCTTGTTTTGGCTTTATTATGTGAGTTCAAAATATCAAAGTATAAAAAACTCAGTAGGGGATGGCCCCTACTTAATGGAACGGCCAGTTTCCTCTGCTTTGAAATTGGTCCCCAAAGTTTGCTTCCCAGGAGCCTTATATGTCAGGTGTATGAGGAAGATCATCTTAGTTCAAATCTTTTCCCCTAGACATTCTATTTTTTTTTTTTAAATCTTAGGTGAAAGAGAAAATACACGTACATACTCGGCAGTATGAATGTATGTGGGTTTTTCCCCTCCTCTTTATCATTTTAAGGAAAGCTTCCCCTTTATAGCCAAAGTCAAGAGTAAGGTTGAGGCAACATTGAAGGGGAGAAATGCTACCTTCTTTTCGTTTTAAAATTTTATGGCTGGGCACGGGGGCTCACACCTGTAATCTCAGCGCTTTGGAAGGCCGAGGTGGGTGGATCACTTGAGGCTAGGAGTTCAAGACCAGCCTGGCCAACATGGTGAAACCCCATCTCTACTAAAAATACAAAAATTAGCCAGGTATGGTGGCACATGCCTGTAGTCTCAGCTACTCTGGAGGCTGAGGCATGAGAATCACTTGAAACTGGGATGTGGAGGTTGTAGTGAGCCAAGATCACACTACTGCATTCCAGCTTGGGTGACACAGCAAGACTCTGTCTCCAAAAAATAAAAAATAAAAAAAATTTATTCCAAGTGTTTGTTTTGACCTTAGGATTTTCTGAGTTTTTTTGATCAGCCGGTGTATCTAGGTCAGACATTTCAGATGTGGTTTTGCCATGCACCATGGGCCGTGTCCAGTCAGCCATCTGCCCACACCTCTGCTCCCGGCCCACTGACTGCACTCACATCTAAGTACCTACATGGCATTCATCCTTCTCTAGTCGCCCCTGCAGCAAAATGTTCCAGCAAAAGGGAGCAAGAGCCTGTGGGCACCTCCCCACCACGTACTTCCTTGGGATACAGTATCCTGACTCAGAGACAGGCGTGGTGCACAGTAAATTATATCCAGCCATCCCATAAGATTTCAGCCACTGTAGCTCTCTGAGAAGACAGAATTTGTGGCAAAGGGTAATGAAGAGGGTATGTGTTTCCTCCTCATTTGTAGAAGCTAAAGCTATTTTTCCTTAACCATAGTATCTGCAGCAATCCCTGCCCTCTCAGTAGACAAGGTGTTTTTCTGAAAATGCATCCCACAGACCACGAGAGATGCAAGGTGATCTGTAATAGAAGGCACTGGTGGTCAAGTTAAGTACAGATACTCTGCATACCATAGTGCCCTGTAGGAGATAGTCAACGCATAATAGCAGAGTAAAGCCTCTGAGATTTTTCTGCAAGGGAAAAAAAAATCACTTAATCTTGCGTAACTCTATACTTCCTCAATTTATATCACGGAACCCTTGACGCTTATTTCACTTAAAACCAGTGTTCTATGCAATGGCCTTTGGGCAACACTGTTGTGAACAAACCCTTAGATTTGTGAGCAAATCTAATTAACTTTATTTCAGACCTTGAGAATGTGAGGAAGGGCTAATTGGTGTTGAATTTTCTTACCAAGCTGTCTCACAGTGACTCTGCACCAAATTAAGCCGGAAGTGCGAGCATGTTCCTAAAGAGCAGGGCAGAAAGCTTCACCAAAGCCTCCTGCTCATGATGAAGAAATATGATGTTCTTAACATCAGAATTGCAGATATTTTTCACATAAGTGCATTCCAGTGATATAACTTTACATTTAGGGAAGCATCCTTCAGAGGAACTGCGTAATATTTTTCAGATTCAACCACAGAATTAATCATGTTCTCTCCCTGCTTTATTTTAAAGAGGAAAAAATGTCAGAAAGTAAAGGCAGTTTTTTGTTTGTTTGTTTGTTTTTGAGATGGAGTTTTGATCTTGTCGCCCAGGCTGGAGTGCAGTGGTGCAATCTCAGTCTCGGCTCACTGCAAACTCCACCCCCCGGGTTCAAGCGATTCTCTTGCCTCAGCCTCCCGAGTAGCTGGGATTGCAGGCACGCATCACCACACCCAGATAATTTTTGTATTTTTAGTAGAGATGGGGTTTCACCATCTTGGCCAGGCTGGTCTCGAACTCCTGACCACAGATGATCCACCTGCCTCAGCCTCCCAAAGTACTGGGATTACAAACATGAGCCCCAGCACCCAGCCAAAGTGTTTGTTTTGAAAACAAATATAAAATCAAGTTTCCCGAAAAGGAGTTTTGAGGTGTCATTAGAAGATAATAAGATGAAGAGGGAAAGCATTCTGGAAGGGAAGCCTGGGACGGGGTGTCCTGCTATGGCTGGAGTGAGAACTGAGGCTGGGAAGAAGGCAGGTGCCAGATCACAGGAAGCTCTTTGTGCTAATTTAGGAGATTTGAACACGTTCCTTCAAGAGGAGGCTTTGACAACTGTTATTAGGAGAGAAATGTGACCTGATTTCTATTTTAGAGCCTTCAACCTGGCTGCCTGGTAAATTGAAAGTTAAGTTGGAAGAAATGCAGATTGGAATCAGGCAGACACAGTAGGAAGCTACTGCAACAGTCCATGCAAGAAATGGCAATAACCTGAACTGAGACAGTGGCAGAATGGAACTAGAGAGGAAGGGAGGCATGGTCGGTGATATGGCTTGGCTGTGTCCCCACCCAAATTTCACCTCGAATTGTAATAATCCCCAGGTGTCAAGGGTGGGGCCAGGTGGAGATAATCGAATAATGAGGGTGGTTTCCCCCATACTGTTTTCATGGTAGTGAATAAGTGTCATGGGATCTGATGGTTTTATAAATGGGAGTTCCCCGTACAGGCTTTCTCTTGCCTGCTGCCATGTAAGACTTCCCCTTGCTCTTCCTTTGTCTTCCACCATGATTTTGAGGCCTCCCCAGCCATGTGGAACTGTGAGTCCATTAAACCTCTTTCCTTTGTAAATTACCCACTCTGGGGTATGTCTTTATTAGCAGTGTGAGAACAGACTAATACAGCAGGAGGTATCTGCTTGTCAGAAGGGTTGAAGGAGATGTGGGCTAAATTCAGTGAATGGATGGCTATTGGCTCACCTTCCTCTGCGTGTGTCAGTACAAGAGCTTTGCACTGGGATCGGGCAGGCCAGTGTCTCCTCCGGTGCTGTGACTGTTTGCCTTTTAGAACAGGGTCAAGCTGTTAGGTAAAATAAGACAGAGCAGCTAACTCCCAACCCTGACATCATGGGAACTCATTCTATGTCTTCATTAAGGCCTCCATAAAATTAGAAATTATTGTACAATTGCCATTTTCTGCCTTATTTATACATTGCTCTGATTCTCTATCACAGTCTAAAAACCTAAAAAATATCACCCTCAAAATATAGTGGCTTAAAACAACAATTTATTGATTGTTCACGGTTCTCTGGGTTGACAGGGCTCAATTAGGGACTCTCACTTGGTTTTCTCAGGCGCTGGAGCTGTAGTCATCTGAGCTGGAGTGGACATCCAAGATGGGGCACTTACATGGCAGGCAATTGATGCTGGCCATTGGTTGAGAGTTCAACAAGGGCCATTGGCCAGTGTGTTCACATATGGCCTTTCCACATGGCTTGGGCTTCTCACAGCATTGCAGCTGGGTTCCCAAAACACCCTACAAGTAAGCTTTCAAAGAGACCCAGGCAGAATCTGCAAGGTTTCTTTTGACCTATCTTTGGAAGGCACAGACTATCACATTCACCGCATTGTGTTGGTCGAGCAAGTAACTAAGGTCAATCAGATTTACAGGAAGGAAAATTAAACTCCACTTCTTGTTGAGAAAATGGCAAAGTCACACTACAGGAGAACATATGGGAAAGGAAATACTGTTGCTGCTATTTTTGAAAAATACAATCTGCCATATAGATATTTGAAAACATAACCATTTTTCCCACTAACTCTTTGAGAATGGAAACTTTTGCTTATTTTATTTTTATCCTCCCTCTTTCCTTTGTTCTGTATCCCAATCTGCATGCCTACTCTATGTCAAGACTAATATCCTACACATTCTAGAAAGTAAATGGGTTTTGTTAAGTTTGAATTGAGAGGGTAAAAGGGAAACCTGCACTTTATTAAGTGAAGAGAACAAAGAGCGAATAAATCTTTACAAGATTATTTTAGGGGTGTGGACAAACTTTTCTTCGTAATTTTATTTTTTAGATATTGGGTCTTGCTCTGTCACCCAGGCTGGAGTGCCATAGTGCAATCCCAGCTCACCGCAACCTCAAATTCCTGGGCTCTGGCAATCTTCCCACCTCAGCCTTCTGAGTAGCTGGGACTACAGGCATGCACCACTGGGCTTGGCTAATTTTTAATTTTTATTTTCTTGGAGTTACGGTGTCTTTCTATGTTGTCCAGGTTGGTCTCAAACTGCTGGCCTCAAGTGATCCTCTCACCTCGGCCTCCCAAAATGCTGAACTACAGGCTTAAGCTACAACATCCAGCCTGGGCTTTTTTTGGTCTCAATTTATGGATTGACTGTGTATTATCAGGGTTGTCCAGTGAAACAAAATCAATAGGAGAGATACAGAGATGATAGATGGATAGCTAGATAGCTAGATGGTCAGTCGATAGACAGACACATATCTCTGTAGATGGCAAAACTAACTAAAATAAAATGTTGAGTGCAGTAAAGGAGATATGGGGGTGCTCAGAGCAGAGAGTGAACAACTGCTCCGAGGGCTGACAACACCCACAGTGAGAAATGGCACATGTACCTCCCAGCCTATCACTTGACAGAGCCCTCTATGTGCCCTACTCCTGTTAGTCATCTAAAATACCCAAGGCTCATTGTTCCATTGCTCCCTAAAGATCTCTAGGCAGGATCATCAACTCTTATTTGTTGAATCCAGTATCTGTCAACCCTGGGTACATAATAGAATCACCTAGGGAAGCCTTAAGACATACTCAGACTAGGCTGGGCAAGGTGGCTCATGCCTGTAATCCCAGCACTTTAGGAGACCAAGGTGGGTGGATCACCTGAGATCGGGAGTTCGAGACCAGCCTGACCAACATGGAGAAACCACATCTCTACTAAAAATACAAAATTAGCTGGGTGTGGTGGCACATGCCTGTAATCCCAGCTACTCAGGAGGCTGAGGCAGGAGAATCACTTGAACCTGGGAGGCGGAGGTTGCAGTGAGCTGAGATCGTGCCATTGCACTCCAACCTGGGCAATAAGAGGAAGACTCTGTTAAAAAAAAAAAAAAAGAAAAAGAAAAAAAAGACATACTTATACTAGACATTCTGAGTATCCCAGGAGGTCTGCCTGGTAGAGGTGGCAGAGCCACATCCAAGAGAGGCTGTGTGAGTGCATCATGAGAGCAGGGGCCTAAGAGATGAACATAACGTCCTAAAGAGCATGGCCCGTATCAGATGAGAATCCAATGCTAGAGTTTCTCTAATAAACGCCCACCTCAACCCTAATCTCACTGAGGAAGAACTGGAGTTTAGGCATCTGCTTTCTGAAGCACCATAGCAGAAACATCAGTACTATTCTGTTCTCTTCCTCTCCATGGTGGTCTGAAAAATGTCTCCCACCTCTCAAAAATATCTAGGTCCTGTTCCCTGGAACTTGCGAATGTTATCTTTTTTTTTTTTTTTTCCGAGATGGAGTCTCACTGTCACCCAGGCTGGAGTGCAGTGGCATGATCTCAGCTCACTGCAACCTCTGCCTCTGGGTTAAAGTGATTCTACTGCCTTAGCCTCCTGAGTAGCTGGGACTACAGGCACATGCCATGACACCCAGCTAATTTTTGTGTTTTTAGTAGAGATGGGGTTTCACCATGTTGGGCAGGCTGGTCTTGAACTCCTAACTCCAAGTGATCCACCTGCCTCAGCCTCCCAAAGTGCTGGGATTACAGGTGTGAGCCAACACTCCTGGCCTGCAAATGTTATCTTATTTGAAAAAAGCATGGCTGGTCACGGTGGCTTATAGCTGTAATCTCAGCTCTTTGAGAGGCCGAGGTCAGAGGACTGCTTGAGCCCAGGAGTTCAAGATCAGCCTGGGCAACATAGTGAGACCTTGTCTCTACACTTTATATATATATATATGTAAATTAGCTGGACATGGTGGTGCATGCCTGTAGTCCCAGCTACTTGGGAGGCTGAGGTGGAAGGATGGCTTGAGCCTGGGAGTTCAAGGCTGCCATGAACTCTGATCATGCCATTGCACTCCAGCCTGGGTGACAGACCAACACTCTATCTCAGAAAAAAAAAGTCTTTGCAGATGTGATTAATTTAAGGACCTTTGAGATAAGGAGATCGTCCTGGGTTAGCCAGGTGGGCCCTAAATGGAACCACAAGTGTCCTTATCAGAAAGAAACAGAGGGACAATTACACACAGAAAAGACAGAGGCAGTGTGACCACAGGAACAGAGACTGAGTGACACAGCGACAAGCCATGGAAAGCCTGCAGCCACAGAAGCTGGAAGAGGTTAGGAATGGATAATCTCCAGAGCACTGGAAGGAGCTCGGCCCTGCTGAGACATTGATTTCCACCCAGGGCTACCACATTCAGATTTCTGGACTCTAGAACTGTGAAAGAATATATTTCTGTTGTTTTAAGCTACTAAGTTTGTGGTCACTTGTTACAGCTGCCACAGAGAACTGATACGCTCCCCTCTGCAACCCTGGAAGAGCTGTGCTTATTAAAAAGTACAGACAGGCCAGGCATGGTGGCTCACACCTGTAATCCCAGCACTTCGGGAGGCTGAGGGGGGGCAGATTATTTGAGGTCAGGAGTTTCAGACCACCCTGGCAAACATGGTGAAATCCCGTCTTTATTGAAAATACAAAAATTAGCCAGGTGTGGTGGCACCCACCTGTAATCCCAGTTACTTGGGAGGCTGAGGCAGGAGAATCACTTGAGCCTGGGAGGCAGAGGCTGCAGTGAGCCAAGTGCACCACTGCACTTTGACCTGGGTGACAGAGCGAGACTCCGTCTCAAAAAAAAAAAAGTAGAGAAAAGAGACAGAAAACAGCAGGGAAGAAGCAATGTATGGGTAGCTCCAAGCCTGGGTCCATCCATCCTGAGCTGGTAGCGAGGAAGAAAGCTATTGAATTACATTCAATTCATCAATATTTGGAATAAAAAATATGAAAGTTTTTACTTAGTGCAGACTAGGCTCTTTAGATAGCCAAAAGTAAGGCTGAAACAGGTGAAAGTAAGCGGAGAAGCTAAGAAATTGACTCACAATATTATCCATGAGCAGGTTCATGGAAGTAGGTAGGAAGAGTGATGGTTTAAACAATAAACAAAGGCCAGGCTCAGTGGCTCACGCCTGTCATTCCAGCAGTTTGGGAGTTCGAGACCAGCCTGGCCAACATGGCAAAACCCTGTCTGTACTAAAAATACAAAAATCAGCCGGGCATGGTGGCACACACCTATAATCCCAGCTACTTGGGAGGCTGAGGCAGGAGAATTGCTTGAACTGGGGAGGCAGAGGTTGCAGTGAGCCAAGATTGTGCCACTGCATGTCAGCCTGGACGACAGGTTGAGAGTCCGTCTCAAAAAACAAAGCAAAACAAAAACAAACAATAAACAGAAATCTCACGTGAGTACCTGGATTGCAAGCACATAAATGGAAGCAAGGCAGAAATACTGACAACACCTCCAATGAGAGACAGCACATGGACCTCCCAGTCCTTGACAGAGCTCTCTCTGAGCCCTGCCTCAGAGGCTGGTGGGTCAGCTGTGCAGAGTAAAGGGGATGCGCCCATTCTGGGCCAAGGGGGTGCTAGGCCTGTCCATGGGCTGCGGCAGTGGCTCCCACCATTTAGGGCAGGAATAACAAAGCTTCCACTGGAGAGCACCTAAACCACAAGAGTCCTGCTGTCATCTCTGATCCTTACAGTAACCATGCAAAGTGGTTATTTCACACCATTTTCCAGATGAGAAAAAACAGTGGGTCCAAATAGTTAAAAGTAACTTGCCGACTGGGCGTGGTGGCTCACACCTGTGATCCCAGCACTTTGGGAGGCCGATGAGGGCGGATCACAAGGTTAGATCAAGACCATCATGGCTAACACGGTGAAACCCCATCTCTACTAAAAATACAAAAAATACAAAAATACAAAAAATTGGCCCGGCATGGTGGCGTGTGCCCGTAGTCCCAGCTACTCGGGAGGCTGAGGCAGGAGAATCGCTTGAACCTGGGAGGCAGAGGTTGCAGTGAGCCAAGATTACACCACTGGACTACAGACTGGGCGACCGCGTGAGACTCTGTCTCAAAAAAAAAAAAACTTCCCAAGGCTTGCACATCCAGTAAAGGGCAAGACTCCCGCCTGCCTGCCGTTCTGCTCTTGACGTGAAAATACGCCACCTATTGTCTATTTTTCTGTTCTACTCACACGTGTCTAATGTCAGGCCTTCAGTCCAATTTAGCTTGTTTCTAAGAGCATGGATACGGTTTGGATCTGTGTCCTCACCACATCTCATGTGGAATTGTCATCCTCCATGATGGAAGAGGGTCCCTGGTGGGAGGCAATTGATATTGGCAATTGAATCATAGGGGCGGTCCTTCGTGAATGGTTTACCCCATCCCTCTTGGTACTGTCCTCATGACAGTGAGTGAATTCTCATGAGATCTGATCATTTAAAAGGCATGTAGCATCTCCCTACTCTCTGTCTCTCCTGCTCCCACCATGTAAAACACTTTACTCCTCCTTTGCCTTCGGCCATCATTGGAAGCTTCCTGAGGTCTCCCCAGAAGCAGAAGCCGCGATGCTCCCTGTACAGACTACAGAACCAGGAGCCAATTAAACCTCTTCTCTTAATAAATTACCTAATTTTGGGTATTTCTTTTTTTTTTTGAGGCGGAGTCTCGCTCTGTCGCCCAGGCTGGAGTGCAGTGGCATGATCTCGGTTCACTGCAAGCTCCACCTCCCGGGTTCACGCCATTCTCCTGCCTCAGCCTAATGAGTAGCTGGGACTACAGGTGCCCGCCACCATGCCCTGCTAATTTTTTGTGTTTTTAGTAGAGACGGGGTTTCACCATGTTAGCCAGGATGGTCTCGATCTCCTGACCTCGTGATCTGCCCACCTCGGCCTCCCAAAGTGTTGGGATTACAGGTGTGAGCCACCGCGCCCAGCCTAATCTTGGGTATTTCTTTAGAGCAATGCAAGAATGGATTAATACTAGCATTTTATTATTTTTTATTTTATTTATTTATTTATTTTTGAGACAGAGTCTTACTCTGTCACCCAGGCTGGAGTTCAGTGGCATGATCTCAGCTCACTGCAACCTCTGCCTCCCAGTTTCAAGCAATTCTCCTGCCTCAGCCTCCTAGGTAGCTAGGATTACAGGCACAAGCCACAACACCTGGCTGATTTTTGTATTTTTAGTAGAGAAGGGGTTTCACCATATTGGCCAGGCTGGTCTCAAACTCCTGACCTCAGGTGATCCGCCCACCTTGGCCTCCCAAAGTGCTGGGATTACAGGCGTGAGCCACCACGCCCGACCTAATACAAGCATTTTAATTGTAGGAGCCAGTACTCAAGAATGAGAAATCTACCCTATCAAGTGTGCTTGTGATTAGGCCAGCACCTGTTATTTATTTATTTATTTTGTTTTGCTTTGAGTCCTGTGTGTGTGTGTGTGTGTGTGTGTGTGTGTGTGTGTGGTTTCTTCTGAGTATCATGCATGAGTTCAGGAGACTATCTTTGCAAATATTCTGTGAAATAGATTGATTGTTGCTAATTTGTTTCTGAACATGAAAGAGAAAAGTGACTGACTTCTTTTTGAGTTTTCATAAGGTACGGATGGTGGAAGAAATATTCTAACATAATACAGGTTGAAAACAGTACATATGTTTATTTGCTTTTTTTGTTTATGTTTTGTTTTTTGTTTGTTTGTTTTGTTTGTTTTTGTTTTTGAGATGGCATTTCACTCTATCACCCAGGCTGGAGTGCAGTGGCACAATCTCAATTTACTGCAGCCTCTGCCTCCCAGGTTCAAGCGATTCTCCCACCTCAGTCTCCCGAGTAGCTGGGATTACAGGCATGCACCATTACGCTTGGCTAATTTTTTTTTTATTTTTAGTAGAGAAAGGGTTTCACCATGTTGGCCAGGCTGGTCTCAAACTCCTGACCTCAGGTGATCCACCTGCTGCGGCCTCCCAAAATGCTAGGATTACAAGAATGAGCCACCACGCCCGGCCATGTTTATTTGATTACACATTTTTCTACCATGATTGACAAGACCCTAACCTCTACAGCTGAATAGAAATTACTGTATTTAAATACCCCCTACCCAAAATTCTTGGAACCAGAACATTTTGGATTTTGAGTATGTTCAGATTTTGAAATATTTGCATTCTACTTACTGGTTTAGCATCTCAAACCCCAAAATTGGAAATCTGTAGTGCTCCAGTGGGATGCTCAACCTGTATTCAGTTCACGTTTTAATAATTATTTGGATTTTGTTAAAAGAAAAACTTCAGGCAAATTAAATTTAACAGGGTTTAATTGAGCAAAGAATAATGCATGAACTGGAGAGCCCCTGAACCAGAATAGGTTTAGAAAGTCTCTGGCACAGCTATTAGGTGAAAGAAGATTTATGAACAAAAAAAAGGAATGTGACCTAAAAAAAAAACAGAATTGAGGTACAGAAACAGCTGGATTGGTTACAATTTGGCATTTGCCTTATTTGAACAGGGTTTGAACAGTTGGCCACCTTTGATGGGCTGAAACTTGGTGATTGGCACAGGAGTAGGTGACAGTGTATTTACATGTACAGTTAAGTTATAGTTCCCTATGTATGAAGAAATCTTTAGGCCCAACTTAAAATGTATCTGGCCGGGCGTGATGGCTCATGTCTGTAATCCCAGCACTTTGGGAGGCCAAGGCAGGTGGATCACCTGAGGTCAGGAGTTCGAGACCAACCTGGCCAATATGGTGAAACCCCATCTCTACCAAAATACAAAAATTAGCTGGGCCTGGTGGTGCGCCTATAATCCCAGCTACTCAGGAGACTGAGGCAGGACAATTGCTTGAACCCGGGAGGTGGAGGTTGCAGTGAGCTGAGATCGCATCACTGCGTTCCAGCCTGGGTGACAGAGCGAGACTCCATCTCAAAACAAACAAACAAACAAAAACCAGCTTTAATGTGTCTTATTGAGGATCAAAGCATATAATGCACATGCGTGCTTAGTAGCACAGAGCCAGCACATGTGAGAGCGATGGTTTTTGTGGTTAAAGTTTCTGTCACTGTTGTCGTTTATCGGCAGCTCATCTTGCCTGCACAGACCTGGCACCATGAAGAGTCCAGCATTCTCAGCCTTTTCCCTTAGTCACCAAAAAGAAAAATATTTAATAATGTAAGTATAATTCACCTAATGGTTGTTCTAATGTCCTTTGCGTTGTATTATTTGAAAGCTTGATTTGCACTTATAGACTCAACAAATGAATTTTGAGGAAATAACTGAAATGATTTGAAATGAAATGAACTGACACAAAGAGTACGTGGTGGCCGGGCGCGGTGGCTCACGGCTGTAATCCTAGCACTTTGGCAGGCCGAAGCGGGCAGATCACAAGGTCAGGAGATCAAGACCAGCCTGGCCAACATGGCAAAATGCCGTCTCTACTAAAAATACAAAAACTTAGCCGGGCATGGTGGCGGGCGCCTGTAGTTCCAACTACTCGGGGGAGCTGAGGCAGGAGAATTGCTTGAACCCAGGAGGTGGAGGTTCCAGTGAGCAGAGATTGCACCACCGCACTTCAGCCTGGGTGATAAAGCGAGACTCCATCTCAAAGAAAAAAAAAAAAGAGTACGTCCTGCAAGGCTTCTAGAGAGATGAGAAATGAAAAACGCAGTATCTCATTGTTAATATGTACTATTAAAATGTTAATACTATTCCTAGTTACTGATCAGTCTTTATTATTTTCCTTTCATAAAGAAAAAATGTATAAAGGCATCTAGTTGTTACTATATGTTGCTAAAATGTTATTAATACTATTCTTAGTTACCGATCAATATTATTGTACTTTCATAAAGAAAAAAATTTATAAAGGTTTTCATGTGTTCATTGAGGTTCTGTCTCAAACACCCTCATTTTCTTTTGCTTTCTTTTTTTTTTAAATAATAAACAGTTATTTGAGAAATCTCCAAACTGCTCTCCACAGTGGCTGAATTAATTTACATTCCCAATGGGTTCATTCACAGTCTAAACATCAGCATCACACAATATACCTTTTAACAAACCTGCACATGTACCTCTTCATTCTAAAATAAAGGTTTTAAAAAAAGAAATAAAATATCTCATTAATAATTTTTATATTGATCACATGTTGAAGTGGTAATATTTTTAATATCCTGAGTTAAATAAAATTTATTATTAAAACTGATTCATCTGTTTCTTTTTACTTTTTAAGTATGGCTTCTAGGAAACTTTAAATTGCATCTGTAGCTCACATTGTATTTCTATTGGACTTCCCTGTTCTAATGTCAGTGTGTTCATGATTAACCACTATTTTTTTTATTATACTTCAAGTTTTAGGGTACATGTGCACAACGTGCACGTTAGTTACATATGTATACATGTGCCATGTTGATGTGTTACACCCATTAACTCATCATTTAACATTAGGTATATCTCCTAATGCTATCTCTTCCCCCTCCCCCCACCCCAAAACAGGCCCCAGTGTGTGATGTTCCCCTTCCTGCGTCCATGTGTTCTCATTGTTCAATTCCCAGCTATGAGTGAGAACATGCAGTGTTTGGTTTTTTGTCCTTGTGATAGTTTGCTGAGAGTGATCGTTTCCAGCTTCATCCATGTCCCTACAAAGGACATGAACTCATCATTTTTTATGGCTGCATAGTATTCCGTGGTGTATATGTGCCACATTTTCTTAATCCAGTCTATCATTGTTGGACATTTGGCTTGGTTCCAAGTCTTTGCTATTGTGAATAGTGGCGCAATAAACATACGTGTGCATGTGTCTTTATAACAGCATGATTTATTTTTCTAAAAGAACATCTGTTTATTTTATCACACATTTTTTCAACCATGATTGACAAGACCCTAACCTCTGCAGTTGAACAGAAATTATTGTATTTGAAGGGGGGAATGTCACTATATAACCAAACTCAGAGATTAAGTATGAAACCTCAATTCTGGTATGAAACCAGAATGCCAACTTACTAATTTACAGATAGGAAATATGACCGTTAACCTCACATTATTAGCAATCTAAGAAAAACATTTTTCCCTAAAGAAAAGGGAAAAAAACAATTGGCTTTATAGACTTTGGACCTTTAACTTTTTTCTAACGACTATAGCAGGGAAATATACTTAGCACCCACTCTCCTAATACAATTTTTTTGTATTTTTACTGGAGACGGGGTTTTGCCATGTTGGCCAGGCTGATCTCCAACTCCTGACCTCAAGTGATCCGCCCACCTCAGCCTCCGGAAGTGCTGGGATTACAGGTGTGAGCCACCACATCAGCCATTCTGGGTAGATTAAAGGTTAAGTATTAAAAATAACCTAAAGAGGTAACATAATATTGCTATGTATTTCTGAATATATAGGCTATTCTATTCAGACACCACACACACACACACACACACACACACACACACACACACACACAGAGAGAGAGAGAGAGAGAGAGAGATACGGCTGACTGCCACAGCTGCTACTTGAGACCGTCACTAGGGCAGTTACTACTGTCACTACTTGAGACCGTCATTACGAGACTGAACGAAAGGACGAACGTAGAAATGAAAACTTAAGACAAAAGAAACTATTTTAAAGGAAGGGGCCAGGGGAAGAAGAAGAGGGCTCCCTCCTTCTAGTGAGCAAGGGCAGCAGCCCCAAGCTTCTTCAGCCCTTCATATTTATTGGGTGGAAAGAGCAGGGAGGACGAGGTAATGATTGGTCAGCTGCTTAATTGATCACAGGTTCATATTATTACTAACTGGCTTCATATGTACCTAATCACAAGAAACACTGCGCTTGGGGGTGTGACTGCCCTCAGCATTCCTTCTGGGTGGCAGACGCAGTTTGTCGGTCTGCCAACATTCTGCATTCATGAGAAACAGTTTGCTGCTTACTCATACAGCCTCCAGTGGTATACTGAGTTGATCACGGCCCTCATTCTTTCTGCCTCCAACACACAGACACATCCTTGGTATTCCAAGCGACTTCTCTCTCTAATGGTTACTTGGTTTTACTTGCTATCGCATGTCCTTTTCAAAAGTAACATTCCTTTTCAAGAATTCTCACTGCTATCTAGTAGTGGGTGTTCTGAGTCATAGCTTCCAGGCCTTTTAGCAGAAAGGGCTTGCAGTGAAAGAAAAAAAGTGTCAGTGTTTGGATCTAAGAATGTCTTTGTGCAGTTCTCTTACATGAATGACAGCCTGGCTGGATACAGCAGCCTGGGTCATACCCTGATCACTCGAGAACATGTCAGTCAGTGACTTTTGGAATGGATGGTGGAGTGGGACACTTATCTCTATCCCCTCCCTCTGTTTGGAAACTTCTTCCCCAAGAAATTTAACAGTTGGATGTTTTCTTATTTATTAAGTTTACCTAGGAAGAAAGCAATATTTTAGAAATTTCCCAACTTGTTTCTTTTCTTTTCTTTTGTTTTTTTTTGAGACTGAGTTTAGCTCTATCGCCCAGGCTGAAGTACAGTGACGCGATCTCAGCTCACTGCAACCTCTGCCTGCCGGGTTCAAGCAACTCTCATGCCTCAGCCTCAGCTGGGATTGCAGGCACCCACCGACCACACCCAGCTAATTTTTGTATTTTCAGTGGAGACGGGGTTTCACCATGTTGGCCAGACTGGTCTCAAATTCCTGACCTCAAGTGATCTGCCCACCTCAGCCTCCCAAAGTGCTGGGATTACAGGTATGAGCCACCGTGCTCGGTCCCCAGCTTGTTTCTTCAGTGCTGGGAAGCATTACTAGTTCGTGTCATTTGGTACCATATATTCAATACAATTTCCATGAACTTTCCAACAAAATACTTTTTGGAAACTTAGTTCTAAAATCAACCTAGAAAACTGAAGAAAAGTTCAAAAATGGAGACTAATCAATCGGGAATTCCTCTTCAGTTATTGACCTATCCTAAAAGCTACAATAATTAAGTAGGTGAGTGGTGGCTTAAGAACCGACAGACCAGTAGCCTATACTGGAGAGCTTACAAATAGAACCTATATGCAGAAAAGTTACTCAACAAATAATTTGGGGGCATTTAAAAATTATCTAAGCCCCCCCCCCCATATTATCACACACACACACGTGCACACAAATATATATTCTGGGTAGATTTTTTCTTTCTTTCTTTCTTTCTTTTTTTTTTTTTTGAGATGGCGTCTCACTCTGTTCTCCAGGCTAGAGTGCAGTGGTGCAATCTCGGCTCACTGCAACCTCTGCCTCCCAGGTTCAAGTGACTCTCCTGCTTCAGCCTGGGATACAGGCACTATGCCCAGCTGATTTTTTTTTTTTTTTTTGTATTTTTACTACAGACGGCGTTTTGCCATGTTGGCCAGGCTGGTCTCGGACTCCTGACCTCAAGTGATCCGCCCTCCTCAGCCTCCCAAGTGCTGGGATTATAGGTGTGAGCCACTGCACTCGGCTGTTCTGGGTAGATTAAAGGTTAAGTATTAAAAATAACCTAAAAAAGTAACATAATATTGCTATGTATTCTCGGTACAGGCAACACCTTCTGGAACCTGGCACAAAAATCAAATATCACAAAGGAAAAGACTGAGACATTTTCCTATATAAGAATTAGAAATTCTTGGGAAAGACACAAACTCAAGAGCCAGAATTGGGGCCGGGGGGGAATGTTACTAAGGCATATAATACACAAATGGTTAACATTTATGACATTACATCTCTTTCATGTAGTTTTGTTAAAGGTGATCATACAAATTGGGTCATTCTTATCATACTCAATGAAAACAGAATAGAGAGACCAGGGTAGAAAGTGCTTGGGGTGCATAACATTGCTCTGAGAATGTAATTCTCTGCAAGCCTGGCTGCAGAATCTGCCTGCTGTCACCTGAAACCCTACTAATCTAATAGCTACTGAAACAGCTCGCTGAGATTCTACAACTGGTCTCACCCACCGCCATCACTCACCCATCAGAGCTTGACAGCTCCCCAAAACTCACTGGTGCCAATGAATTTTCTTTCAAGACAATGTACAACATTTTCCTTTGTTTTGTTTGTTTGTTTGTTTGTTGTTGTTTTGTTTTCTTTTAAGATGCAGTCTGTCTTGCTCTGTCACCCAGGCTGGAGTGCAGGGGCACGATCTTGGCTCACTGTAGCCTCTGCCTCCCGGGTTCCAGCGATTCTCCTGCCTCAGCCTCCTGGGTAGCCGGGATTACAGGCTCCCACAACCACGTCTGGCTAATTTTTGTATTTTTGGTAGAGACGGGGTTAGGTGATCCACCCGCCTCAGCCTTCCAAAGTGCTGGGATTACAGGTGTGAGTCACTGCGCCTAGCCTATTTTTCCATTTTTTTTTAAATAAAATCTCCAATATCCTCTTTGTTCTTTGGACATACCGAAGGCCACCTCGTCTGTGTGTATCCCCCACATGACAATTCCTGCCTGTCAAATAAAACAGTTGAATTTAAGAGATTCATCTCTACATTTTTATTTTGGCTTCAACATAAACTGTTGAAACAATTTAAACAATTTGGGGATGAAATAAATGATAAACTCATAGACTAAATTTGCCATCTTGATATATAAATCGGAGGTTGGGTGCGGTGGCTTACGCCTGTAATCCCAACACTTTGGGAGGCCGAGGTGGGTGGATCACCTGAGGTCAGGGGTTTGTTTGAGACCAGCGTGACCAACATGGCGAAACCCTGTCTCTATTAAAAATACAAAAATTAGCCAGGCGTGGTGGTGGGCACCTGTAATTCCAGCTACTCGGGAGGCTGAGGCAGGAGAATGGCTTGAACCTGGGAGGCAGGGATTGCAGTAAGCCAGGATGCTGCCACTGCACTCCAGCCTGGGTGACAGAGTGAGACACCATCTCAAAAAACAATAATAAAATTATAAAAGAAATATTGTTGAAACTTTTTAAAACTCCCTCAAATAAAGCAAGGCCTCGACTTGGGGAAAGTAATTCTATAATTTTTTTTTTTTTTTGAGACAGGGTTTCTCTCCCATCACCCAGGCTGTAGTACAGTGGTATATTCTTGGATCACTACCACCTCCGCCCCCTGGCTCAAGAGAACCTCCTGCCTCAGCCTCCTAAGTAGCTGGGACTACAGGCGTCCACCACCATGCCTGGCTAATTTTTGTATTTTTAGTAAAGATGGGGTTGCACCATGTTGGACAGGCTGGTCTCGAACTCCTGACCTCAAGTGATCTGCCCACCTCGCCCTCCCAAAGTGCTGGGATTACAAGTGTGAACCACCAAGTCCAGCCTACCCCGGCCATTCTACAATCTTTCCTAAGTTTCCATGAGCAGCCATGGTCCCTCACCTCCAGCAATGAAGTGCCCTGACATTCCAGAGGAGACCAGAATTTTGAGGACGAAGCTCACCGGAATTCACCATGTAACCACTGGTATCAACAAAGCTGTGTTCACGTACCTAGACTAAAGTTACCGAAGAGGATATGAAGTTTAACACCTACTTTGCCAACTCAGCCCTGTATTCTGCCTCATTCGTATATGGGTATATCTCTGCTCTAGCTTTTACATATTCCAGTGTCTCTTTTTCTCTTGTTCTATCATCTGAAACTCAACAACAAGGAGTATTTATTTGGTTCTCTTTGTAATCTTTCTATCATGCCCTTGGCACTTGCTGCCTCTACTTAGAACCTTCCTCTTTTCTTTCCCTTTCTTTTTGACCTTCCCTGGTTTATTCCTACCCAACCCTCAATCTCACCTTCTTTCTTTTCTTCAGAAACCACATGTGCTTTCATTCCCAATGATTTACTCAATGCCAAGGATAGCCCCTTGCAAATACTAGGATCCCAATATATATTCTTGGATAAGTAAGTAAATAACATATACAGATGCTACAAATGTGTAAGGAAAATATTGCATAGAATTCAGCACAAATAAATGGGCAGAACTTATGAATAAGCAAGTCACAGGAAAACAATATATCAGTTGGGTCTAAGGAGTGAGGTACTGTTATATACTATAAATAGCTTATGTCAGGATAATTTTGGAGGGAGGGATTTTGCCACTATCAGAGTAAAACTTGTACATACCCTTTGGTCCAGCAATCCTGGCTCTACACAGAAATATGCTGTCATATACACAAAGGTACTCATTGAATCACTGTATGAAATCCTCAATAATTGGAAATGATTCCATAATCCACCCTTAGAAGAATAGTAAATATGTCAAGCTGAAGTCTAGATCACAGCCCAAGTGACTCTTTAAAGATGTGAATTCAGGCTGGGCACAGTGGCTCATGCCTGTAATCCCAGCACTTTGGGAAGCCAAGCAGGCAGATCAAGAGGTCAAGAGATCGAGACCATCCTGGCCAATATGGTGAAATCCCATCTCTACTAAAAAAATACAAAAAAAAAAAAAAAAAAGAAATAGCTGGACGTGGTGGTGCTAGTCCCAGCTACTTGGGAGGTTGAGGTAGAAGAATTGCTTGAACCCGAGAGGTGGAGGTTGCAGTGAGCTGAAATCGCACCACTGCGCTCCAGCCTGGATGACAGAGTGAGACTCCATCTCAAAGAAACAAAACAAAACAAAACACACAAACAAACAAAATATATATATATGAATTCAAAGGCCCAGTCTCTCTTCAAGTTGTGGTTCTACCATCTTAGAATCCTTTGTTTTCACTGTGTAGATGAGGCAGACAGTGAGGATGATGTTATAAGATATTTTCTGGTCAGCCTGGAAGTGTTCTCCACCACCTGTGCCCACCACTTAGTAACATGGTCCCACCTCTCTCCAAGAGGAGCTGGGTTCTTCCTGTGTACATGGGAGAAAAATTAAAAAGTTGCTCTGGAAATAGTTTCAAGGTCATTTGCTAACGTGCAAAATGTAATCTTCAGAATGCTTGCAGGGAATGATTCCATATTTTTAAAAACTGCAGTGAGTGTGCTCTTGCCCTTATGTAATAGTTAACATTTTTATAAGTACATTAATAGTTAACATTTTTCTAAGTAATGGTATATTGCATGGAGTTTTTTCTGTTGCCCTGAAATTAATGACTAGAGTTCAAAGTTGATGTCAAAATGGGCTTAGCATTTCCATATTCTATTAATTTTTTTCTTCTTGAGACAGGGTCTCACTCTGTTGCCCGGGCTGAAGTGCAGTGGCACAATCATAGCTCACTGCAGCCTCCACCTCCCAGGCTCAAGCAATCCTCTCACCTCAGCCTCCTGAGTAGCTGGGACTATAGGCACAGGTCACCACGCCCAGCTAATTTTTTAATTTCTTGTAGAGACAGGATCTCACTATGTTGCCCAGGCTGGCCTTGAACTGCTGGAGGGTTACTCAAGTGATCCTCTACCTTGGCCTCCCAAAGTGCTGGGATTACAAGCATGAGCCACCATGCCCAGCCAACATTTCCATATTCTAAAGAGGACTATACCCAAATGTCACCCCTGCACCTCAATCGTCTGAGACTCCACTCATGTACAAGTCTAAATAGGGAAGATACTGTGGGGAGGAGGTGGAAAGTCACTAGAGCCTTGACGGGGGGCAATAGTTATACTCTGAGTTTTTTGTTTGTTTGTTTGTTTGTTTGTTTGTTTTTTGGAGAAAGAGTCTCGCTCTGTCGCCACGCTGCAGTGCAGTGGTATGATCTCAACTCACTGCAACCTCCGCCTCCCGGGTTCAAGCCATTCTCTTGCCTCAGCCTCCCGAGTAGCTGAGATTACAGGCACCTGCCACCATGATGGGCTAATTTTTGTATTTTTAGTAGAGACGGGGTTAAGCCATGTTGGCCAGACAGGTCTCAAACTCCTGACCTCAGGCAACCCGGTCACCTCAGCCTCCCAAAGTGTTGGGATAACAGACGTGAGCCACCAAGCCCAACGTTTGTTTATTGCTTAAACCATCATTCTTCCTACCTACTTTCATCAACTAATTTTTGTATTTTTAATAGGGACGGGGTTTTACCATGTTGGCCGGGATGGTCTCGATCTCCTGACCTTGTGAATCGCCCGCCTCGGCCTCCCAAAGTGCTGGGATTACAGGCGTGAGCCACCGCACCGGGCTTCTAAGGCTTTTTCTTCTGTCCCCAGGAGGACTCCAGTAGAAAAACGTGCCAAAATGCAGGGAGTCTGCTAGAACTGGACATTTGTATCACCTGCCCCAGCCGTGTGTTTGCTGAACTGAGGAATCCACGTGGTCACTCAAGTGCAGTCCTCAGGACAAAAAGAAGTATAGTGAGGAGTTGTTGGAGGGTTTGTCATGGATCCCTGGAGTTTGGAAGCCTGTGTGAACCACAGCCTCTCCCCTTCTAGAGATTTCTCAATGCAGGAGGCTCACTGCACCACAAGGGCAAAAGACCACAAGGGTAGTGTGCCTGGAAGAAAAGGATGGGTGGACGGAACAAGTCATACACACTCCACCTCTCCCATTCTTTGGAGAATTAAAAGACCTTCCTGGCTCCTGCAACTGCTCACAAGGGAGCCCTGTGGTCAGAGGAGGGAACAGACACAGTAGGGCTGCCTGGCCAGCAGGCAACACGCTATTTGTCAGAGGTCGCATGATCTGATGGTTCGAGGGCAAAGGAAGAAAGCCATTTGGGAGTCCAGATGAAGGATGGGTTGAGGTGTAGTTGAACTTGACCTTAAGAAAACTCACATTGCATCTATGAAGATGCCAATGGCTACATCTGCAGAAGCAATAGGGAGTTAGAACCAGAAATGCCAGAAAAAAAACCTGAGAAACCACTGAAAAATGACAATTATTACCTGAAACCCCTCTTTCCCCCAAATGACTAGAGGACCTGAAACATTAGGGGAGAGTAACAGGTGGCTCGTCTCAGAGCTAGGCCTTGCTTGCCAACTCTTCTCCACTAGGAGGTTGGTGAAGGCACAGAGGAGAGTTTAGAATGAAATATTAGAGTAAAATCAATTTTGAGACTGAAGTCTTACAGTAGACTGAATGTAATCAAAAGTGAATGAAGTTATTGGATCTCCCAGAGAAACCCTTAATGGCCAAGAATAGGTGATTTGATACCTCGTGGTTGATCAGAAAGAGCATAAAGGAATTTTATTTTTATTTTATTATTATCATTATTATTATTGAGACAGTCTCACTCTGTTGCCCAGGCTAGAGTGCAGTGGCACAATCTTGGCTCACTGCAGCCTCCACCTCCCAGGTCCAAGCAATTCTCCTGCCTCAGCCTCCCTAGTAACTGAGATTGCAGGCACCTGCCACCATGCCTGGCTAATTTTTGTATTTTTAGTAGAGACGGGATTTCACCATGTTGGCCAGGCTGGTTTTGAACTCCTGACCTCAAATGATCCTCCCGCCTCTGCCTCCCAAAGTGCTGGGATTACAGGCATGAGCCACCATGCCCAGCAAAGTTTCATCTTTATTCCCCACTAAAGTAAACTTCCAATTAGCTTAAATTATGTCTTTGAATTAAAAGAACAAAGTTAAAAACTGTATCTTGGTAATGCTCTCTGCTTATTAGTTTTACCTGGAGTTGAGTAAACATTTTTAAATTTCCTTTTTTTTTTTTTAAGCTATGGATCATTCTTCACTTATACCCTTGGTTACTAATTCTGCACCATCCCTTTATCTTCTCCCCTTTTTATCCTGCCTTCAGTGGTGGGTTGGAGTTCCACATGCTCTCTCCTACGTTCATTACTTTGCATTATTTTTCTATTAATTTTTATACGGTGTCTTTTTCTTGATTCTGACTTTTATGTGGCTAATTTGATTTTCTGCCACATCAGTTCAGCCTTTTACTGTTTCGCTAATGATCTGATTTTGGTTATTGCATTTCTCTTCATGGACTGGCTTTGTATATTAACTGCAACATCTTTTAAAGTACCTCTTGAATTATAAGTAAGATACGTTTTGCGGGGCTGAGGATTACTTGATTTTAAATCCTAATCCTTCCATTTAAAAACTGTGGTGACCTTATCATCACAGAGAAAGGGATAAACCAAGAACTTTGAATTCATTGTGATATGTTCCATAACAGCAGCGAGAAGCTGGCAGCATGCATTTAAAGAGCCAAGAGAGATTTGGGTCAGTGGAGACAGAGAAGGCCATGCGAGGGTGTTCAATCTTTTGCCTTCCCTGGGTTACATCGGAAGAAGAAGGACTGTCTTGGGCCACACATAAAATACACTAACACTAACAATTGCTGACAAGCTAAAAAAAAAAAATGCAAAAAAATCTCATAATGTTTTAAGAAAGTTTACAATTTTGCATTGGGCCACATTCAAAGACATCCTGGGCCACATGCAGCCCATGGGCCGCAGGTTGGACAAGCTTGATCCAAACATTCAGTGTGATGGAAGTAGGAAATGCTGGGTTTGTGTGCTAAGATTAGAAGTCAAAAAAAGGGTTAGATCCTGCAGGTTCTTGTATGATCAAATCAAGTATAAGATTTTATCCTGTAGAAAAGGTACTCCTTAAGTACATACCCTGGACTCAAGAAACCTCAGGTTATTCTTGTCGCATGTCCTTGGAGTTTTCATTTTTTATTTTTATTATTATTATTTTTTGAGACAGGGTCTTGCTTTGTCACGCAGGCTGGAGTGCAGTGGTGCGATCTCACTGCAGCCTGGACCTCTTGGGCTCAAGTAATCCTCCTGCCTCAGTCTCCTGTGTAGCTGGGACTGCAGGTGTGTGCCACCACACCTATCTAATTTTTTAAAAATTTTCTGTCGAGATGGGGTCTCACTGTGTTGCTCAGGCTGGTCATGAACTCCTGGATTCAAACAATCCTTCCACCTCAGCCTCCCTAAATGCAGAGATTACAGGTGTAAGCCACCATGCCTTGTTTCAAAACAGTATTTTAAAAGTATTGGTCGGGTGTGGTGGGTCTTGCATGTTAATCCCAGCACTTTAGGAGGCCGAGGCAGGTGGATGACCTGAGGTCAGGAGTTCGAGACCAGCCTGGCCAATATGGCGAAACCCAGTTTTGTCTTTACTAAAAACATAAAAGTTAGCTGGGCATGGTGGCGGGTGCCTGTAATCTCAGCTACTCAGGAGGCTGAGGCAGGAGAATCGCTTGAACCCGGGAAGCAGAGGTTGCAGTGAGCCAAGATTGAGCCATTGCACTCCAGCCTGGGTGACAGAGTGAGACTCCATCTCAAAAAATAAATAAATAAATAAATAAATAAATAAATAAATAAATAAATAAAAGAAAAGTATGAATTAAACAACATACACTCTATGGCACAGAACACAAAATCAAACTAAAATGCTAAGATAAAGCTGATGTCCATCCAGGTATTTCTGGTGGCCCGCTCCGGGCCCACAGGAGTGCCCGTTCACTCCCATATACCTCTTGGGATATCAACTAGGAGACTCCATCAGCATCCCCACAACTTCTCAGTGCAGGCTTCCCTCCCTGAAGAAAGGGTTTCCTCTTAATCCTTCCCACATAAGCCATGAAGGGCTCTAATTAGATGGTTTAGCTGTAATAACATCCCAGCCCTTCAGAAGCCAGAGCTCCAAACAAAGATAAACTAAAGACAGTGTTCTCCACTAATACTGACGTATTTTCAATTTATGCAATCCAGAGTGCAGTGGCCTGCACCGTCCCCTGTCTGCAATGATTAATGCCCTGGCCCTAGCTAGGGTCCAGGAAGAGAGAGCCAGGGGAAGGAGACGCACTGGATTTTATATTATCATGGCTGCAACAAACTCATTCGGTGGTGTCAGTGCTGACTGCGGGGTTCTGATTATGAAATATGATGCATGTTGAATTTAATGACTTTCTCTGCCCTTCTGGTGAGTTCACTGCTTCCCAATGTCATTTTCTGTTCTCATCTGAGTGGTAATAAAAGGAATATCATTGACTGTGGTAGCTCTGTAACCACTGTGTGTTTTACAATAAATTGCATTTTGAGACCTTTCTCCCCAGGGGAAAAGTGCATGGTCAGAAGGATTATTCTGAGATGGGCTCTGGGACCCCATTCTCCAAGAAGATGGGGAATAAGGTGAAGCTGCCCTTTTTTAGAGAATGATTCTCTAAGAACACTCATTTTTCAAGCAGTTATATATCAAAGGTCAGTGTGGACCCGTGGAAAATGATAAAACACAGTTTCTAAAACAAAAATGACTATGGGCCAACCAGAATCAATGCAGGCTGGACAAGGTCTAACCTCTCAATAATTCAAGAAGGGGAAAACTGGGAGAATAGAAACTCAAAACCGGGATGGCAGTCCTGAAGGTCCTGTTCTTTTTGTGTGTGTTCAAACTAAACTTTTGTTATTCTCCTACGGGAAGGTCATCCCCATTTGGGGATAGGAAGAAGGAGAAGAAGAGAAATACTTAGTGAGTGATAACTGTGTACCAGACCAGTGCTAGGCACTGCATGGCACAATGTCACCGACTCTCACAGCACGTGTGTAAACCAGGCCTCATCACCCCCAATTTGTAAATAGTGAAGTTTAGGCTCAACTAAATTGAGCAATGTTCCCAGAATCCCAGAACCAGTTGGGGTCAGGGCTAGGGGTCCAGTTCAGGGGCATCTGATGCCAAGAAGTGTGTTGTGCAGGCCAGAAGCACTGGTCTTACCTAGGAGCTCAATGGAGATGCAAACTCTCAGGTCCCTGCCCCGCTGCACCTGTGAAAGTGTGAGAAGCACACTTTACACTCCAAGCCATGAAGCTGACAGAGGATGGAAAGCTTCCTAACATTTGGGGCCATTAGGACGTGCTCCTCTCTCCACTGTCCAGAGGGACTGCTGTGTTATGTAGCAATGACCACCAGAACTTCCGATTCATTCATTGTTCATCCTGCTGGAAGTAGTGTTTACTGGGGACAGGGCTGCTCAAACTTCAGAGTGTCTGACAATCGCCTCTACTGCTGGTCAAAGGACAGGTTCCTTAATTCTGTGCTGTAGTAGTCACAGTCCTCCAGACAAAAAGAACTAATGAGAGAAAGAGAAAGTCACATAGATAAATACACAGATAGATACATACATACATACATATATACACAAAGACACATACATATATACATACATAGATGACAAATAGATACATAGATACATGACTGATAGATACATACATACATACACACATAGATCTGTATATGCGCAGATAGATACATAAATAGGTATGTAGATAGATACATAGCTAGGTACATAGATAGATACGTACCTAGATAGATGCATAGATAGATAAATGATATACAGATACATAGATCCAGATAGATAGATGATATATAGATACACAAATACATAGAGATAGACAGATGATAGATACATAGACAGATACATAGATAGGTGATATATAGATAGATAGATACATACAGATAGATGATTGATAGATACATAGATGATAGATACAAAGATATGTAGATATAGATGATGATAGATGGATAGAGATAAATAGATAAATACATAGATACATAGATAGATACATAGATACATAGACAGATACTTAGATACATAGATACGTATGTATCTATGTATAAATAGACAGATACATAGATACATAGATAGATACGTAGATACATACATACATATGTTAAGGAGAAGGCTCAAAACATTACGGAGGCTGACAAATCTAGACTTTGCAGGTCAGACTGTCAGGCGAGACCTGGGGAAGAGCTGATGCTGCAGTGTAAGTCAAGGCCAGCCATCTGCTGTCAGAATGTCCTCTTGCTTGGGGGAGATCAGCCTTTTATTCTACTCACATCTTCTACTGATTGGATGAGGTCCACCCCACAAGGTGGGGCAATTTGCTTTACTCAAAGTCCACCAACTTAAATGTCAATCTCATTCAAAAACAACCTCATAAGAACATCCAGAATAATATTTGACCACATATCCAGATACCGTGGCCAGCCAAGTTGACACATAAAATTAACATCCCATGTATCTTAATTGCAGTAGTGGTCATGCACATCTAGATATGTGGGAAGAATGACGTGGAACTATACTCATACATGGCACCAATGTCACATATTTGGTTTTTATACTGTCCTATCATTATTCAATTATTCAATAATTATTTTAATTACTTAAAATTAAACATTGTTTAATAATTATTAAGATAGAACCATCGAGGGCTCCTACATGGGAGTTCACTTACTATCTTTGCAACTTCCTGTGTGTCTAAAATTACTTCCAAAAAAAAGCTTGATTTTTTTTTAATTCATGCAGATTGCTACCCATTTGTAGCTGCTCTTCCCACTTTCCTAGCTCCAGGATTCCAATGCACTTGGACTATGGGTGATTTGGTTGCAAAGAGATTTAATATGTGCAACAAGGAACTATGTTATAGCACTTTTCTACCTTAGAGGGGAAAAAAGGAGTAGCAAATTAGAACGTAGTACTGCGAGTAAACAATAATCCTTTGTAATTTTTGGTGTATAGTATCATTCCATGTTATAAAAGGGAGGGACAGTGGGAGTTGTCTCTTCCAGATATCTCACTGGACAGATGAGAAAGAGACCAGAAACAAAATTGCCTCCCTCTTCAGTTACCTGTCCAGGCACTGTCCTCCTTAGTAACAAAATCTGGACCAGAAGCAGAGCCCTGGGACTCTCAGGGCCTGAGCCAACCAATCACAATCTCACTTCCAGATTAGTTTCACAGGACTTCCAACACGTTGTCATACTTCATTCTCTCCAAAGTCCTCTGCAGTAGAGAGGGTAGATATTGCCAAGGTCGTTTTACAGGTGCAGAGACCAAGGTCAGAAAGGCAACTCTCCTTGGGACAATGGACTTGGCAGGTGCTCTTTTCCCTTCAAGAAAGTTAAGTAACACATCTTAAGTCCCACAGACCTAGACTTACTAACACTAAGTCTGCAAACAAGCACAGCCAGCCCCAGGATGTGGTATTAGCTCTGTTGAAATATGAGTCAACACCCCTTGGCTTATCCACCTTCTGATCCCAGCCCAGGCACTAATTCTATTAACCAGGAAAAATCCTACTGGGGTCCTAGTTTTCTAATGTTTAAAGTGACAGCATGGAACTAACAAATGAAGGATTGTTTGTTTGTTTGTTTGTTTGTTTTTGTCTCAATTTTCTCTGTGATTTATAATCCAGCCTGTGCTTTGGAAAAGCTCACATATTAAGATAATTGTCAGCAATTTTCTGGCTTTTGCGAAAGTATCTGTGCTTGCACAGTGGAGACAGAAGATAGTGTGACAAGTGGCAGAAAATAAATGCCTATACCAGCAACTTGGGGCCACTTTACCTCAGGCTCTGTTGCCCACTTCCCTACATCTAAACCATTACAGATTCCAGTTGAGTCTACTTCTTTCTTCAAAGTAAGACTTTATTTATTAGGAAATTTTGGGTTCACAGCAAAATTGAGCAAATTGAGCACAGTGTACAGAGACTTCCCTTATATCCCCAGCCCCCACACATACACAGCCTCTCCCACTATTAACATCCCCCTCCAGAGTGATACATTTATGAGGAACTTGCATTGACACACCATTATCAGCTAAAGCCAACACTCAGTGTACATTAGGGTTCATTTCTGGTGGTGTACATTCTATGGGGTTTTTTTTGTTTGTTTTTTTTTTGGAGATGGAGTCTCGATCTGTCGCCCAGGCTAGAGTACAGTGGCGTGATCTCAGCTCACTGCAAGCTTCACCTCCTGGGTTCATGCCATTCTTCTGCCTCAGCCTCCCAAGCAGCTGGGACCTACAGGCACCCGCCACCATGCCCAGCTAATTTTTTGTATTTTTTAGTAGAGATGGGGTTTCACCATGTTAGCCAGGATGGTCTCGATCTCCTGACCTCGTGATCCGCCTGCCTCGGCCTCCCAAAGTGCTGGGATTACAGGCATGAGCCACCGTGCCTGGCCCATTCTATGGGTTTTGATGAATGCATAATGACGTGTGCAACCATTGTGGTGTCATACAAGTATTTTTTTTCTTTTTCTTTCTTTCTTTTTTTTTTTTTTTTTTTGAGAGGGAGCATTGCTCTGCCTCGCAGGCTGGAGGGCAGTGGTGCGATCTCAGCTCACTGCAACCTCCACCTCCTGGGTTCAAGTGATTCTCCTGCCTCAGCCTCCTGAGTAGCTGGGATTACAGGTGCGCACCATCATGCCCGGCTAACTTTTGTGTTTTTAGTAGAGACAGGGTTTCACCATGTTGACCAGGTTGGTCTCCAACTCCTGACCTCAAGCGATCCACCAGCCTCGGCCTCCCAAAGCACTGGGATTACAGGCGTGAGCCACCGCACCTGGCCACAAGTATTTTCACTGCAGTAAACATTATCTGTGTTCTGCCTGTTCATCTCTCCCTCCCCACAATCCCTGAGAGACTCTGATCTTTTTATTGTCTCCATAGTTCTGCGTTTTCCAGAATGTCTGATAGTTACAGTCATACAGTATGTAGCCTCCCCAGATTGGCTTCTTTCACTTAGTAATATGCATTTAAGTTTCCTCTATGTCTTTTCATGGCTTGACAGCTCATTTCTTTTTAGCATTGAATAATATTCCATTGGCAGGATATGCCCGTTTACCCATTCATCTACTGAACAACCTCTCGCTTGCTTCCAAGTTTTTGCAATTATGACTAAAGCTGCTATAAATATCTGCATATTGGTTTCTGTAGGAACATAAGTACTCAATTCCTTTGGGTAAATACCAAGGAGCCCAATTGCTGGAATCTAAGGTAAGAGAATGCTTAGTTTTGTAAGAAACTACCAAACTGTCTTCCAAAGTGGCTGTACCATTTTGCATTTTCACCAGCAATGGCTGAACGCATTCCTGTTCCTCCACAGCCTCATCAGCATTGTGTTGTCAATGTTTTGGAATTTGGCCATTCCAATAAGTGTGCAGTGTTGGTTCTACTTTAAAATGTGCCTTGGCCCGGCGCAGTGGCTTATGCCTGTAACCCCAGCACTTTGGGAGGCTGAGGTAGGCAGATCACCTGAGGTCAGGAGTTCGAGACCAGCCTGGCCAACATGGTGAAACCCTGTCTCTACTAAAAATACAAAAATTAGCCAGGTGTGGTGGCGCACACCTGTAATCCTAACTACTTGGGAGCCTGAAGCAGGAGAATTGCTTGAACCAGGAAGGCAAAGGTTGCAGTGAGCCGAGATCACGGGTCACTGCACTCCAGGCTGGGTGACAAAGCGAGACCACTTTTCAAAAAATAGATAAATAAAATGTGTCTGAAATGCCTGTTTATCTCTGGATCCCCATAGCCCCAGCCAAAATTCCGGCTTCTCATCATTTCTTGCCTTCTTAACTGTGACTCCAACACGAGTCTTATCCTCTTTTTTTTTTGAGAGAGGGTCTCCCTCTGCCACCTAGGCTGGAGTACAGTGGCTCAATCATGGCTCACTGCAGCCTCAGCTTCCTGGGTTCATGCAGTCCTCCTCAACCAATCCTCAACCTGTGGAGTAGCTGAAACTGCCAGTGCCAGCCACCATGCCCAGCTAATTTTTGTATTTTTTGTAGCGACAGGGTTTCACCATGTTACCCAGGCTGGTCTCAAACTCCTGGGCTCAAGTAATCCACTGGCCTCAGCTTCCCCAAATGCGGGGATTACAGGTGTGAGAACTCATTCAAAGGCTTTTCATCCTCTTTAAAATGCAATTAAAATTCCCTAGTTGGGATTCCAGGTCATCCATGGTCTGCCTCTTGGACCTTATTACTCTTTGTTATCCACCCTCCAGAACCACTGGCAGCTTCCCATGCACCATTCACCTGTTGTCCAATGGCCCTTTGCCTTAGATACTCTCCCTGATCTCTGCCCTCGATAACTCCTGGTTATTTTATTTATTTATTTGTTGTCAGAGTCTCACTGTGTTGCCCAGCGTGGAGTGCAATGGCACAATCTTGGCTCACTGTAATCTCCACCTACTGGGTTCAAGCGATTCTCCTGCTTCAGCCTCCCAAGTAGCTGGGACTACAGGTACACACCACCATACCCGGCTAATTTTTGTATTTTTAGTAGAGATGGGGTTTCACCATATTGGCCAGGCTGGTCTCGAACTCCTGACCTCTGGTGATCTGCCCGCCTCGACCTCCCAAAGTGCTGGGATTACAGGTGTGAGCCACCGGGCCTGGACACTCCTGATTATCCTTTAATATCAGGCATTCATTCCCCAGTAAGACTTTCTATGCCCCTTGAGACTGATTTGACATCCTTGTTCTGTATTCTCATGGCAACCTATAAATTCCATTGCCATCCTGCCTCCCCTGTTCCCCAGGCAGTGAGCT
Organism: Homo sapiens; assembly: GCF_000001405.40. Taxonomy (NCBI): domain Eukaryota; kingdom Metazoa; phylum Chordata; class Mammalia; order Primates; family Hominidae; genus Homo; species Homo sapiens. Next base: position 67,921,800 of record NC_000007.14, on the reverse strand, counting down.
CCTTGTGGGAGATCTTTTATTGCCCAGTACAAGGCTGACACTGCATTGGCTAAGCCAAATATCATGCCATGAGAAAATGGAACAATACCTTGGCATGGGAGATGTTAAGGAATTCAATTGGAACATAACAGGGTAAGAGATCATGCATTCATGTATCTAACAAGCATTCACGAATCACCCCCTCTATGTCAGCCTTGTGCTATGAGACAGAGATGAAATGATAACACCATCACCTCTAACTTATTCTTGCCCCAAATTCCAACTGAATTGCATTGAGCCTCAGACATAGCTACCAGTTTACAAGACATTCAGGGTCCAGAGGACCAGGTTTAACAAGACCTTTGGGATGTAATCAGTAAAGTTCAGAATGTAGAAAGCTATAGAGGATAAATGGCTGGGTTTATTAAAAAAAATAAATTGCAAATAAAAATGTTTTTAAAAGAGATGAAGATGGAACCTCTAGATTTAAAAACACTTAAGGGACACATTAATCAAATGCAATGTGTGGGCTTTAAGTGGATCCTATTTAATAAGTGAATTCTTTAAAAAAAATTTATGAGACTATTGGGGAAATGTACAAACTGCACAGATGGCTATTTGATAATATTAAAGAACTATTGCTAGCTTTTTAGGATGCAATATTGGTATTATGATTATGCATATTTAAAAATTCTTATCATTTAGACACGCGTTCTGGAAAATGTATAGATACCTGGGATGGGGCAGTATAGATGAGAAAAGATTGGCCATAAATAAAGAATTGTGAAAGCTGAGTGATGGGCACCTAAGGTTCATTGCTATGATTTCTATTTCTGTGTATGTTTGAGATTTTGCAGAACAAGTGTAAAATGGTGAGCATAGCAGACACCCCTGTTATCACATTATTTATAATTACTAAATAAATAAGGACCATTGAGTTACTTATAGTTGGGATAAGGCCAGAGATACTTACAACCTCTGATGTGTTAGTATTGAATTCCATTTAAGTACCATAGGAAATGCTTTTTCAACATTTTGTTTTGCTAAGATCGGCAGTTTATAGGGGTCAGGGATAGAGCTCTTCCTACTCATTGTCAAAAACCCTGTGGGTATATTCATGAAGATTTGGGTTTGGGGCTGGGTGAGGTGGCTCACACCTATAATCCCAGCAGTTTGGGAGGCTGAGGCTGGAGGATGGCTTAAGCCCAGGAGTTTGAAACCAGCCTGGGCAATATAGTGGGACTCTATCTCTATAAAAAAAAAAAATCAAGAAATTAGCCGGGCGCATTGTCCCAGCTACTCAGGAGCTTGAAGTGGGAGGATCACTTGAGCTCAGGGTGCGGGGGGTCAAGGCTACAGTGAGCCATGAATGTGCCACTGCACTCCAGCTTGAGCAACAGAGTGAGACCATGCTTACAAAAAACAAAAAGAAGCATCATGTGCTTATTTTCGAGATAATCTGATAGAGGTATTATAGGCCTGCACTAATGAAGATTTGGGGAAAAGAATGTCAAAGAGAAAAATGGGTGTTCCTTTTTTTTTTCTTTTCTTTTTTTTTTTGAAATGGAGTTTCTCTCTTGTTACCCAGGCTGGAGTGCAATGGTGCCATCTCGGCTCACTGCAACCTCCACTTCTGGGATTCAAGCGATTCTCCTGCCTCTACCTCCCAAGTAGCTGGATTACAGGCATGTCCCACCATGCATGGCTAATTTTGTATTTTTAGTAGAGACGGAGTTTCTCCATGTCGGTCAGGCTGTTCTCGAACTCCTGAACTCAGGTGATCCGCCTGCCTCAGCCTCCCAAAGTGCTGGGATTACAGTTGTGAGCCATCGCACCTGGCCAAAAAATGGGTGTTTTCAGTGGAAGAGAACAGACTAGTCAATCCCTAGGATCCAGAGAGAGTAAATAAATATGCCAATTAAATGTTTGATAAATAAATGAATGAAAAAATTCATGTTGGATCCACTGATCAATGAGTATCTATTAAATACCAGCTATGAGTCTCACTATGGTGAGAAAAGGAAGTTGACACCACTTTTTTTCTCTTTTAATTTAATTTAATTTTATTTTAGATTCAGGGGGTGCATGTGCATAGGTGGATTGCATACTGGTGGGATTGGGCTTCTAGCGTACTCATTACTAAGAGTGAACATGGCACCCGATGGGCACTTTTTAAGCCCTTGCCCTTCTGCCACCCTCTCCACTTTTGGAGTCCCCAGAGTCTATTATTTCCATCTTTATATCCATGTGTACCCATTGTTTAGTTCCCGTTTATAAGTGAAAACATTCAGAGTATGGTTTTTGTTTCTGAGTTAGTTCACTTAGGATAATAGTGTCCAGCTCCATTCACTTTCCTTCAAAGGACATGATTTCATTCTTTTTATGGCTGCATAGTATTCCACAGTGTATACGTACCTCATTTTCTTTATTCAATCAACCAAATCAACCACTGATGGACACTTAACGTTGGTTCCATGACTTAGCTATTGTGAATAGTGCTGTGATGAGCATAGGAGTATAAGACATCAACTCTTTTCTTAAAGAATATACAATTAGTTGCACAAAGAAGAGAAATACGTATTAAACACCAGAAAACAGGATAGACTACTGTGGAACTATGTGCTTTGTAGAGACATTTATTGCTGGGTAGAATTCACTGGAAATGGCTCCATGGACGTCATGCCAGTTACCCTAAATCAGGCTAAAAAGGGTAGCTCTTGGAAAGCAGAGAAAAGCTGGGGTGGATTTCAAAGACAATGCCATAGTTTGGATGTTTGCCCCTCCAAATCTCATGTTGAAATGTGATCCCCAGTGTTGGAAGTGGGGGCTAGTGGGAGATGTTTTGGTCCAGGAGGCAGATCCTTCATGAATGGTTTGGTACCCTCGCTGTGGTAATAAATTACCATGAGATCTGATTGTTAAAAAGAGTTTGGGACCACCCCCATCTCTCTCCTGCTTCCTTTCCTGCCATGTGACACACCTGCTCCCCTTTCACCTTCTCCCATTAGTGAAAGCCTCCTGAAGCCTCACCAGAAGCCAAGCAGAAGTTGGCACTATGCTTATACAGCCTGAAGAGCTGTGACCCAAATACACCTATTTTCTTGATCAATTACCCAGTCTCAGGTATTCCTTTATAGCAATGCAAACTGTGTCTGGACTAACACAGACAATAAATGCCTAAGCATGTGCACATGCCCATGAAAACCCAGAAATGGTGGGAAGGATTTGGACTGGAAGGTGGTGAAAATCCCACTGATGAAGTCAGGAGAAATGTCCACCGAACACATGGAATCAAAGGATTTCTGGATTAGGAAAAACCTTGAAGGTCATTTACCCAACACTTGAATCCTTTCTACAACTTAGCCTCTGGCCACCTCACTTCCTGTTTCAGAACAGCCTCCCACCATCTCACTTCCTGTTTCAGAATCGCCTCCCACCATCTCACTTCCTGTTTCAGAACGGCCTCCCACCATCTCACTTCCTGTTTCAGAATGGCCTCCCACCATCTCACTTCCTGTTTCAGAATGGCCTCCCACCATCTCACTTCCTGATTCAGAACAGCCTCCTGCCATCTCACTTCCTTTTTCCTATGTGTAAGAAACAACATAGATGTGATTTTGTGTCCATCAATGGATGATTGGATAAATAACACGTATATATATGTGTGTGTGTGTGTGTGTGTGTGTGTGTGTGTGTGTGTGTGTGTGTAATGGAATACTATTCATCCATAAAAAAGAATAAAATCATGTATTTTGCAGCAACATAGAATTAGAGGCCATTATTTCATGCAAAACAACTCAGAAACAGAAAGACAAAAGCCACACGTTCTCACTTGTAAGTGGGAGCTAAATGCATATAAAAGGAGTGTCGAATGATAGATATTGGAGACTCTGAAAGGTGGGAGGGTGGGTGGGGGCTGGGGGATGAGAAATTGCTTAACAGATACAATGTACATTACTGGGTACTTGGGTGATGGACACACTAAAAGCCAAGACTTCATTACTGTGCAATATTGCACGCAACAAAATTGCACTTGCACCCCTTCAATGTATACAAAACCAAAACAAAACAAAACAGGCAAACAAACAAAACCCTAGAGAAAGCCTCAGTGAAAAGAACTTGAGTAAACCCAAGGTACCGATAACCTCAGAAAAACAAATTACAAATTAAATTTAGGAATCACTTCTCCTAACCCCTTAATTTTACAAGGGAGCAAATTGGATTCAGAGAGGTAGAAGGCTTTCCAAAGGCCACACAGCTTTCCAGAGCTCCCTCCAGGACACTGTCCCCCTCCCGCCCCCTGCCAGGTCTCATAACACCTGGCCCAGGTCTCTACTGTGACCAAGAATTCCCTGGCTCTGTTTTGCGCCTTACTTGATTTCTCTCACTATGCATGAAAAAATGTTAATAACATTTTCTCTCCAAACATCCTTTCTCCAAGGAATAATAGATCAAGGAAAGAGAAAGGTTTGCCATTGTGGAGGGACATTATCATTTTTATACAAATGCTAAAACAATTCTGAGCTCTCAGCCTGAACTAAGCTACCTTAATCTTACCTGTGTCTCACACCTGGGGAAACTTGGTTTGGCAAAAGGAGTCAAATCCATTTCAAGTGTTCTATCTTAAGACTCTCAGTTTGCACTCAGTTTGTTTTATCACAGAGTGATAGGAATTAAAGGCCTTCGCTGCAGTTTAGGCAGCTTGCCAATACCTATTTTATAGCAATAAAATATGTACAAATTAAGGAATCTCATGTGGAAAATTCATTCAACGGCCTCAAAAGCCAAATGAATGGTAATTACTTTGAACACAATGTGGCGGCAATCAAGCTGGATTGGATCATGCTTTTAAATGTACGTCTACATTTTAAGAACGAAGATAATTATGAATTATGAAAATAACTAACAGAGACAATGGCACAGCAAAGCTGTTGTTTATGAAACATGAAAGGGACATTTTCAGAGGAGTAGGGGGAATGAGTCATTCTCCGCACCTGCCAGGGAATATTGAATATGAGACAGAGACAAAGTACAAGGCTGGGATCAGCTTCTCTCCCTAGTCATTTCACATGGGGATTCGTGCTGCTGAGTTTGTTGATTGCAGAGGTTGACGTGGGGGTTGGGGGATGGGGGGCAAGGTTTCCAGCTCTGTGTCTCACACAGTGTGGGAATAAATATGCATTCATCATTCTCTACGTTACAATTCTCTAATAGAACCAAGCAATGCCAAGATACCCAGATGAAAATGTTCTCTGGATGATCAGTTGCCAAACCCTCTTTCTCTAAATGAAATTATTTTGTGAAACATTTCTTGCAACACAGGGTCTGTGAAACAGGGTTTCTTTTGCCAGTTTTCCTATCAGATGAGAGACCCTGGGGAAGTCATTTAACCTATCTGTTCCTCCCTTTCCCCAACTTGAAGGTTAGGGAGGCTGGGCATGGTGTCTTATGCCTGTAATCCCAGTACTTTAGGAGGCCAAGGCAGGAGGATCACTTGAGGCCAGGAGTTTGAGATCAGCCTGGGCAACATAGTGAGACCCCATCGCTATAAATAAATGTTAAAAATTAGTCAGGTGTTGTAGTGTACAGCTGTAGTCCCAGCTACTTGGGAGGCTGAGGTGGGAGGATCATTTGAGCCCAAGAATTCAAGGCTGCAGTCAGCTATGATCCTGTCACTGCACTCCAGCCTGTGCAACAGTGAGTCCCTGTCTCAATAAAAGAAAAGAAAAAGAAAGTTATGGGATTGGCTAACAAATCTCCAACATGTTGTGTGTCTGTGCTACAATGCAGATGGTGTCCCTTGGAGATGTGAGTGTGGAGGCCATATAGACACCTGGGTGAAGAGCTGTTTGGGAGGAGTAGGCAGCATGGTCTTAAGGCATGAGCATGTCTAGAGTGCTTGGGGAGTAGCAATGAGACCAGGGTTGCTGAAGTGAGGGAGGGAAATAACAGGACGCAAGACCAGAGAGTTAAACCGGGGCCAGATCATGCTGAGCCTTGAAAACTACCGTGTCAATTTTTATCCCGAGAACAATGGAAGTTTGGTGAGATTGTGACTTGAGGAATTGTGTGATCTGACTTAGCATTTTACCGGGGTTCCCTCTGACCTGTAGGGTAAGAATAGACTGGAAGGGACTGAGGGTGGAATCACAGAGATCGGTTAGGAGGCTATGACAATCCAGGTAAGAAATGACAGTGGCTGGTTACCAGAATAGGAGAATTAGAGGTGATGATAAGTTGTCCAATTTTAGATTTGCAGGGGAAGGATGTAGGGGACATTCAGCAGAATGTACTGCTGTTAATCCTCCCTACCAGCCTTCCATATAACTGAGAATCCCAATGACCTCAAAGATAAATATAATCTTCCATCGTAACAAATGTTGGTGACACCGTTCCCAGCTCATGGCTCTGACATCTTCCATTTGCATTTTTAATTTTCCAGTAAAGCTTCAAGTACATATATATTTCTCACATTCAGTTTCAGTATTTTTGAACTTCTCTCTGAATAACAAGTCCTCACAGGCCACAAATGGCGTATCACAGACTTTTCCTGAAACAAAGCAAAAGTGACTTTTTTTTTTTGTCGAAATACCTACCGGCTTAGGCTGAGTTGTCTCAAAAAAGCAGAACCTCAGACACGGGTTTATTGTGGGCAGCTTATTTTGGGAAGTCATCCCAGGGAACAGGAAAGATCTTGGAAAAGGGACATGGGGAAGGAAGGTATATCAGCCGATGCATTCCAGAAAAACAAAATCAATCAAACTATCCATAAAACATTAGATCTATTTACATCTATTGATAAAATATTAAGAGATTTATTTTAAAGGATTGGCTTACACAATGATAGGAACTGGCAAGTCTGAAATCCACAGGACAGGCCAGCAGCCTGGACACTCAAGGGCGAACTGATGCTGCGGCCTCGAGACAGGATTTCTTCTTCTTTGAGAAATCTCAGTTCTTACTCTTAAGGTCTTTCAAATGATGTGATGAGGCACAGCTGTTACAGGAAAGGGGTCCCGATCCAGACACCAAGAGAGGGTTCTTGGATCTCATGCAAGAAAGAATTCAGGGTGAGTCCATAGAGTAAAGTGAAGGCAAGTTTATTAAGAATGTAAAGGAATAAAGAATCACTACTCCATAAACAGAGCAGCCCCAAGGGTCACTGGTTGTCCATTTTTATGGTTATTTCTTGAAGATATGCTAAGCAAGGAGTGGATTATTCATGCCTCCCCTTTTTAGACCATATAACGTAACTTCCTGATGTTATCATGGCATTTGTAAACGGTCATGGCGCTGGTGGGAGTGTAGCAGTGAGGACGATCAGAGGTCACTCTTGCTGCATCTTGGTTTTGGTGGGTTTTGGCCGACTTCTTTACTGCAACCTGTTTTATCAGCAAGGTCTTTATGACCTGTATGTTGTGCTGACCTCTTATCTCATCCTATGACTTAGAATGACTTTACCTTCTGGGAATGCAGCCCAGTAGATCTCAGCCTCATTTTACCCAGCTCCTATTCAAGATGAAGTTACTCTGGTTTACACACCTCTGACAAAGCCACATTACTAAGGGTAATCCTCCTTACTTAAAGTGAGGTGGTTATAGATGTTAACCATGTCTACAAAATACCTTCACAGCAACACCTAGATTCCTCTTTGATTAAATAGCTGGGTACCATCACCTACCCAAGTTGACACATCACACTCACAGTCATAGAAAGTGTAGCCGAATATTTGCAAAAATGGTTGCCATTATTCCCTTCACTGTGTAGAAGTTCTGCAATGCAGCCTTGTGGCTCTTTTCATCCAGAGATAGAGTGTATTTGAATCTGTGCTAAACTTGTGATTTTCTGGGACAAATAGAATGTGTCAGAAGTGACATTGTTCCAGTTTCAGCCTAGACATCCACAGGCTTTGCACACTTGCTTTTATTTTCTTGGGACTCTGCAACCTCCAATGTGAGGAAGCCCAGGCTACCCTGATGAAGAATGGGAAACCACAATGACATCCCCACAGAGGCTGCCCTAGCTTATCCTGTGCCCATCTGACTCAGCACCTGCCCACAGAATGCATGAGTCAGCACAGCTAAGATCAGCTAAGTCTGGAATAGATAAGCAGAATGCTCATCTATCTGATCCACACATTTATGAGCCAAATAAATGGTTGTTATCTTAAGCAACTAAGATTTGGAATGGTTTGCTATACAGCAAAAGCTATCTAATACAGAAGCAAAATCAATACAAGGATGATTTATCAAGCTAGTCATTGCTAACGGAAATTGGGGCTGGGCTATGAGCTTTAGGACTGTTCACCTGAAAGTCAGAAGATAAAAGCATTAACTCACTGATCCACTTCTTAGTTGGTCAAGGATTGCCCCATGGGGTGTTAATGTTTTCATACCTCCAGAATATGCGTGAGGAAGTGTCCGTGGGATTCCTGTATGGGTCCCATGCTGCAACATCAAAGAAGCCCTTGATGGAAAATCAAGACTCCTGTAGTGCACCTGACTCAAAGTACTGTCAATTTATACATTAACAAATCAGACAAAAAGTGAACTAAGGGGATGTAACATGGGGCACATGGAATAACCAGTATAGTTGCATGACTGTGAACTGTTCAAGCTCACCACTAAGTTCAGTCTGTCTCAGACCTTTTCAAGGTGGCAGGCAGCTGGCAGCAATCTGTATAAAACATTTAATATAATAGATTAATAGATTAATGGATTAGTGGATCCCATGCTCATGCACTAAGCTACAATTCCTGCTATTGCAACTGGTCTTGAGAGTGCAATAGATCTATCTCTTCAGTCGACCATTCTTTTAGACCCTCTTCACTTCGACCAGCACCTCAGTAGGTCCTGAATACTTACTAAATGGGATGACCTACAAAACCTTTTTGTGCAAGGGGTCTGAGACCTTCTTTGCTTTGCTCTTCCTGAACTGGATTTGCTACAATTGTACATTTCCAGCTACCTCTGAGCATAGAAGCACCAAGAGGAATCTTACTGCTTATTTTCTGCCCTCCTAGTGTGTAGCCATAGCCTCATGTCCTCATGGTAATCAGGAAAGTATTAATACAATATTTCTTCTAAAATTGAGATTTTTTTATTTGCCTCCTGGTCCACACACATGAAGAGCCCAGCATGCCCAGGTGATAGCTGTGGTTTCAACATTAGTGGAATTCTTACTGTGACCCCTAGTGGAAGAATTTCCTCCTTAGAAACCAGAACTTCTATTCCAGCAAGGACTAAGTTTGCAGGAAGAAGAATCATAAACATTTTAAATGTGTCATTAAGAGCGATAGTGAGAGGATCTAAACCCATTTTGTTTTGTGTTTTGTTTTTGAGACAGAATTTTGCTCTTGTTGCCCGGGCTGGAGTGCAATGGTGTGATCTCAGCTCACTGCAACCTCCTCCTCCCAGGTTTAAGTGATTCTTCTGCCTCAGCCTCCCTAGTAGCTGGGATTACAGGCATGTGCCACCATGCCCAGCTAATTTTCGTATTTTTTAGTACAGACAGGATTTCACCCTTTTGGCCAGGATGGTCTTGATCTCTTGATCTGCCTGCCTCGGACTCCCAAAGTGCTGGGATTACAGGCGTGGGTCACCACATGGGGCTCCAAACCCACCTTCACTGCTTGGTTCCTAGACCCTGGCATTGGAGTTTCTTGGGGACGTAGCACCACATATAGGCTTCACTGCATATACTGCATTCTGGAGGACAAGTCTCCAACCCAACAGGATTTTTTTCCCTTGAGCTGCACCTTCACCAAGACTTTAACAGATCATTTATGTATTGTATTAGAGTGGCTGCTTTAGGGCTGTATCATTTATGATAGAAGCAGTGGATCCCATGGTCATGCACTCTTTGTCACAACTCCAAAAAATATTACGTAGGTGCAAAAGTAATTACTGTTTTTGCCATTAAAAATAGTAACCTGAGCCAGGTGCAGTGGCTCTCATCTGTAATCCCAGCACTTTGGGAGGTTGAGGCAGGTGGGTCATGAGTTCAGGAGTTCGAGACCAACCTGGCCAACATGGGGAAACTCCATCTCTACTAAAAATACAAAAAATTATCCAGGAGTGGTGGCACGCACCTGTAATCCCAACTACTCAGGAGACTGAGGCAGGAGAATCACTTGAACCCAGGAGGCGGAGGTTGCAGTGAGTGGAGATCACACCACCGTACTCCAGCCTGGGTGACAGAGCAAGACTCTGTCTCAAAAAATAAAAATAAAAATAAAAAATAAAAAAGTAGTAAGCCATGTACTGCACCTGACTTAAGGTACTGTCAATTTCTACCATGGCAAATCAGACAAAAGATAAAATAAGGGAATGTAAAGTGGGGCACATGGAATACTTGAAAAGTAATGGTGAAAACTGCAATTACCTTTGCTCCGACCTAATGGGTCTCTTGTTTTGACGCAATGTGGTTGGTAATTCCGTATCAGTAAATCAGGCATTCCCTAGCCCTTGTATGGCAGTGCCAGCAGAGGCACCAAGGGCAGGGAAGACAGACCACGTTTGGAATAGGTAATAATTCAAGTAAACGTGAAAAACTATCATCTCTAGGGTGGAGGAAGATCAGTTTAATCAACTTGCCACCTAATAACCACCTTGAGGGGTTTCTCATGGATGGCACTGTAATACATGCTCAGAGCCAATCTCTGCTGCTAGCAAGGTAAATATTCAGCAATAGGAACAACTAGATCAATCTTGGACCCATGGGTAACTTCCCCATGACCAACTCTTTAGCCAATTGTACAAGCACCAACATAGCCTAGGAGAGACAACGACTAACACCTATCATCACTGAGTCATCCCATCCATCTGGTCACTAACCAACCATCGTGGGGAAGACGTTCTCTGGTGAGCATTAAAACGAGGCATCGACCGGGCGGAGTGGCTCACGCCTGTAATCCCAGCACTTTGGGAGGCCAAGGTGGGCAGATCACAAGGTAAGGAGTTCAATATGGTGAAACCCCGTCTCTACTAAAAATACAAAAAAATTAGCGGGGGATGGTGGCCCATAACTGTAATCCCAGCTACTCGGGTGGCTGACACAGGAGAATTGCTTGAATCTGGGAGGCGGAGGTTGCAGTGAGCAGAGATCGCACCACTGCACTCTAGCCTGGGCGACAGGGTAAGACTCTATTTCAAAAAACCCAAAAAATAATGAGGCATAAAGATTAGCACACGTGTCCTCCCACCTCTGCCTTCCACTTTCTTTTCTCTGATCTTTCAGTCTTGCCTTTTTATGCCTCCAACCAACCAGATAAGCCATGAGCCTCTGCCAGGAGTACAAGTACAGTTACAAAGTACACTGTTTACAGTTTTGCCCACTGGTAGTAGCCTCTTCACCCTTGTCCTTCAGGGATAGTCAGTTGTGGAGCTGTAGTACAGCAAAAGTCAATTTTCATGAGTGGAAACATATTAAATATTATAATTATATTATATATCAATTGCAATATTTATTATATTTATATATGCATATGATACTATTTAGTAATACATAATTATATAAAATAATAATATATAATTAAAAGTTGGGCGCAATGGCTCACACCTGCAGTCCTGGCACTTTGGGAGGCCAAGGCAGGCAGATTACTTGAAGTCAGGAGTTTGAGACCAGCTTGGCCAACATGGTGAAACCCTATCTCTACTAAAAGTACAAAAACTAGCTGGGCCTGGTGGTGTGCACCTGTAATTCCAGCTACTTGGGAGGCTGAGGCAGCAGAATCGCTTGAGCTTGGGAGGTGGAGGTTGCAGTGAGCTGAGACTGTGCCACTGCACTCCAGCCTGAGTGACAGAGACTCCATCTCAAAAAAAAAAAAAGATAATACTATATAATTATACACAATTATAGTAACATGATTATATTATATATGCATATATTACTATATATTATTACATTATATTATAATTATTATTATATTAACAATAATTATATATTAATTTATATGATTTATAATTACATAAATATAAATTATATTATAATGAATATAATATAACTAATATATTATAATGCAATTGTAAATATAATAATATAAATATAGTGATATGATTATATTATATATGCTTACGTTAATATATAATATATAATCATATAAGTATATATAGTATATTATATAATTATAGCTTCTGTCTGCTTCACAGTTCCCCCTTCCTCTTGGTCCCGTTCAAACTGGCACCCTTATGACTTATTCTATAAATGGGGGTCAGGGTAGTGTTTTCCCACGCCCTATATGCTGCCTAATATTAAATAATACTCAGTGTATGAACCTATCTGTGAGCCGTGTCTGAATGTCTCCTCTGACAGCTGATCAGATGGAATATCCACAATGCCCTAAGTATAAGCTTTAGAGGTACTTGGCATGGAAGTCTAGGCCATCAGTTCATGCTTCCTAAGTGTGCTTTCTGGCCTTGTTCAGATCCAACTCTAAATGGACCATTTCCATCCTACAATAAATTGTTGCTGTATGTACCCAAGCTTATGATTCCAGTGTGTTTCATAATTTTTAGCTAATGATGGGCAACGTTTTTCTGAGGTCCTGCGGTTGTTCAGTCTCTACTAAGGCACAATAACATGGCTGGAGGTGATTTTTCAAACAGCAAGCCGTTCTCTGCCACAGAGTGCATGACCTTGCTCCAGAATGCTTCAGGATCCTAGGGGTCTACACCGTGGCTTCCTATGGGGATCTGTGGGGTACCTCTAGTACTATGGAATCTGCTGGGGCATAAGGCCTTCACAGCAGGATGTCTTTCATCGTAGCTTCTGTCTGCTGCAGAGCTCCTGCTTCCTCTTGGCTCCATCCAAACTTTCAGCCTTATGAATTATCCTATAAATGGGTCACAGCAGTGTGTTCCCATGTAGTACATGCTGCCTCCACAATCTGTGGATGAACTAAGCACAGTGCCTCTTTCTTAATGGTAGGGGCCACATGGCTCACTAACTTTGCCCTTTATGCTCCAGACCACTGACTGGATCCATAAATACTCTACTCATATGGCAGAACTCTGAATTTCATAGAACTTATCTTCCATCTTTTGGCAACAAGTATCATGTTAGTACACCCAGAGTACTTGACATTTCCTGCTCAACAAATCCAATGATCATGATGTCATTGATATAGTGGACAACTATGATGTTCTGTGGAATGTCAAGAGGACCAGGGTCCCTGTGGAAAATGTTACCACAGAGAGTAGGTAACTTAACATAGGGCAAGTGGTATGTGTATTACTGTCCTTGCTGTGTAAAAGTTAACTGCCTTTGGTCTTCCTTAATGATAGGGATTGAAAAGAATGTATTTGACATATTGAGTATCATATATCAAGTGTCAGATGCTGTGTTGATCTGTTCTAGTAAACATATCACATCTGGGATCACAGCTGCAATTGGGGCTATTACCTGGTGAAGGCGATAAAACAGCCCACTGTCATCCATCATAATCTAGATGATCCTTGTTGATGAGCTGATGGGATTTGGTGGGATCACCGCACTTGCATCATTTAACTCCTTGAAAGTGGCATTTATTGTTTTACTTCCTCTTGGAATACACTATGGCTTTGGGCTTTGTGGAGGAAAAGTTAAATATTAAATTTGAACTCAATTGAACGTGGACACAAACAATGGTCACCAAGTCCCAAAAGAGGGGGCATGAGCCCCTTGAGGCATTCATCCAGTACTGTTTCAGAGAAATCTCTATTTCAATCTATTCCTACACATTAGTTACTGAAAAACAACAGACAGTCGCAAAAACAAGTTGATCTTTTTGTGTTCCTTGAGCCCAGTTGTGAAGGGCCCTCATGACTGGGCCTCATGCCACACAACTAGTTACAAAAAGAGCTAAGGTCCCAGACCGCGTCGGAGCTTCATGATTCCTCTCCTCAGCTGTGCATGAATGGGTGGCCGACTCTGGAGCCCAGGCTGTTGCTTCCCAGTCTGGTGATGAATCCTCCATAGTCTGGTGAGTATATATATATATCTTTTCCCTTCTCCCTTTCCCATTACAATTTGCTTGTTATATCATTTGCTTATTATATCTGCATTGCCATTTACGTGGGATAAAAGTTGTTTGCCCTTAAAAGTATTGTGTGTGACTTTTCCTTTCCCCTTATGCATCTCCGCATAGAACAGGCTTTTACTTGTTTTTTTTTTGTTTGTTTTTTTTAATAGAGGATCTTACCACACAGGGCAGAAAACCAATGTGAGTATTCCATGTATCCATAAGATAACACACTTGGAGGCTAGGAGGATACTTACAGGGTAGTTCTGTAAATCTCTTGAGCCCTCTGTGACATAGACTTGGGTCAAAGCTCTATCTGTCACTTGGTTTCCATAAGCCACCGTACTAAACAAGGGACCTTGTGAATGTTTCAGGTCCCCTGCTATCAGGATCATTTCACACTACATCCCACAGCTCTTGAAAAGTCTAGCTATTTCCAGTGCACAGTTAATCTGACTGCAGCTTCCTTTGGGAACTCACATACTCTACATGCTTATGATGGGGTTGCAGAATCCTCTTGTCTTCCTCTTCAATAGAGCATCTAGCTTTGTTCTGAAAACTCAATCATCATTACTTCCATTGTAGCAGCTGGCATCAGCTTCCTGGTGCACCAGCTACCAATATTCTTCTTACTCAATTTTTTTTCCTGGTTATCCACGTCACATAACACCCTAGACAACTTTCTGTCTTGTCTCTAGGAATGCCATGGTCATTGTGATAGATCCCTGTGGGTCGGGGCACACTGGCTGCCATGCCAACTTTATTGCCCACTATATTAATTAACTCTGCCTTGCCCTGTCAGTTAAATGCCACCACCAGGCTTCTGGAGTTCTGAGATTCTATTACCCCTGTTGACAATGGGAAGCTCAGCTTCATGGCAGCATCTCCTAGTACCAACCTCAGCCAACAGAAAACAGCTACCACTGAACCTCTCAAAGAAGTCTGTGCTTCCTTTACCATCATATTTCTTACTGTCTTGGTGAAGAGAGTGAGGTAAGAGAGAGTTTTTCGTAAAAGGATGGATTTTCTGGTT
Source organism: Homo sapiens (assembly GCF_000001405.40). Lineage (NCBI taxonomy): Eukaryota > Metazoa > Chordata > Mammalia > Primates > Hominidae > Homo > Homo sapiens. Next base: position 67,906,789 of record NC_000007.14, on the reverse strand, counting down.
TCACATAATGAATCTTTCTAACATTCCCACCTCTCTCAGTCTTTTGACTGCTCACTCAATATTCTGCCAACACAAAGTTGGCAAAGCCACCTTATTTACTTCTATGGTTTGGCTGTGTCCCCACCCAAATCTCATCTTGAATTGTAGCTCCCATAATCCCCACATGTCATGGGAGGTACCCAGTGGGAGGTAATTAAATCATGAGTTTAGGTCTTTCCCGTGCTGCTCTCATGATAGTGAGTAAGTCTCATGAGATCTGTCAGTTTTATAAATGGGTGTTCCCCTGAACATGCTGTTTCTTGCCTACTGCCATGTACGATGTCTCTTTGCTGTTCCTTCTTCTACCATGATTGTGAGGCCTCCCTAGCCTTGTGGAACTGTGAGTCGGTTAAACCTCTTTCCTTTATAAATTACCTAGTCTTGGGTATGTCTTTATTAGCAGCAAGAGAATAGACTAACCCATTTACTAAGAACCATCATCCTGCATAAGCTTCAAGGAGCCCACCCAGCAAGATTGGAGGACTGGTTTCATGTGACCTCACCAAGATATTAACCCCTAAGTTATGGGAAAGTGTTCTCATATTAATAAATTTTCCTTTTTTACCTGTATATGCTACCCCACCACTAGCAGCAGCAGCACTCCTGGCCTAACACCACAAGTTTCTCTCCTATAAATCCTCTCAATGTATATTTGCTCAGTCTTACTATTCTTTTCTTTCTTTTTTTTTTTTTTTTTGAGACAGAGTTTCACTCTGCCATCCAGGCTATAGTGAAGTGGTGCAATCTCAGCTCACTGCAGCCTCCGCCTCCTGGGTTCAAGCCATTCTCCTGCCTCAACCTCCCAAGTAGCTGGGACTACAGGTGCCCACCACCACACCTGGCTAATTTTTTGTGTTTTTAATAGAGACAGGGTTTCGCCATGTTGACCAGGCTGGTCTCGAACCCCTGACCTCAGGTGACCCGCCCACCTCGGCCTCCCAAAGTGCTGGGATTACAGGTGTGAGGCACCACACCCAGCTGAGTCTTGCAGTTCTTTGGGTGAGTACATTATTATCTTCCAAAGCCCAAAGTGGCTGGGCTGGGCTATAGCCTGGCCATGTGAAGACACAGGAATGGGTGATACGGTGAGCAAATATCATCTTGCAGGGTGTCTTCATGTGAGCTTTTTGCAGACTTCCAGGCAAAGAGAAGCTGCTCTTCTCTATCAAGGGAGAGCACTGCTTCTGCTGGACTGAAAGATTCAGGAGAATCCAGGTTTCAATATTCTCAGGCTATCCAACAAATATCCCCATCTCTGTCTCAGGGTCTCAGTCTTTTGGGTTTTCATTTTGACAAAGGATACCTATCAAGGCTATGCAATTCGTTTTCTTTTCCTGTTCTGACCATAAACTGCTGTGCCAAATTTTCAGCACGTTTTGTCCTACAGCTAAGAGAGACGGAAATCTCTGTAAATGTGTCCATGAAGGCTTTCTGAGTTGACGGCTGACTAACCTGAGTCTTCTCATTTTATTTCAACTCTTCCAAAGCTGTTGACAGAAGCCAGCCAACTCCAGAAGCTTTATCATGACCAGCAACCTCATACTCATCAAATGTGCATGCTTGAAGTAAGTCGAAGCTTTGCCTTCTATTCAAATCTCAGCTTGATCCACCATCTGTGAGAGGCTTAGTCACTGTGAGCCTTCTGCAGGCCAGAGGTTAGCACTACCCCACTTTCCCAGTCAACGGGGTCCAGTTTGCACCTAACTGAGGAGTGAGGGATCAGGTCTCTGAACCCCATCCCGAAGATCTGCTTTCTAGAGACTCTTCTATTGTAGCCAATATTCCTATGGAGAGAACAACCTAAGAGAAAGACTTTGCCCAGGTAGTTTTTCATTGTTGTTTTGTTTTTTGTTTAAGGGAGTGAGGAGTAGAGGTCTGCGAAAAGTGTATCCAGAAAGCAGGGAAAAGCCAGGTGTGATGCTCACACCTATAAGCCCAGTGACTTGGGAGGCTGAGGTGGGAGAATCACTTGAGCCCAGGAGTTTGAGACCAGCCTGGACAACATAGTAAGACCCTCTTTCAACATTTTTTTTAAAAATTAGCTGGCTTTGGTGGTGCACACCTGTAGTACCAGATACTCAGGAGACTGAGGCAGGAGGATCATTTGAGCCCAGGAAGTCAAGGCTGCAGTGAGCTATGATCATACCACTGCATTCTAGCCTGGGTAACAGAGCAAGATTCTGTCTGAAAAGATTAAAAATAAATAAAGAAATAAAAATAAAGGAGCAAAGGCAGATATAGGAGTATGCCTGTGGGCTGGTCCTCCCTTCAGCAGGCACCTGAGTCTTGGTCCCTCTGAGATCCTTTTAGTCAGTGTGATGGTCAATAACAGGTGTCAAGTTGATGGGATGGAGGGATGTCTAGATGGCTGGTGAAGCATTGTTTCTGGATGTGTCTGTGAGAGTGTTTCTAGTGGAGACTGACATTTGAGTAGGTGGACTGGAAGAGGAAGACCCATCCTTAATGTGGGTAGGGACCATCCAATTGGCTGCAGAAGCGGCCAGAACAAAGTACGCAGAAGAAGAGTGCTGAGCAGCTCAGGGAGTATCTTGCTCTTTCTCTCTTCCTGTGCAAGGCACTTTGCTTCCTTTCCTCCTGCCCTTGGACATCAGGCTCCAGGTTCTTCAGCCGTTGGGCTCTGGGACTTGCACCGGCAGTCTCCCAGGGACTCTCAGGCCTTCAGCCTCACACTGGGGGTTGCCCTGTCGGCTTTCTTGATTGTGAGGATTTCAGGCTTGGTCTGAGCCACGCTACTGGCTTCTCTCTTTCCCCAGCTTGCAGAAGACCCCTTGTGAGACTTCGCCCTGTAATTATGTAAGCCAATTATCCCTAACAAACTCCCTTTTTTTTTTTTTTTTTTTTAGATGGAGTTTCGCTCTTGTTGCCCAGGCTGGAGTGCAGCGGTGCAACCTCTGCCTCCTGGATTCAAGAGATTCTCCTGCCTCAGCCTCCCGAGTGACTGGGATTACAGGCATGGGCCACCACACCCAGCTATTTTTTTTGTATTTTTGGTAGAGGTGGGGTTTCACCATATTGGCCAGGCTGGTGTCAAACTCCTGATCTCAGGTAATCCACCTCCCTCAGCCTCCCAAGGTGCTGGAATTACAGGCGTCAGCCACCATACCTGGCCTAAACTCCCTTTTACATATACATATGGCCTATTTGTTCTGTCCCTCTAGAGAACCCTGACTAATATAGGCAGGTAGAATGTCCATGGTAGTGCAGAAAAGGGTAACATTTACCTCTAAAGCTTGGGCCAAGGGGCAATCATTTCCCCACCTTTGGGTTCTGGGCATGTTAGATCCTAGGGGTTTCCACTCCATAGACTGTCAGAAACTCTAAGACAGAAGGAGAGCACACTAAGGCAAGGCTCATCAGAGAAGTGAAGACACTGGAGTATTTACTCACCAGCTTCTGTCACTCATAGGTGGATGGTCACTCCTGTGGAGTTAAATCCAGGCACATCCAACTTGTGCCCAACTCAAGAGGTGAGCACAGTCCTTTGACTAAAGAACCCCACTGGAGACTTAGGAGGCCACCAACACGTATGGAACTTGACATGGTTTAGCTGTGTCCTCACCCAAATCTCATCTTGAATTGTAGCTCCCATAATTCCCATGTGTTGTGGGAGGGACCTGGTGGGAGATAATTGAATCATGGGGGCTGTTCTCTTGGTAGTGAATAAGTCTCACGAGATCTGATGGTTTGATAAGGTGAAACCCCTTTCGCTTGGTTCTCATTTTCTCTTGTCTGCCGCCATGTAAGCTGTGCCTTTCGCCTTCTGCCATGATTGTGAGGCCTCCCCAGCCACGTGGAACTGTGAGTCCATTAAACCTCTTTTTCTTTATAAATTACCCAGTCTCGGGTATGTGTTTATCAGCAGCGTGAAATGGACTAATATAGGACTTCTGCAGGTGACCTCCATGGTAGGGCACGGGCACAAGAACTGGGCACTAATAAGGTTCCTACAATTACTTCTGCCTCTTTAACCAGTATTGGGCAGGGCAACAGGTGAGGTCAATTGGAGACGTTGGTTCCAGTAACTGAACATATCTCCCAAATCCTTTTTGTCATCCTCTACATTAGCAAGCTTCTGGCAAAACTCCCTTCGCATAAAAGGCACCTCCAAAGCACCCCTCTGATGTGTCAGAATTTTCTTTCTGAATAAATGCATGCCTTTTTCATTCTCACATTCCCAGGGTTGTCAGTAGTTTTGAAATTCTCTTGTAAAACTACCGCTTTGAGCCTTTGTGCAGGGAACAGCAAAATAAATGCTCTGATTACTGCAAAAGATCAGACATGCATGCCGTACAAGACATTATCTTAAAGCCACCACAAAAGACCTCTTCTCGTTTTATTAAAATTGGCAGGCAATGCCGGAATGCCAGAGCGCAGGGCCAAGGAGCTTGCAAGGGCAATCCACACACTGTTCAGCGCTAATAGGCGACAAGTTCTGATATTCCAAGAATTTCTAATTCATGGCTGCTTTCACTTTCCCAGAGCCGATATCCAAATTGATTCTGCCTACTTCAGTCTCAATGTGTGAAAATGCTGACAGACAGAAACACCTAAGGGTAAGACGTCTGCCGAGTGATTGGTTAAACAGCTATTCATTTTGAAATATATCTTCGAGAAGCAGAATAACAGAGGGCCACGGTAGTGTGCGGCCCATTAATTATACAGTTGACAAGAAAATTACCCTTCAGATCAACGTTAGTGGAGACTTGGCTGGAAGGGGGGCGTGAGGACGGATGGGGGAGAAATGTTCAACAGGTTTATCTGCACAGCCTGCAGTGAGCGAGGTCCTCCTAGCTCAGGAAGGAGTGAATTGGTGTATATGTCACCTATAACATGCTATCAAACTGCAGGACAAGCCAATAGCCACTTAACAGACGTCCTTACCCTAAAATTCTAGCAAAGGATGCCCTGGTGTGCATTCAAGGACTAGCTTAGTCCAGTGGAAACAGCATATGAGTGAGAACCATTCTGCACAAGGCACAAGTTCCTGTCTGTGTGATCTTGGGATATTTCATGAACTGTCATAAGCCTCATAACTCTTATTCATAAAACGAGGATGGAAAAAGCCGCCTCGAGGGTAGTAATGACGAATACATGGGAATACAGGTAAAGCACCTGTCACATATAGGTGCATGTTCAATGCACACACGGCTGTGTTCCACTTTGGGGTTTTCCTGTGTTCTATGGCAAAATCCTGAGCACCTAGTTGTAAGCATGAGACCTCTTGGCTGTGTATCTGCTCCTGCAGCCCTCTCCAATAGTTTGTCCAGAGCCTTGGGGTTCAGACTGGCAGTTTTAGGAGTGCCTGCCTCTCTAGAAAGGGAGGAGGGGAGTCTAGACGTGGTATGCTGCTCCTCAGCCCAGGTCTAAATTTCTGGAGGGGCCCGGCGCAGTGGCTCATGCCTGTAATCCCAGCACTTTGGGAAGCCGAGGTGGGTGGATCGCTTGAGGTCAGGAGTTTGAGACCAGCCTGGCCAACATGGTGAAATCCCATCTCTACTAAAAAATATAAAAATTAGCCAGGTGTGGTGGTGCATGCCTGTAATCCCAGCTACTCGAGAGACTGAGGCACAACAATCTCTGGAACCCAGGAGGTGGAGGTTTCAATGAGCCGAGATCACACCACTGGACTCCAGCCTGGGCAACAGAGCGAGACTCTGACTCAAATAAATAAATAAATAGATAGATAGATGATAGATAGATAGATAGATAGATAGATAGATAGATAGATAGATAGATAGATAGATACATAATTTTCTGGAGGAAACCAAGCCTCCAATGCTTCTCTGACATCAGGTTGCAACCTCCTCACCACCCCCTCCCTCGCTGAGGACGGCCCCTCAGGCTGGCTGGTTCCCCCAAGTCCACTGCTGCATCTTGGATCCCACCTCCACTCTTCTCCGGAATTGATCCTGATTGAGAAACCTAGTTCATCCCGTAGAGGCCCTAGATCTAGATGGCACATTCAAACTGGGTCTTTGCAGGAAAATTGAATAAGAGGAACCATAGACACAACTGTGACTTTTAGGGACACAAGGGAGGGAGAGCTTAGCAGAGCTCAGAGAGGAAGTGCTGACTCAGCTGTAGCATTTCATGGAGGGATGCAGCCAGGCCATGGCAATCTTGCAGGAATGGAGCCCAGAGGATAAAGCCCCTGACTCTGCTCTGCCCTCTCCCATGGCCTGTGTCCAATCAGAAGCTGGAGAATGAAGAAGCCCATTGCTGTGGCCCAAGCAGGTCACTCTTCTGGGGCACAGACAGAGTAGAACAGAGAAGAGGGAAGGAGTCAATAGACAGCAACAAATACTCAGCCCCACACCACCCCTGGTGGTACCGTTGAACTGGAACTGGGTGACAATGAACTGAAACTGACTGGCCTCACAGAACATGAGACTCTCAGAACTCCTTGAAAACACTGGACAAATCCTAGGTGCAAGTTTTTCCAGCTCCATCTCTGACTCCAGTGGCTACTCTGGTAAGCCTTATTTTTTTTTTTTTTTTTTTTTTTTTTTTCAGATGTAGTCTTGTTCTGTTACCCAGGCTAGAGTGCAGTAGTACCATCTTGGCTCACTGCAACCTCCACCTTCCAGGTTCAAGCGGTCCTCCTGCTTCAGCCTCCTGAGTAGCTGGGATCACAGGTGCCCGCCACTGTGCGTGGCTTATTTTTGTATTTTTAGTAGAGACAGGGTTTCACCACCTTGGGCAGGCTGGTCTCAAACTCCTGACCTCACAATCCACCTGCCTCAGCCTTCCGAAGTGCTAGGATTACAGGCATGAGCCATGGCGCCCAGCCTCTGGTGAGCTCTTTTAAGCAGACTTCCTCCAGCTTTAAGTGGGTGACATGGCAACTCTTTGCCCTAGACCAGTCCAAGAACACAGCAGAGATTCCTATAGAAATCTCCTCATCTTTTATCCATACACAACCTGAAGTGTGGAGAGTTCACACTGTGGGGCTACACTTGACTCACAGGTGCCAGAAGCCAGGGACCCCCATCAACAGTTCAGAAATATATTTCATAAGCTGCCTTAAAAGGTCTGAATTCGGCCAGGCACAGTGGCTCAAGCCTGTAATCCCAACACTTTGGGAGGCCTAGGCAGGCGGATCACCTGAGGTTGGGAGTTCGAGACCAGCCTGACCAACATGGAGAAACCCCGTCTCTACCAAAAATACAAAATTAGCCGGGCGTGGTGGCGCATGCCTATAATCCCAGCTAATCAGGAGTCTGAGGTGGAAGAATCACTAGAACTTGGGAGGCAGTGGTTGCGGTGAACCGAGATCATGCCATTGCACTCCAGCCTGGGCAACAAGAGCAAAACTCTGTTTCAAAAAAAAAAAAAAAAAGTCTGAATTCTTATTTTATTTTATTTTTTAAAATCTGTATAAAGTGGCCAGGCACAGTGGCTCATGCTTATAATCCCAATATTTTGGGAGGCTGAGGCTGGAGGGTTGCTTGAGACCAAGAGTTTGAGATCAGCCTGGGCAACAGGGTGAGACCTCATTTCTGCAAATAAAAATAAAAATAAAAAAATTAGCTGAGCAAGGTGACCTGTGCTTGTATTCCCCACTACTCCAGAGGCTGAGGCAGGAGAATTGCTTCAGCCCAGGAGTTTGAGGCTATAGTGAGCTACGATCATGCCACTGCACTCCAACCTGGGCTACAGAGTAAGACCCCATCTCAAAAAAAAAAAAAAAATTATGGGTTACAAGTGTAATTTATGGATAGATTGCATAATGGTGAATCAGGGCTTTTAGAGTATCCATCACTCAAATAACGTACATCGTACTCATTAGGTATGTTTTTATTATCCACCTCCCTCTCACCCTCTCTCATGCTTCTAAGTCTCCATTTTGTATCATTCCACATTCTACATCCAAAAGGTCGGAATTCTGCTTCTCAACTTTAACCTTCTGGGACCTGGACTCCTTAATTTTCACCTAGTGTCTGCAACCCCTTTGCCCGAGCAGATGGTATTGTTTCCAGAATCTCTCTCATTGGCCTGGATTTAACTCCCTGCTCTGGATTTCAGACTCTTAGGAGGCTAAATTTCTTGCCCAATCCACTGAATCATATCCAGGATCCTGGCTGGAAACATAAAAAAGTAAACCTGGGCTATTTGAGAATTACATAGAAGGTTTACTCATATGATGAAAGTTGTTATTGGTTCTAGGCCCAAGGAGTAAGCTCCAGTTTTCCATAGCAGTAGTTGACTCTATGACTTACCTTTTTTTTCTCTTTTTTGAGATGGAGTCTCACTCTCTCACCCAGGCTGAGTGCAGTGGTGCGATCTCGGCTCACTGCAAGCTCCACCTCCTGGGTTCAAACGATTCTTCTGCCTCAGCCTCCCCAGTAGCTGGGATTACAGGCACCTGCCACCATGCTTGGCTAATTTTTGTATTTTTAGTAGAGACGGGGTTTCACCATGTTGGTCAGGCTGGTCTCGTGTGATCTACCCACCTCAGCTTCCCAAGGTGCTGAGATCACAGGCGTGAATCACCATGCCCGTCCTCTGTGACTTATCTTTGAGTTGGTTTTTCATCTTTCTCCTCTGGTCCCTCACTCCAGTTCCCTGACACCATTTTGCAGATAAACTCCCTGCACTTCTCTAGCCTCTGTCTCAATACCTGCTTCCCCGTTGCCTGACCACCTAAACTAACAGATATTCTTTCTCAAGTGCAAATTTAGGACTTCTGGAAGGTCCAGCCATTTCAGAGCCAATTCATTCCTTCTAATTCACACTCAAAGCCCTCTCTTCCTCTCTCTTCCTCCATGGTGTTGAGAGCACCTAGGATGTCTGGCCATTCTCTGACCACTATGCTCTGGGAATGACTTCTCTGTGCCTTTCTGTCTTCTCTCCAGCCGTTAGATCCATCCTTCTGAACAAGCCCCTGGAGACTTCCATGCATACGGTTTCTTTGTACTTTGGAACCAGAGAGGATCTCTCTAGATTGGAGGCATCAGAAGCAGTTAGGAAACTGTGGACCTGACAAAAGACCATAGCAGTGGAGATGAAGAGAGGAGGTTGGAGCTGAGCAAATCAAGGGATATATTAAGATTTAATGTGAAAGTGTAGGATTTAATGGCTGTGGGAAGGCATTGGAAAAAACAAAGGCAAGGCTAGGTCCAAGCTTCCCCTTTGGGTGCCATTGGTTAGACCACAGTCTCTTGAGAACATTTCTTAGTGGAAAGATCATAGTAATTCCAGTCATCCTAGCTTCTCTCCCTACCAAATGTTGACCTCTTCTATATCCCCTACACATGTTCAGCCAGGTTCCATCTGATACTTTGGGTCTAGAACTCTACATGTCTCTAAAATGCATTCTTTGTTGGTTGAACTAACACAAGTTCGAAGTTTTAAAATTCAATTTTGCCAAGAAATCTAAAGAAAACCAAATTATACTAAAGACATGGCTGGGTGTTGTGGCTTATGCCTGTAATCCTAGCACTTTGGGAGGCCGAGGTGGGTGGATAGCTTGAGGTCAGAAGTTCAAGACCAGCCTGGACAACGTGGTGAAATCCCATCACTCTAAAAATACAAAAATTAGCTGGGCATGGTGGTGCGCACCTGTAGTCCCAGCTACTAGGGAGGCTGAGACAAGAGAAACACATGAACCCAGGATGTGGAGGTTGCAGTGAGCTGAGATTGTGCCACTGGACTCCAGCCTGGTCAACAGAGCAAGTCTCTGTCTCAAAAAAAAAAAAAAAAAAAAAAAAAAGACTTGGAGGAGTGACACACTAGCTTGCCTGGCAATTTACAGGGCATGGAGTTTGTTATTTCCTGTTCTCAGTGCTACAGAGGACTTCCTCTCTCCTTTCCTGGCCTTAGCAATTACCTCATCATCTGCCTGCTATTTCCTAAGGAGAAGGAGGACATCTTTTTTATTCATAGCCCTGCTTGAGCCACAGATAGTGCTTGCACTGAGACCTGTTGCAACAGCCAGAGTCTGGGAGGGAGGAAAGTCAGTCTGGATACATAAGAATATACAGTCCAAAACCACTTATGGGGAAGACTCAGGTCAAAAAGGGACAGGGGACAGGGGCCAACCCACGAAGACAAAATTCTAGATAATCATTCCAAACAATGGTGACATGAGACAGAAGCACCTCACCACCCCTCCGCCCCCCACCCGTCGCCCCGTGAGGCTAGAAAAGCAAGATCTCAATGCTAGTCATAAAACTGAGGCTGGACAATTTGCAATTGCAAAAATGTGGAACCAACACAAATGCCCATCAATCAAAGAGTGAATAAAGAAATGTGGTATGTATATATACAATGGAATATTACTCAACCATAAAAGGAATGAATTAATGGCATTTGCAGTGACCTGGATGAGATTGGAGACTATTATTCTAAGTGAAGTAACTCAGGAATGGAAAACAAAACATCGTATGTTCTCACTTGTGAGAACCAAGCTATGAGAATGCAAAGGCATAAGAATGATACAATGGACTTTGGGGACTCAGGGGGACAGGAAGGGAAAGGGATGAGGAATAAAAGACTACAAATTGAGTGTAGTGTATACTCCTCGGGTGACAGGTACACCAAATCTCACAAATCACCACTAAAGAATTTACTCATGTAACCAAACACCACATGTTCTCCAATAACGTATGGAAATAAGAAAAAAAAAGAAAGAAAGAAAAGAAAACTGAGGCTGAGAAGTTTGAGTGAAGGTAGGTGTCAGAGAATAAAGGGCAGGCTGGGGAAAGTATCACTTTTGGCATGGATGTCAGGTTCCAGTAGCAAATGTCTTTCCCATGCAATGCACTGGAAAAGGGCACAAGAGGCTGGGCACGGTGGCTCACACCTGTAATCCCAGCACTTTGGGAGGCTGAGGTGGGTGGATCACCTGAGGTCAGGAGTTCAAGACCAGCCTGACCAATGTGGTGAAACCCTATCTCTACTAAAAATACAAAAATTAGCTGGGCATGGTGGGGCACGCCTGTAGTCCCAGCTACTCAGGAGGCTGAGGGAGGAAAGTTGCTGGAACCCAGGAGGTGGAGGTTGCGGTGAGCTGAGATTGTGCCACTGCACTCCAGCATGAGCGACAAGAGTGAGACTCCGTCTCAAAAAAACAAACAAACAAACAAAAAACAAAAAAAAGAGCACAAGTTCAAGGTGGTAGATTCTGTCCTAGGAGAATACAGCTTTCCATCACTCACAAGACAGGCTTGTTTACTGAGTGTGGATGGTGAGCCAAGCACTGTTGTAAGGCCCTTGACTCACACATTTTGTGAATGCTTCCCAGTCTTAAGGTGGAGATTATTCCCCTGACATATCAAATTAGATACATATAAATTAGGAAATTAGAACCTGGAGAAGTCAAATTACTTGCTAGCTGTGCTGAGATTTGAATATAGGTATATTGGTTTTTAAAGCCCCTGGTTGGTTGGTTTGTTTGTTTTGAGACAGAGTCTTGCTCTGTCATCCAGGCTGGAGTGCAGTGGTGCGATCTTGTCTCATTGCAACTACCACCTCTGAGCTTCAAGCGATTTTCCTGCCTCAGCCTCCTGGGTAGCTGGGTTTACAGACACGTGCCATGACACACGGCTAATTTTTGTATTTTTAGTAGAGATGGGGTTTCACCATGTTGGCCAGGCTGGTCTCCAACTCCTAACCTCAAGCGATCCACCTGCCTCGGCCTCCCAAAGTGCTAGGATCACAGGACTGAGCCACCATGCCCGGCCCAAGCCCCTTTTATTTTTATTAAAATATTCTAACTTTTCTGAACAGACTTGGCTTCTCTCCCTCCTGAAATGCTATTTATATCATGCTTTGGCTCAACCATGGTATGAGACATATGGCATCTCAAGAACATGAGCAAGCGGGAATGAAGAAATCAGGGGCCGATGAGTCAAGAGCTGAGCCCAAGCCTAACTCTAAATTCTGCAGGGTCTGGAGAAAGAGTACGAATGCAGGCCTGCACAGCACTCCCCAAAATATTGACAAGTTATAAGCCAAGTCAACAGACTGATCCATCCAATATGACCTATCCATCACCTTCGACAAATAGATTTTCATGATAACCCAACAAGCCAAGATAGAGTTGACAGTTCTTGGGTTTCTCTAGGTTCTGTGCTTGTGGCATTATGGAGCCTCTCGGCCCCCCAGCTGATACTTTTTTTGTTTGTTTATTTGTTTTAATTTTGAGATGGAGTCTCACTCTGTCACCCAGACTGGAGTGCAGTGGCGCAATCTCGGCTCACTGCAGCCTCTGCCTCCCAGGTCAAGCGATTCTCCTGCCTCAGCTTCCTGAGCAGCTGAGATTACAGGCACCCACTACCACGCCTGACTAATTTTTGAATTTTTAGTAGAGAGGAGGTTTTGCCTTATTGGCCAGGCTGGTCTCGAACTCCTGACCTCAGGTGATCCGCCCACCTTGGCCTTCCAAAGTGCTAGGGTTACAGGCATGAGCCACTGTGTCCAGCCTAGAACCCTCACTTATTTCTGGGGAGAACAACAGAGCCAGGTTAGCAACAGGTGGCACCAGGAGGACAGGTAACAGTAGGTAGCAGTAGGGAGGAAGAAAAATTCTGGGCTTCTCTCCTCCTGGCAGGGCTGAGACTGCTGATCAACTTCTGCCCAGGGCAGGTCTGGCTCAGGAACACACTGAGTCTGATGGCTATAATGAAGGGTACCAGTGATTCTAATCAGAAGAGACAAGGGAAGGCAGGGGCTGATCATTTCCCTATTAGGAGTGACAATATAAACAGTGAGAAGGGCAGGGAGGCTTCCCTGCTTGCTAACCATAACTCCACCCAAAGTTAGCTTAAACCACTTAGAGCCAGTTTAGAGATCTACCAGGGAAGCTTCATGATGCTCTGTTAAAGGCCGGGAGCAGTGGCTCATGCCTGTAATCCCAGCACTTTGGGAGGCGAGGCAGGAGAATCGCTTGAGTCCAGGAGTTCGAGACCAGCCTGGGAAACATTGTGAGATTTCCATTGCTACAACAAATTTAAAAAGTTAGCCAAGTGTGGTGGCATGCCCCTATCATCTCAGCTACTCAGGAGGCTGAGACAGGGCTACAGGGGAAGTGAGATATGATCATGCCACTGCCCTGCAGCCTGGGCAACAGAGCAAGACACTATCTCTTAAAAAAAAGAAAAAGAGGTTGAGCGCAGTGGCTCACACCTGTAATCCCAGCACTTTGGGAGGCCAAGGCAGGTGGATCACTTGGGATCAGGAGTTAGAGACCAGCCTGGCCAACATGGTGAAACCGTGTCTCTACTAAAAATACAAAATATTAGCCAGGCGTGGTGGTGGGTGCCTGTAATCCCAGCTAGTTGGGAGGCTGAAGCAGGAGAATCGCTTGAACCTGGGAGACAGAGGTTGCAGTGAGCCGAGATGGTGCCATTGCAATCCAGCCTGGGCGACAGGAGTGAAACTCCATCTCAAAAAAAAAAGAAAAAGAGATGATCTGTTTGCTCTCTTAGATCTGAAACTACTGATTGGTGGCTGGGGATGGTGGGTAGGAAGTAGTGACTGCTGTTAACATGTAAAGGTTCCACAGCTCTCCAGTGCTTCAGCTGCGTAAATCCTCTTTCTAAATGCATACTCTTTTCTTTCTTTTTTTTCTTTTTTGAGACAAAGTCTTGCTCTATCACCCAGGGGCTGGAGTGCAGAGTCATGATCTCAGTTCATAGCAGCCTCAAGCTCAAGCGATCCTCCTTCCTCAGCCTACTGAGTAGCTGGGACCACAGACATGCACCTCCATGCCTGCCTAATTTTTGTTTGTTTGGTAGAGACTGGGTCTCTCTATGTTGCCCAGGCTGGTCTTGAACTCCTGGGCTCAAGCAATCCTCCCACCTCTGCCTCCCAAAGTGCAGGTGTGCACCACCCCTACTGGCCAAATGCATACTCATTTTAAAAAAGAAAACATACTTTCTATTATCATTCTATTCCATATATATTTACATTTGGCTTTTTATTTGGAATAAGTAAGTCTGTTGTGAATTTTTGCACAACTTTTAAAAGATTGGATGACATCACTACTTTGGCTGCCCTCAAACCTAGCATTACAGTACTGTCAGAGAAAAACAGTGGAATTTAGACATCAGAAGTTCAGCAGACCCTCTGATTTTGTCAATTAACTACTTCATACGTTGAGAATGTTATTTAACTTTTTCAGCCTCAGCTTCCTCATGATTCATGCAACTTAAAGGAGGTTTCAGGTTCCCATGAGATAAAACAGAAGCTAAAGCACTTTCCAGGTAATGTGATTCTATACAAAGAGCATTGCTTTAGAATGAGAGGGGGGAGGGTTTGAACTGTGGTCCCACCATTTACTAATTGTGTAATCTTGGGCATGTTTCTTAGGCAACTTGACTTTGAGTTTTTTCATTAGTAAAATAGTGGACTCGATACTTTTTTTTTTTCTTTTTGAGACAGAATCTCACTCTGTTGCCCAGGCCGGAGTGCAGTGGGGCAGTCACCATTCACTGCAGGCTGGACTTCACAGGCTCAAGCAATTCTCCCACCTCAATCCCCAGAGTAGCTGGGATTGCAGGTGTGCACCACCACGCCGGGCTAATATTTTTAGTTTTTGTAGAGACAAGGTCTCACTCTGTTTCTCAGGCTGGTCTCAAATTCCTGGCCTCAAGTGATCCTCCTGCCTTGGCCTCCCAATGTACTGGGACTACAAACATGAGGCACTACATCTGGCTACAATACTTTTTATTCTTGTAAAGATCTGAATGAAATAATAGTAAAGGAAATGAATACAGTTCCTTCCATATGGTAGATAGTTACAAATACTAATTTCCTTCAATTTCCCTAGAATAAAATATTATAAGAGTTCTAATTAAACCTAATTGATTGACCTGGATTTTTTTTTCTAATTCTTCTCAAATAAAATAAAGGAAATTGAAGTTATAAAACCGAAGGATACTATAATAATTCTAGGGTACCTTAATACTCCACTTTCAATAATGAATAGACCATCTAGACAAAAGAAGATCAACAATGCCTTAAATCAACTAGACCGAACAAATATCTACAAAACATCCATCCACCAACAACAAGATACAGATTCTTCTCTACTGCACATGGAGCATTCTCCAGGATGGACCATACATTAGGCCACAAAATAAGTCTTAGTAAATTTTAAAAGGTAGACCGGGCATGGTGGCTCACGCCTGTAATCCCAGCACTTTGGGAGGCCAAGGCGGGTGGATCACCTGAGGTCGGGAGTTCAAGACCAGCCTGACCAACAGGAAGGAATCCCATCTGTACAAAAACAAACAAACAGACAAACAAAAAACAAAAACATTAGCCCGGGATGGTGGCGCACGCTTGTAATCCCAGCTACTCGGGAGGCTGAGGCAGGAGAATCACTTGAACCTGGGAGGCAGAGGTTGCGGTGAGCTGAGATTGCACCATTGCACTCCAGCCAGAGCAACAAGAGCAAAACTCTTGTTGAGCAAAACTCTGAAAAAAAAAAAAAATTAAAAAAGGTAGAAGTCATACAAAGTTATCTGTTCTAATCACAATGAATAAAATTAGAAATCTAGACCAAAAGGAAAATGCAAATTCACAAATACATGAAAATTAACCAATACACTCTTAATCAACAGGTCAAAGAAGCAATCACAAGGGAAATTAGAAAATATCAGAGATGAATAAAAAACTTTTTGTAAACTTTTAATTAAAAAGTAAACGTTAATGTCGAAAATGCAAACTTGGGGAAGACAGAAAAGATCACACACAAGGCCGTCACTTCACACTTGGAAGGTTCCACAGCGGCCGGACAGAGGCACTTCTCACTTCCCAGAAGGAGTGGTGGCCAGGCAGAGGCACTCCTCACTTCCCAGACAGTTGGCAGCCGGGGAGAGAGGCTCCTCACTTCCCGGACTGTGGACAGATGGGCAGAGGCGCTCTTCACTTCCAGGATGGTTGGCAGCTGGGCAAAGAGGCTCCTTACTTCCCAGAGAGTTGGCAGCTGGGCAGAGGTGCTCCTCTCTTCCCAGATGGTTGGTTGCTGGGCAGAGATGCTCCTCACTTCCCAGTTATTTGGGCAGCCAGGGAGAGGCACTCCTCACTTCCCAGACGGTTGGCAGCTGGGCAGAGGCGCTCCATACTTCCCAGATGGCTGGCAGCAGGGCAGAGGCGCTCCTCAGAGGTGCCCCTCACTTCCCAGATGGTTGGCGACTGGGCAAATGCACTCCTCGCTTCCAGGACTGTGGGCAGCCGGGTAGAGATGCTCCTCACTTCCCAGATGGGGCGGCGGCCGGGCAGAGGTGCTCCTCACTTCCCAGATGGTGGGTGGGCAGAGGCCCTCATCACTTCCCAGATGGTTGGCAGCCGGGCAGAGGTGCACCTCACTTCCCAGATGGTTGGCGGCCTGGCAGAGGAGCTCCACACTTCCCGGACTGTTGGCAGCTGTGCAGAGGTGCTCCTCACTTGCCAGACTTTGGGCAGCTGGGCAGAGGTGCTCCTCACTTCCCAGACTTTGGGCAGCTGGGCAGAGGCGCTCCTCACTTCCCAGAAGGTTGGCAACCAGGCAGAGGTGCTCCTCACTTCCCAGATGATTGGCAGCTGGGCAGAAATGCTCCTCACTTCCTGGACTGTCAGCAGCTGGTCAGAGGTGCTCCTCACTTCCCGGACAGTTGGCAACGAGGCAGAGGCGCTCCTCACTTCCCAGACTGTGGGCAGCTGGGCAGAGGCGCTCCTCACTTCCCAGATGGTTGGCAGCTGGGCAGAGGTGCTCCTCACTTCCCAGACTTTGGGCAGCTGGGCAGAGGGGCTCCTCACTTCCCAGATGATTGGCGGCCAGGCAAATGCACTCCTTGCTTCCAGGACTGTGGGCAGCTGGGCAGAGGCGCTCCTCACTTCCCAGACGGTGGGTAGGCAAAGGCCTTCATCACTTTCCAGATGGTCGGCAGCCAGGCAGAGGTGTGCCTCACTTCCCAGATGGTTGGCAGCCTGGCAGAGGAGCTCCACACTTCCCGGACCGTTGGCAGCTGTGCAGAGGTGCTCCTCACTTCCCGGACTTTGGGCAGCTGGGCAGAGGCGCTCCTCACTTCCCGGAAGGTTGGCAACCGGGCAGAGGTGTTCCTCACTTCCTGGATGATTAGCAGCTGGACAGAAACGCTCCTCACTTCCTGGACTGTTGGCAGCTGGGCAGAGGCGCTCCTCACTTCCCAGACTGTGGGCAGCTGGGCAGAGGCGCTCCTCACTTCCCGGACCATTGGCAGCTGGGCAGAGGCACTCCTCACTTCCAAGACTGTGGGCAGCTGGGCAGAGGTGCTCCTCACTTCCCAGATGGTTGGCAGCCAGGCAGAGGGGCTCCTCACTTCCCAGTCATTTGGACAGCTGGGCAGAGGCGCTCCTCACTTCCCAGCTGGTTGGCTGCCCAGCAGAGATGCTTCTCACTTCCCAGATGGTTGGCTGCTGGGCAGAGGCGCTCCTCACTTCCCAGATGGTTGGCAGCCGGGCAGAGGCACTTCTCAGTTCCCAGATGGTGGGCAGCCGCCAGAGGCGCTCCTCACTTCCTAGAGGGCTGGCTGCCTGGCAGAGGCACTCCTCACTTCTCAGATGGTTGGCATCCGGGCAGAGGTGCTCCTCACTTCCCAGATGGTGGGCAGCCTTTCAGTTCCCAGACCGTGGTAAGCCAGGCACAAGCGCTCATCACTTCCCAGACAGGGACGCGGCCAGGCAGAGGTGCTCCTCGTTTCCCAGATGGTTGGCAGCTGGGCAGAGGCGCTCCTCACTTCCCAGATTGTGCGGCCGTTGGGCAGAGGCACTCCTCACTTCCCAGATGGTTGGCAGCTGGGCAGAGGCACTCCTCACTGCGTTCCTTACTTCCCAGACAGTGGGCCGCTGGGCAGAGGCACTCCTCACTTCCCACACAGTTGGCAGCCAGGCAAGAGGCACTCCTCATTTCCCAGACAGTTGGTGGCTGGGAAGAGGCGCTCCTCACTTCCCAGTCAGTTGGCCGGCCAGGCAGAGGTGCTCCTCACTTCCCACATGGTTGGCTGCCTGGCAGAGATGCTCCTCACTTCCCAGATGGTTGGCGGCTGGGCAGAGGCGCTCCTCAGTTCCCAGATAGTAGGCAGCCTTTCAGAGGCGCTTCTCAGTTCCCAGACGGTGGTAAGCCAGGCAGAGGCGCTCATCACTTCCCAGACAGGGATGTGGCCAGGCAGAGGCACTCCTCGTTTCCCAGACAGTTGGCAGCTGGGCAGAGGCACTCCTCACTTCCCAGATGGTTGGCGGCCCGGCAGAGGCTCTCCTCACTTCCCTGACAATTGGCAGCCGTGCAGAAGTTCTCCACGTTTCCCAGACAGTTGGCGGCCGGGAAGAGGTGCTCCTCACTTCCCAGTCAGTTGGCCTACCGGGCAGAGGCGCTCCTCACTTCCTGGACAGGGTGGCGGCCAGGCAGAGGCACTCCTCACTTCCCAGACAGTTGGCGGCCCAGTAGAGGCACTCCTCACTTCCCAGACAGTGGGCAGTTGGGCAGTTGGGCAGAGGGTCTCCTCACTTCCCAGACAGTTGGCAGCCAGGCAGAGGTGCTCCTCATTTCCCAAACGGGGTGAAATAAAAATTTTTTAAAAAACACAACATACCGGCTGGGTGCTGTGACTCAGGCCTGTAATCCTAGCCCTCTGGGAGGCCAAGGAGGGCGGATCACCTGAGCTCAGGAATTCAAGACGAGCCTGACCAACATGGTGAAATCCTGTATGTACTAAAAATACAAAAATTAGCCAGGCATGGTGGTGGGTGCCTGTAATCTCAGCTGCTCCTGAGGCTGAGGCAGGAGAATTGCTTGAACCCGGGAGGCGGAGGTTGCAGTGAACTGAGAACGGGCCACTGCACTCCAGCCTGGGCGACAGAACAAGACTGTCTCAAAAACAAAACAAAACAAAACAACAAAAAAAAACCAATGTACCAAAACGTATGGGATACAGCAAAGGCAGTGTGCAGAAGGAAATATTTAATAGTAAATGTTACATTAAAAAGGAAGGAAGATCTCAAATAAATAAGCTAACTCTCTAACATAAGCAACTAGGAAAAGCAGAACAAATTGAACACAAAGCTAGCAGAATGAAGGAAATCACAAAGATTAGCACAGAGAAAAATAAAATAGAGAATATAAAAACAGTAGAGAAAATCAATGAACTAAAAGTTGTTTCTTTCAAACTGACAAACCTTTAGCTAGACTGACAAAAAAGAGAGAGAAAAGAAAACCAACTTAAATCAGAAATGGAAAAGAAGATATATCACTACAGACCTTATATAAATAAGAATTGTAAAGGAATACTAAGAATAACTGCAAACCAAAAAATTAGATAACTTAAGTGAAATAATAAAGTTTCTAGAAATACACAAATTATCTAAATTGACTCAAGGAGAAATAGAGACTCTCAATAGACCATAACATTAAAGAGATTGAATAAGTAGTCAAAATCTCCCAAGAAGGAAAAGTTTACAACCAGCTGGCTTCGACAGTGAATTCTAACATTTAAAGAATTAACATCAATCCTGCTGGGATTACAAAGTGTAATCTCAGCACTTTGGGAGCCCAAGACAGGCAGATCATGAGGTCAGGAGTTTGAGACCAGCCTGGCCAACATGGTGAACCCCATCTCTATTAGTAATACAAAAATTAGTGGGGTGTGGTGGCATGTACCTGTAGTCCCAGCTACTTGAGAAGCTGAGGCATGAGAATCACTTGAACCTTGGAGGGAGGGGTTGCAGTGAGCCAAGATTGGGCGACAGAGCGAGACCTCATCTCAAAAAAAAAAAAGAAAGAAAAAGAAAAAAAGAAAAAGAAAAAAAAAGAAACAGAATTAACATCAATCTTTGTCAAATTCTTCTAAAAATTGAAGAGGATGAAACATTTCCTAACTCATTCTATAAAGCTAGCATTACCCTCAAAGCCAGAAGAAAATAGTACAAGAAAAGAGCATTATAGAATCAAAATCTCTTTTGAATATAGATGCAAATATATGAAATGTACCATTTTAAAGTGTTAACTCTTTAAATTTGACATCATTTTGACATCATTAATTGTATTCACAATAATGTACAATCTTCATCTATTTCCAAAATTTTTCATCACCCCCAAACAAAAACTCTTATCATTCAGCAATAACTCCCAATGAATTCGCTGATTTCCATACATTTGTCTCTGTGAATTTGCTCATTCCAGATAGTATTAGTCAGTTTTCACACTGCTGATAAAGATATACCCAAGACAGGGCACTTCTTACATGGCGGCAGACAAGAGAGAATCAAGAACCAAGTGAAAGGGGTTTCCCCTTCTCAAACCATCAGATCTCATGAGACTTATTCACTACCAGGAGAACAGTATGGGGGAACCACCTCCATGATTCAATTACCTCCTATCGGGTTCCTCCCACAACACGTGGGAATTATGGGAGCTACAATTCAAGATGAGATTTGGGTGGGGACAAAGCCAAAGCAAATCACAGATGTTTCGTATAAGTGGAATCACGTAATGTTTACATTTTGCGTTTTTTATTTCACTCAGTGTGTTTTCAAGGTTCATCCACATTGTAGCATGCATCCAAACTTTGTTCTTTTTATGCCTGAATAATATTCCATTGTATAGATATACCATGATTTGATTATACATTGGTTTTCACCTTTTGTTTCCTTATTTTCACCTCTTGGCTATTATGAATAATCTTGCAATGAACGTTGGCATACAGGTTGTTTGAGTCCCTGTTGTCAGCTTTTCTGGGTATGTATCTAGGAGTAGAATTGCTCGGTCATTTTGTAATTCTATGTTTAGCTTTCGAGGAACTGCCAAACTGTTTCAATAATGGTTGCACAGGCCAGGTGCAGTAGCTCACTCCTGTAATCCCAGCACTTTGGGAGACTGAGATGGGTGGATCACTTGAGGCCATGAGTTTGACACAATGGTTGCACAATTTTACATTCCCACCAACAGTGTACACGGTTCCAATTTCTTAACATACTTGCCAATACTTTTTATTTTCCTTACATATTTTCAGTTGCAGACATCTTAGAAAGTGGTATCTCATTGCACTTAGAAAGTGGTATCTCACTTAGAAAGTGGTAGCTGTTATTTGCATTTCTCTAATGATTAGTGATATTGAGCATCTTTTCATGTGCTTATTGGCCATCTGTCTGCTTTAATTGAAAAAATGTCTATCAAGTCATTTGCCCATCTTTAAAGTAAAATTGTTTGTCTTTTTGTTATCGAGGTATAGAAGTTCTTTGTGTATTTTGGATATTAAACTCTTATCAGATATATGATTTGCGAATACTTCCCCCTTTCTGTAGGTTGTCTTTTTATTTTCTTGATTTTCTTGATAGTGTCTTTTGAAATATAAAATTTTAAAATGTTGATGAAGTCTTTTTTTGTTTTGCCACTTGTGCTTTTGGTGTTAAGGAGATAAAGATATAACTTTATGTCTTCTTCTAAGAGCGTTATAATTTGAGCAAGTACATTTAGGTTTGATCCATTTTGAGTTAATTTTTTTTTTAATGGAGTCTCTCTCTTGTCACCCAGACTGGAGTGCAGTGGCACAATCTCGGCTCACTATAACCTCCACCTCATGGGTTCAAGCAATTCTCCTGCCTCAGCGTCCTGAGTAGCTGGGATTATAGGCACATGCCACCATGCCTGGCCAATTTTTGTACTTTTAGGAGAGACAGGGTTTAGCCATGTTGGCCAGGCTGGTCTCCAACTCCTGACCTCAAGTAATCTGCCCTCTTCGGCCTCTCAAAATGCTGGGATTACAGGCAGGAACCACCGTGCCCAGCTGAGATAACTTTTTTTTTATTATGTGAGGTAAGGATTCAACTTCAGTCTTCTGCACCTAGATACCCGGTTGTCCCAGCATCATTTGTAGAAGAAACTACTCTTTATTCATTGAATGTACTTGGCACCTTTATCAAACATCAACTGGCCAGAGATGTACAGGTCTATTTCTGAACTCCCAATTCTATTTCTTTGATCTATATGCTTGTGATTATGCCAGTACCACAGTATTTTGATTAGTGTAGTTTTAGTCAGTTTTAAAGGGAAAATGAGCTTGTTCGTCATCCATTGGTTGAAAACAAGTGGATAATCAAATCATGGTATATCCGTACAATAGGATATTATTCAGCTATGGGTATAGCACCAGGTGCAAGAAAAAGCAGCTATCAGATGTGGGGTTGATAACAGGTAAGTTGGCTGAAAGTCAGTGCACAGAGCAGGTGCCTCCCCAAACTCCGTGCAGACAAGTAACTACTTTTTTGCAACAGAAAATAAGGAGTTTATTCTCTAGAGAAACCAAACCAGAATAACTCTAAATTCAGGGCATGGGATAGGATGAAGAGCATGGGTGAAGTGCTAAACTAAAAGCAGGAAATAAAATGAAAGTCTGCAAAGTGAATTCATCACCTAAGCCTCTAGCTCATGACCTGCTCATAGCACCTCTACAACTAAAATTTTGATGAATGATGAGGGAAATCTAGAGTGAATGAAGTAGAAGGGAGAGAATACATATTATTAAGTATAAAATAATATATTAATATAGAATTAATACATGGAATAAATATTAACTATGATCTTTGATCAGATACAGCAGTGGGATCTATAGGTTGTTCCAGGAGTATACTTGTATTAGTTTTTTCAGGCTTATGTCTGGCTCCCATCTTGAAGAGGACTCTGTGATGAATGGGATGTCATGAAGAGCTTGAATAAATCTGTATGTTGCAAGGGGTGAGCTATCTCAGACACCTCTTGTACACCATTGCCTAACTCAGTCCTGTGTCTTACTCCAGCTGCTGTTGTAGCCACCAATTCTGAGCAGCGGACTTCCACCAGTTCTGCCCACTGCAACCAGACAGCATCTCACTCCAAGTTCACACTACACACCTCTTACTTCCTACCTTGGAGCTTCTCTGATGTCACGGCATGGATGCCTGTGAGAAATGTGGCACTCTCACGCAGAAAGCAGGAAATAATGAGGAATAAAATCTATGAGACTACCTTGACAAGTGGAAGATGGGATCTGATGGATAAATGCTTCCCCTTTTTGTCTTCCACATGAGGTCCACAGAATGATCTGGTGAGATGGAGCACTTGTAGCCATGGCCAACACCATAGCTCATCTTTGTATTTTTTTCCCCTCTGTCTTTACTCCACTCCCCCAGTCCCTCATTCCTGTCCCCTGGAACAATCCCAATAACTACCTAAATGCATGCTCTTGTCTCATTCTCTGCATTTTTAGAGGGGTCCAAATTAAGACAAATCTGAAAATTTTACCCAACTGTATGGGCAAAAGATATAAAATTATAATAAAGATATTTTCAGACATGCAATGACAGAAAGGAAAAGGATAGAAGGTAGGAAGAAAATGAAGAAGTAAGGAAGGAAGGAAGGAAAAGAGGAAGGGAGGAAGGTAGAAAGGGGATGGAAGGAAGGAAGGAGAAGGGAAGGGAAGGAGGGAAGGAAGGGGAGGGAGAGAAGGAGGGAGACGGGGAGGGAGGGAGGGAGGGAGGGAGGAAGGAAGGAAGGAGAAAGGAAGAAAAACGGAAGGAAGGATGGGAAAGAAAGAAAAGAAAGAAAGAAGAAAGAAAGAAAGAAAGAAAGAAAGAAAAGAAGGAGAGAGAAAGAAGAAAAAAGAAAAAAGGAGAGAGAGAAAGAAGAGAGAGAAAAAGAGAAACACATGGGGATGAGGAAAACTAGTACTAAATCCAATTCAGGAGATTGGCCAAGTTTCAGAATAACAGCTTTGCAGCAGATTCAAAGAAGGAGCACTGCAGATTAAACTTTCAAGAGGGATAACTCTAGGCATTGGGGTGAGGTGGGGGGGTAGGGGAAATAATATAAAGAAGATTTCACATGTGTGAGCCTTTGGGGAGAAAATCACCACATATAGGAAACTGACAGGTCTGATGGTAAAATTCAATGATATGTACATTGAAACAATGCAAGTGAAAGATAAAGTAATTATTTACTCCCCCACATTTCCCAGAGAGGAAATGTAATCATAAAAAAGTATGACCCACTAGTGAACAATATTGAGACAGCCATAATACTATAAATTTTTGTGATTGATTTTTCTAAACATATAGCTAGATGGGTAGGATAAGGGAGGAAAAGGGGTGTGTGTAGGGGGAACCGTGAAAAAGAGCTAATTCATCACTTATCACACAAAAAAAGATAATCAAAAATATTTAAACTGATATATCAACAAGAAGCAGTAAAAAACTGCTTTTCAGTATTTTTAAGGTTTTCAGTTAATGCAGCAGTCTGCTACTGAGAGAAGTATATTCTCAATCTAAGAATGAGGGTATAAACATGATATTATTTTATTTTATCCTCTGACCTCTACCTTCAACTGTGTTATATTGAATCTCATTTTCACTTTACTTAATAATCTCTTGACCAGATCCCATAGCTCTCTAGTCATTTTTTTTCCTTGAGACAGAGTTTTGCTCTTGTTGCCCAGGCTGGAGTGCAATTGTATGATCTTGGCTCACTGCAACCTCCACCTCCAGAGTTCAAGCAATTCTCCTGCCTCAGACTCCCGAGTAGCTGGGATTACAGGCATGCAACCACCACACCCAGCTAATTTCGTATTTTTAGTAGAGACAGGGTTTCTCCATGTTGGTCAGGCTGGTCTCGAACTACCGACCTCATGTTATCCACCTGCCTTGGCCTCCCAAAGTGCTGGGATTACAGGCATGAGCCACCGCGCCAGCCCTCTAGTCATTTTTCAAAAGGTGCGAAATGTCCAGTCCACCTTTCTTGATTTTAAAACTTCAGTCGTAGGCCAGGTGCAGTGGCCTGTAATCTCAGCACTTTGGGAGGCTGAGGCAGGAGGATCACTATCACTTGAGGCCAGGAGTTTGAGGCCAGCCTGGACAGCATAGCAACTCCCCATCACTACAAAAAAAATTAAAAATTAGCAGGACATGGTGGCATGCACCTATAGTCCCAGCTACTCAGGAGGCTGAGTTGGAAGGATCGCTTGAGCCCAGGAGTTCGAGGCTGCAGTGAGCTATGATTGCACCACTGCACTCTAGCCTGGGCAACACAGTTTCTAAAAATAAAATGAAATAAAATAAATGAAATAAAATAAGATACCGCAATCTTAGAAGCCATGTGTGGGGAAAAGAAAGAGAGATCAGATTGTTACTGTGTCTTATCTCCTTTCTCAGTCTCTCATCCCACCTAACAAAAAATACCCACAGGTGTAGAGGGGCTGACCCCCTTCACCGCGAATACTCTCCTTCCCTCCCATCCTTTCCATCCATTCATGCTTCCCCCTACACACACACACCTTTCCTCCCTTAGCCTACCTACCCAGCTATGTTTTTAGAAAAATCAATCACAAAAATTTATATTATTACAGCTGTCTAAACACTCTTCCGTGCCTCAGGCAAGGAATCCAGAGGAAGCAGGAGACATGCTGGCAATTTCACTCCCCTATATCTTGGTCAGGAATTGGGGTCACAGTAAAGGAGTAAACATCTTTTTTTTTTTTTTTTTGAGATGGAGTCACTCTCTCATGGCCCAGGCTGGAGTGCAGTGGTGCAATCTCGGCTCACTGCAACTTCTGCCTCCAGGGTTCAAGCGATTCTCCTGCCTCAGCCTCCCGAGTAGTATTACAGGCACCCGGCACCACACGTGGCTAATTTTTGTATTTTTAGTAGAGATGGGGTTTCACCATGTTGGCCAGGCTAGTCTCGAACTCCTGACCTCAGGCGATCCGCCCACCTCAGCCTCCCAAAGTGCTGGGATTACAGGCGTGAGCTACCAGGCCCTGCTAAAGGAGTAAACATCTGAATGTATACCTGGTATTGTTATCGTCGCCTCCTAGCTAACATTGGCCACGGACATGGACCATGCAGCTAGAACCTCAGTGTTTATCTGCTCATAGGGCACTTGTAGAAATCTTTTGAAGGGTCCTCAGGAACCTTTCCACCATCAGGTTTACCTCTTCCAACCCCATCCAACCTGACACCTGGCCTCTTCCTGCTGCTGTTCTGTCCAGCAGAGTGCCGAAAAGATGGCTCCATGCTGGCCAGCTTCCCCAGGGCCTCTTTGGTCCACAAGCAACCCTGCATCCTTGCCATGTCGCTCCTCCCACCTCGTTTTCATCTTTTTCTCCTCTGCTGAAATAGACATCAAGGGCAATCAGCCAGCCTGTTGCATAGCAAACACCCAACAGGGGAATGAGATGCCAGTCTCTCCTTCTTT
The DNA here is from genome assembly GCF_000001405.40 of Homo sapiens. Lineage (NCBI taxonomy): Eukaryota > Metazoa > Chordata > Mammalia > Primates > Hominidae > Homo > Homo sapiens. The sequence continues at coordinate 67,880,547 of NC_000007.14, read as the reverse complement.
GGGGTACCCTTAATCTCTTCTTGAAATCCCCTCTCTCATTTGTTGGTGTGGAGCTGCCACAGGAAGCATGCAAATGAAACAGAATGGAGGCAGGGCGTGGTGGGTTCACACCTTTAATCCAGCACTTAGGGAGGCTGAAGTGGGCGGATCACTTTAGGTCAGAAGTTCGAGACCAGCCTGGTCAACATAATGAAACCCTGTCTCTACAAAAATACAAAATTAGCTGGGCATGGTGGTGCACTCCTGCAATCCCAGCTACTCAGGAGGCTGAGATGGGAGGATCACTTGAACCCAGGAGGCGGAGGTTTCAGGGAGCTGAGATCGTACCACTGCACTCCAGCTCTGTCTCAAAAAAAAAAAAGTGAATGGAGGAGACAGCAATTTCTCCCCCTTGGCATATGGTTCCCAAGATCTTCCCAGAGTTTTGGGTGTTCTGCTTATTAAGGTTGGAGAAGGAGGAGTAGGTGATAGCAAGAAAGATATGAGAGTCAATATCGTGTAAGTATCCAGACCCAGACTACCCAAAATAGAAACCTGTTTCTGCTTTTGGGCAGAATTATTAATAACTAACCTCGCCAAGCCTCAGTTCCTTCATCTGCAAGATAGAAATACTTCAAAGGGTCATTATAATAGTTAAATGAATAAATAAATCTAAGGAGTTTGGAATAGGATCTAGGACGTCGTAAACACTGCATAAGTGTTATCTGTTCTTATTATTTCTGCCACGCGTTAGAAAGATCTTGAGAGATGAGTCTTGTCATCTTGTCAATTCTCTTTAGACTGTGGGAGTTCTTAGCACCTATTATTTTTAGCTTTGAGGCTATAGCTACAATTCTGAAACCAAAGCAAAAATCTATTTAATGTCCTGCTACACATATTATTTAGAAATATGGAGATAAATGCTGGAAGAAATAGCTAAAAGAGTAGAAAGTGATTGCCTCTAGAGAGTAAGACTTGAGAGATACAGCTCCCGGGCGGACTGCTACTACTTATTATCAGCCCTTTAAGTACTATTCAATTTTTAAAAATTAGATGCATGCATTACTTTGATAAAATTAATTCTTAATTTTTAAAGAAGAAAATACTCTTTGAGAATATAAAACAGAATTCTACATGTTAATTAGCATCTATTTTGTTTTCGTCATATTTTAAAGGTGTCATCACAAGCCTGGAAAACATAGATAGGACCCAAAGTTATCATCCAATTGGGATTGGAAAACTTCTATACAGACAATGCAGAAACCCTTAAGTAATTCTTCAATCCTCCGTTTTTTCTTTCTTTCCTTTTTCTTTCATAACAAAAAAATGCCCTATTTTTTTATTAAACAAAGCATTCTAAAACTCACTCTTAGGTAATTGAGTGCACTATTTCTTGACGGGCTCTCACATTTAATGGGATTTAGAATTATTTTACAGTAGTGTTGTTTTTTTCAGGATGTTCACTGCTTCCTGAGTTACCTACCATCTTCCTGGTGGCATTTTTTTCTGCATGACAGTGTATTCCGCACATTTAATTATACACTTTTGGGAAACTGGGTGAATGTGAAGCCGTGTCGTTGTCTGGGGTAAATATTCAAGGTTCATTGTCTTACACCAAGGGAATCGAGGATGTGGGCACACAAGAAGTGAGTTTAAGAGTGGAGGTTTAATCGACGAAAGAAAGAGAAAAGAGTATAGTTATCTCTCCTGCAGAGAGAGAGAGGGGCGCCCCAGTGGGTCTTTGGTCTGCAGTGAAGTGCACGGGTTTTTTGTTTGTTTGTTTTTGAGACGGAGTCTCGCTCTGTAGCCCGGGCTGGAGTGCAGTGGCGCGATCTCAGCTCTCTGCAAGCTCCGCCTCCCGGGTTCACGCCGTTCTCCTGCCTCAGCCTCCCGAGCAGCTGGACTACAGGCGCCAGCCACCACGCCCGGCTAATTTTCTGTATTTTTAGTAGAGATGGGGTTTCACCGTGTTAGCCAGGATCGCCTGGATTTCCTGATCTCGTGACCCGCCAGCCTCAGCCTCCCAAGGTGCTGGGATTACAGGCAGGAGCCACCGTGCGCAGCTGTGCCCGAGTGAGTTTTATAGACTGCCCTGAGGAAGCAGTGTCTGATTTACATAGGGCTCAAAGATTGGTTGGACCAGGTGTGTCATTTACTTAGCACTGGAAGAAGCTGGGTGCCCCACCCTAAACTTTTATTATGCAGATGAAATCTCTACCTGGCCGGCATCATGTTATCTGTTCTTTACTGTGCACGTGGTTGACAAAGAAAAGGGGAGATGGAGCCGCCATGTGGAACATACCTATCCCCCGGGTAGACTTTTCCTATTGGCACAACTGCCAGCATTAACCCCTGCAAGCTTCCAGCTTGCTTATCTGTGTCCGCAGCTTGATTTTACAGGCTGCTCTTGGTTAGAAAAGAAATTATTTGGGGGCTGCTTTTCATTAAAAGGAAAACCTTACCGAAGACTCTCTTACCCTCACTATCTGCCTAAATAATTTCTTTTTAACTCCTATATCAACTGTATCCTATGCCAAGGTTCAAGTGATTCTCCTGTCTCAACCTCCCAAGTAGCTGGGATTACAGGTGTCCACCACCATACATGGCTAATTTTTGTATTTTTAGTAGAGGTGGGGTTTCACCATGTTGGCCAGGCTGGTCTTGAACTCCTGACCTCAAGTGATCCACCCACCTTGGACTCCCAAAATGCTGGGATTACAGGTGTGAGTCATCATGCCCAGGCCAAATGTTTTTAATATGATAAGCAGCCATCAGTAATGTGATTTGTTTTCTGTATTTCTCAACACTGTTTCAAATACACTTGTTTTGCTCTCTGTCTCCCAAGACAATTGTATTAGTCATCTTCAGAGAAATATAGCATATAGATACATACATATATATATAGAGAGAGAGAGAGTGTGAAAGAGAGTCAGAGAGAAGAAAGATGAAGAAGAAGAAGAAGAAGAGGAGGAGGAAGGAGAAGAAGAATAAAAAGGAGGAGGAGGTGGAATAATTTATTATGGGAATCAGCTCATACATTTATGGAAGACAAAGGGTCCCATGATCTCTTGATAATCGATGAAGCCAGTGGCATAATTTAGCATAAGACTGAAGACTTGAGGACCAAGAGCTCCCACGTCCGAGGGCAGGAGAAGATGGATGTCTCAGCTTAAGAAAGAGAGCAAATCACTCTCCCTCTGCCTTTTTGTCCTATTTGGGCCCTCAGCAAGTTGGATGATGCCACATTGGTCAGGGCAGACCTTCTTTACGCAGCCTATTGATTCAAATGCTGATCTCCTCCAGAAACACCCTCACAGACACACCCAGAAATAAGGTTTTACCAGTTATCTGGGCATCCTTTATCCCAGTCAAGTTGACATATAAAATTAACCATCACAACAACCCATTATGGCTCCCTTCACTGCTCCCTTCTCACTGCTACTCTTTTTCCTTATCCAAATATTACAAGCAAATCAAGTCAGCCTCTGGCCTTCAGAATTCTCCATTCATCATCCAGTTCCTGACCAAATTCTTCATTGAAAGAACAATTTTGTACATACTTCATTTGCTCCCCACTGTGAACTGGAATCAAATGACATCAAGAAGTCAGGAAATTGTAAATGAGTTCAACCATTATGGAAAGCAGTGTGACAATTCCTCAAAGAACTAAAAACAGAACTACCATTCCACCCAACAATCCCACTACTAGATATATACCCAGAGGAATATAAATTGTTCTGTCATAAAGACACATGCACCCATATGTTCATTGCAGCACTATTCACAATAGCAAAGACATGGAATCAACCTAAATGTCCATCGATGGTAGACTGGATCAAGAAAATGTGGTACATATACACCATGGAATACTATGCAGCCATAAAAAATGAGATCATGTCCTTTGTAGGAACACAGATGGAGCTGGAGGCCATTATCCTCAGCAAACTAACGCAGAAACAGAAAACCAAATACCACATGTTATTACTAATAAATGAAGCTAAATAATGAGAACACATGAACATAAAGAGAGGAACAATAGAGACTGGGGTCTCCTTGAGGGAGGAGGGTAGGGGTGGGGTGAGGATTGGAAAACCACCTATCAGGTACTATGCTTATTACCTAAGTGGTGAAATAATCTGTACACCAAACCCCCAAGTCTTAAGTTTACCTATATATAAAACCTGTACATGTATCCCCGAACCTAAATTAAAAGTTTAAAAATAATAATAAAAGAGGCTGGGCATGGTGGCTCACGCCTGTAATCCCAGCACTTTGGGAGGCAAAGGCGGGCGGATCACCTGAGGTCAGGAGTTCGAGACCAGCCTGACCAACATGGAGAAACCCCATCTTGACTAAAAATGCAAAATTAGCCGGGCGTGGCGGCACACGCCTGTAATCCCAGCTATTTGGGAGGCTGAGGCAGGAGAATCACTTGAACCCGGGAGGTGGAGGTTGCTGTGAGCTGAGATCACTGCACTCCAGCCTGGGCAACAAGAGCAAAACTCAGTCTCAAAGTCAATCAATCAATCAATCAATAAAATAATAATAGTAAAAGAAAAAAATGATGCAGGCATTTAAAGTAACTTGTGTCCCTCCATTGAGAAGCCCCTTACCTATTAAAAAAGTAACTTTGTTCAGCAATTTTTGGTTACTAACACATGTTAACATGCTTTGTAAAATGGAAAGTGCTAAAGGTTTTGTGTAACCAGCTGCATCTCTGAAGACATGACGCATCTGTTCCCTCACAGCTAAGGAGAGAATTTCAGTGAGGAGTAATCATACCATCGGGAATGTGACAGGGCAGCAGGGAGCCAGCCCATGCTAGGTAGGGGTTCCTTTGTGCAGCTTGCTAAATTAATATAGAAGACAGGAAAGCCAGGCTTTTCAGCAACGCTAATCCCTGTATGTTCCAAATCAGAGCTATTAATTCTGCTTGCCTGGGATCAGCAATGGAATTTTGCATCTGTTTCAGTAGCTAGGAACATGGCAGAAAATGCCTTCGTGTTTCAAGTACTTTACAGTTTCTTTTTATTTTAAAAATTATAAGCCTGGGCATGGTGGCTCACCCCTGTAATCCCAACACTTTGGAAGGCTGAGGTGGGAGAAATGCTTGAGACCAGGAGTTCAAGATCAGCCTGGGCAACACAGTGAGACCTCGTCTCTACCAAAAAAAAAAAAATGTTTTAATTAGCTAGACCTGGTAGTGTGAGCCCATAGTCCTAGCTGAGGCTGAGGCAGGAGGATCACTTGAGACTGGGAGGTCGAGCCTGCAGTGAGCTGTGATTGTGCCACTGCACTCCAGCCTGGGTGACAGAGCAAGACCCTGTCAGAAAAAGAAAAGGAATGAAGAGAGGAAGGAAAGATGGAAGAGTGGGAGGGAGGGAGGGAGGGAGAAAGGGAGGGAGGGGAAGGAAGAAAGGAAGGAAGGAAGGAAATTATAAATAATTTCAACATGCAGCAAAGTGCAAAAAATGATATAACTGCACCTCTGTGTCATCACATAATTTAAACAGGTGTTAACATTTTGCCATGTTCAGTTCAGTTCTTAAAGAAGTAAGCCATGACATGAACATGTCCCAAATCACCCTCCATGCCTGAGCAGGAGCTAACATCTTAGCTTCCACATGAAGCATAATTTCTATACATGTACATTGTCTAAGCAACCCCAATACCCATCACGGTAGAATGGATGAATTACTTAGAATGTATTCATGCAAGAGAATATTATAAAGCAATGAAAATGAGCAAACTACAGTATACACATGATCATGGAAGACTATTTCTTTCTTTCTTTTTTTTTTTTTTTTTGAGATGGAGTCTAGCTCTGTCGCCCAGGGTGGAGTGCAGTGGTGGGATCTCGGTTCATTGCAACTCTGTCTCCCAGGTTCAAGCGATTCTCCTGTCTCAGCCTCCTGAGTAGCTGGGACTACAGGCATGAGCCACCATGCCCGGCTAATTTTTGCATTTTTAGTAGAGATGGGGTTTCACCATGTTGGCCAGGCTGGTTTTGAACTCCCGACCTCAGGTGATCCGCCCGCCTCGGCCTCCCAAGTGTTGGGATTATAGGCATGAGCCACCACCCCCAGCCCATGGAAAACTATTTCAAGCAAGGAAAACAAAGCTAAAAAGGTAGGATGTAGTTGAATTGCATTTAAATGAAGCTTAGAGACCAGGAAAAATAATTTGTTATTTAGGGTTATATAAACAGAAAGTCAAGCTAATGGAGGGTGGGAGGGGCCACACCAAATTTAAAATAGTACACAGGAGCTTCTGGGGCACTGGCTGTTTTGTTGCATAGGGGTTCATGTTATAATAATTAAATTATACGTAAATATGTATTTGGTGTACTTTTCACAATGTACCTTTCACAATAAAAGAATCTAAAATATACTACCTTTGTGAGGTTTAAAATTATAGAATGAGGATATTAAATTCGACATAACCTTTTGCGTCTGATTTCTTTTAATTCAAATTTATGACTTTTTGTTTCATCTGTTTCATACCTGACCAGTCCACTCATTTTAACCACTCTCTAGCATTGTAGGCATAAGCCACCATTTGCTCTTTCATTTCCTTAGTGAGCAAGAGTGATTTCATATCCATGTTTTGTAATTAAAACAGTGTGCTAGAGAAAACTTTGTATTTTCCTCCTTATGCACAAGGGTGAGAGTTTCTGTTAGAGTCACATGGGCTTAAATTGCCGCATCACAAGAGATGTACATCTTCAACTCCATTAGGTTCTATCAAATTGCCCTTGGAAGTATGGCTGATCCTTGAACAATATGGCTTGAACTGTGTGGGTTCATTTATCCATGCATATTTTTCAACCAAACCCAGATTGAAAATACAGTATTCAGAAGCAGGGTGCAGTGGCTCATTCCTGTAATCCCAGCACTTTGGGAGGCTGAGGCTGGAGGACTGCTTGAGCCCGGGAGTTTGAGGCCAGCCTGGGCAACATCTCGAATAATTTAAAAAAAAAAAAAAAAGGAAAATGTAAATCTTTGTATATAGAGAGTGGACTTTTTTCTTTTAAGAGACAAATTCTTATTCTGTTGACCAGGCTGGAGTGCAGTGGTGTGATCATAGCTCACTGTAACCTTTAACTAAGGCAATTCATTGACTTTTCACATATGCTAGTTCTGCAGCAGTGACTGCAAAGACTCATGTGCAAATTTTCAAATATACAGGGATCCTGAAACTAATCCCCTGAATATACCCAGGGATGACTGTAATTGCAGCACTTTATGCTCTCATAAGAATTCCTGTCCCCGGCCAGGAACAGTGGCTCATGCCTGTAATCCCAGCACTTTGGGAGGCCAAGGCGGGCAGATCACGAGGTCAGGAGATTGAGACCATTCTAGCTAACACAGTGAAACCCCGTCTCTACTAAAAATACAAAAAAATTAGCCGGCATGGTGGCAGGCGCCTGTAGTCCCAGCTACTCGGGAGGCTGAGGCAGGAGAATGGCGTGAACCCAGGAGGTGGAGCTTGCTTTGAGCCAAGATTGCGCCTCTGCACTCCAGCCTGGGTGACAGAGCAAGACTCCGTCTCAAAAAAAAAAATAAAAAATTCCTGTCCCCATATCATTTCCAACACTGTATTAGACTTTCCAGCTTTGGCTCATGGACCACATGTAAGACAGAACTCCTTGTTGTTTTAATTTCCATTTCCTCGGTTATGAGTGATATTGAGCATCTTTTCATGTGTGTCTTGGTATTTCTGGTGCACTCATTTGTGAATGATCTGTCTTTATTCCTTGCCTATTTTCTACTGAGATGTTTGCCTTTTTGCAATTGATATATTGCAGCTGTTTATATATTCTGAACACTAATTCCTTGATGGTGACATAGGCTATATAAATTGCAAAAATGTCTTAGTTTGGCATGTCTTATCACCTTATTAGAGACAAGAAGTCAAGAACGTGAGATGGGATAAGACATTTGGTTATGAGAGGCAGATTGATAGACAAAATACCTGAGTTCTTAACTGGTCTCAGCTGCTTATAAATTAGTCACGTGGCTTTTAGCAAATTATCTGATTTCTCTAGGCCTAATTTTCCTGGTCTTTAAGGTGAAGATAATAATACTCTTTATTTTATTGTTATTAGGATTAAATGAGATAATATGTGTAAAACACTTAAGAGACTCTTCCAAAAACTGTAGTTATTTTTGTGGAGTCATTTGTTGTCACACAGACATTTAAAGTTTTGATGAAGCCAAATGTTTTATTGCCTCCTTTTGTGATGTGTTTCTTTTCCATCAAATTTAAGATATCCTCTCTTACCCCAGTGATATAAAGAAATTCTCCTAGGTCTTGCTCTAAGAGTTTTATGATTTTGTTTTTTGCATATAGGTCTTTAATCTACGTGGATTTCATTTGGGGTACTTGTGTGCAGTAGAGAAATTATATGATCTTTCCTTTAAGAATGGTCATTTGTCCAAACACAACTTATTGAATAGCTGTGTCCAGCCAAGGGCAGTGGAGACAGACACATTTGGCTTAGGTTCAATGGGATATGTATACATGGTTTATGGTCACCTGTTCTAACCATCCTGACTTTTAGGAATATCCCCACTGCACACAGTCAGCTCACCTGGAGGCTGACACAGCATGGAAAGTGTGTGGGCAATGGAACAGAAACCGGGTGTGAAATACGTGGATGCAAGGTTCGTCTTACATCAGACAGATAACAGTGCAAGCCAAGAGTTCAGTTCTCACTAATGCACAGTCAAAAATGTAAATCCTTTTGTTCTAGGAATTCATTCCACACTACAGTATGTAGAATTGAGAGTTCAGTTCTCAATGATGCAGTCAAAAATGTAAATCCTCTTGCTCTAGGAATTCACTCAGGGAAACAACGCAGAGAATTGCAAACACGTGCCACACTCATGTTTCTTTTCTGATGGGAATCATGCTAAATGAAATATATCAGAATCCTTGTTTTTGCAGGATATAGACCTATAACGAGAATACAAACAGGTGCAGCTATGGAGGAAGCACACCACATGTTTTCTACCATCCAATTGTCCATCACCAAAAACATGCTTCAATCTGAAAGGCTGAATTACCTATCCATCTTCTCTTTAGAAAATGTAATACAAGGCCAGGCACAGTGGCTCACATCTGTAATCCCAGCACTTTAGGAGGCCAACGCAGGTGAACCACTTGAGGCCAGGAGTTTGAGACCAGCCTGGCCAACATGGTGAAATCCCATCTCTACTGAAAATACAAAAATTATCTGGGTGTGGTGGTGCACACCTGTAATCCCAGCTACTTGGGAGGCTGAGGTAGGAGGATCGCTTGAACCCAAGAGGTGGAGGTTGCAATGAGCCAAGATGGCACCAGTGCACTCCAGCCTGGGTGACAGAGCTAGACTCCATCTCAAAAAAAAAGAAAGAAAATAAAATGTAATACAAGCATTGTCCCATGAAGAGGTGACCAGAAAGTATGCAGTCAAAAAGTGTAGGAAAAACAATTGACGGGGTTTGACAAACAGTTCAATAATAATCCCATTTTTTTTTCTTTTTTTTTTTTTTTGTGGTGTCCATAGCATTTTGGGCTCTTTTAAAAATGTGTGATTTGTTGGATTTCTCATCTTCTTCTAAATAAATTTTAACTTTCTCATCCAATTTTGTTTTCCTTAAAGAGGGATCCACAATAGTTTCAACTTCAGGTCTCCCAAAACCTGACTCTGTCCCTGCTAGTATGTTAATGTTTTCAGTAACATTATCTCATTGGAAAGAGTTCTCTTTCTCGGCAGTATTATAGATGATAGTACAGAAAGATGGATCTATTTGCCCCAGGTCACAAGGCAAGTTAGTGGTGGAGTCAGGACTAGAACCTGTGGCTTCCGAACTGGAGTTCTCTATGTTCTCTCCTGAGGTCTCCCATGTAGTATTGTCCTTATCATCATCCTAGCTCAAGGACCACCACATGGCGCACAGTTATCAGTGCCCATTTTAATAGGATTATTCTGAATGTGTTTCAATGATGTAATCCCCTAGCTCATCCCCTAGAGCTGGTTTTTCCTGGGCTATTCCCTTTCAGGGAGAAAATACTAAGGACAGAGCAGCTGGATAATTTTCCCAGTCTGTTTTCCTGCTCTCTTTCAGGAGACATTTTGTTCCTTTTGCTCTTCAATCAAATGACCTTTCTGCTCTAGCCAGCCATAAAATACCATGTTATCGCTTTCAAATTCAAATGTCACCTTGTCATTCTCTGCATTCTCTGCAGCTCCCCATGGCTGCAGAATAAAGCCAGAACTATTTGGCATAATATGGGCCAGTTTACTTTCCCAGCCTCACTCTAACCATTCCCTATCCATCCATCTGTCTATCCATCCATCCATCCACCCACCCATCTAACCAGACAGCCAGCCAGACATCCATCCATCCATCCATCCTTGCATCCATCCATCCATCCATTCATGCATCCATCCATCCACCTATCCATTTATGCATTTATCCATCCATCCATTCAACCATCCCTCCATCCATCCATTCATCCATCCATCCATTCACCCATCCATCCATCCACCCATCCAGCCAGACAGACAGCCATCCACCCACCCATCCATCCACCCATCCACCCATCCACCCATCTATCCATCCAACCATCCATCCATCCATCCATCCATCCACTCACCTAACCATCCATCCATCCATTTATTCATCCATCTATCCACACATTCATCCATCCATCCAGCCAGCCATCCAGCCATCTCATGAATCTGTCAATCAGTTATGTCTACATGCCTTCTCCTGAATTCTCAACAATTTCCCATAATATATATTTTGCTATACCTCACAACTGTAGATGGGAAAACTGAGTCTCAGAGAAGCCTCATGTGTAGTGAACAGATTGACTTCCTATACTGTGTTAATTCCCCCTTCCTTCCTAATAAAATCCTGATCTTGTTAAAATATCTGCCCCTCATCCACACAGCCCTCATTTCCAATTCTAGGTATACATGGACAGCAACAAATCAAAGCCAAGCATAGACAAACATTTTCTGTAAAGGGGCAGACAGTAAATATTTTAGATTTGTGAGCCATATGGTCTCTGTTTGCTATGATTTGAATGTGTACCCTAAAAAGCATGTGTTGAAAAGTTAATCCCCAATGCAACAGTGATGGGAGGTACGGCCATTAGAGAGGTGTTTAAGTTATGAAGGTTCCACTCTCATGAATGGATTAATGCTGATTATGAAAGGGCTTGAGGCTCTGAAGTGTACCTCTTGCTCTCTCTCATTCTTTTTTGTTTTGTTTTGATATGGAGTCTCACTCTGTCACCCAGGCTGGAGTGCAGTGGCACAATCTCGGCTCACTGCAAGCTCCGCCTCCAGGGTTCACGCCATTCTCCTGCCTCAGCCTCCCGAATAGCTGGGACTACAGGCACCCACCACTATGCCTGGCTAATTTTTTGTATTTTTAGTAGAGATGGGGTTTCACTGTGTTAGCCAGGATGGTCTCGATCTCCTGACCTCGTGATCCACCCACTTCAGCCTCCCAAAGTGCTGGAATTACAGGCGTGAGCCACCACGCCTGGCCCTGCTCTCTCTCACTCTTTTTGCCCCTTTGCTATGGGAAGATGTAGCAAGAAGAGCCTCCTTGCCAGATGCCAGCCGATTGATCCTGGACTTCCCAGCCTCTGGAACTCTGAGCCATTAAATTTCTATTCATGCTAGGTGCAGTAACTCATTCCTATAATCCCAGTGACTCAGGAAGCTGAGGCAGGAGAATCATTTGAGGCCAGGATTTTCCAGACCAGTCTGGGCAACACAGTCTGGGCAACTCATTGTCAAGGCTGCAATGAGCTATGATCACGTCTTGCACTTCAGCCTACGTCACAGAGCAAGACTCCATCTCTTAAAAAAAGAAAATATATATATATACGTTCATTATAAATTATCCAGTATCAGTTATTCTGTTATAACAGCCAAAAAGCGATGAAGACACTGTTGCAACTATTCAACTCTGCCGTTGTATCAAGAAAGCAGCCACATGGCTGTGTGCGGTGGCTCATGCCTGTAATCCCAACACTTTGGAAGGCCGAGGTGGGTGGATCACCTGAGGTCAGGAGTTCAAGACCAGCCTGGCCAATATGGTGAACCCCCATCTCGACTAAAAATACAAAAATTAGCTGGCCATGATTGCGGGTGCCTGTAGCCCCAGCTACTCAGGAAGATGAGACAGGAAATTGCTTGAACCCAGGAGGCAGAGGTTAGTTAGCCGAGATCGTGCCACTGCACTCCAGCTTGGGCGACACAGCAAGACTCCATCTCAAAAAAAAAAAAAAAAAAGAATGGAAAAAGAAAGCAGCCACAGAGGATACACAAGCCAATGGGTGTGATTGTGTTCCAATAAAATTTATTTATGAGCAGTGAAAATTAATTTGATATAATTTCACATATCATAAAATACTATTCTCCTTTCCATTTTTTTTTCAACTGTTTAAAATATAACAACCATTTGTTGCTCATTGGCCATGAAAAAGCAGATGGTGAGTTGGATGTTGTCCCACAGGCTATACTTTTCCAATTTCCGGTCTAAGCCACTTAGTTGCATGGTATCCTCCTGGCAAGGTCAGGGGAGACATATGACCTAAGGGGACCCAGTCACACTCAAGGGAAGAATCTATAGTGTCCATTGTTGGTTTGAGAGTAATCCCTTCTGTTCCCAAGTCAGTAATAGTCATCTTGACTATAATTCCATGGATAGTCAAGATGACAATGGAAGCCATTGACCTACTGACTTGGGAATAGAAGGGATTACTCTGCTCTCAAGATGACTATGGAAGGCACTACTCTCAAGACGACTATGGAAGGGATTACTCTCAAGGTGACTAAGGAAGCCATTGACCTATTGACTAAGGAAGCCATTGACCCAGGTACTACTGTCATTTTTCTTGTAACTGAAAATGGTCTCAGACTCTCCTGGCTGGTGGCCTCAGGAGGTGGAACCTCATGGGCCTGTCCTGAGACAGTCAGGACAAGTGAGGCCCCAAAATCTTAAGTAGTGTATTAATCAAAGTCTCCCGAGAAACAGAATCAATAGAAGGTTCCATTTCATTCTATTTCCTTCTTATTTCATTCATACACACACATGTTGGGGGTGGAGGACAGAGAGAGAAAGACTTTAAGAAACTGGGTCATGCAATCACAGAGGCCAGTTCAAAATCTGCAGAGTAACCTGGTAGGCTGGAGACCCAGGGAAGAGTTGATGTTGTAGTCTGAGTCCAAAAGCAGTGTATGGGCAGAATTCCCTTTTTCCTCAGGGGAAGTCAGTCTTTACCTGAAGTTAAGCCCAAGGCAGGAGGATCACTAATGACCAAGAGTTCCAGACCAGCCTGGGAACATAGTGAGACTTCATCTCTACAAAAATTAAAAAATCAGTCAGGCATGGTGGCATGCACCTGTAGTCGCAACTACTTGGGAGGCTGACGTGGGAGGATTGCTTGAGCCCAGGAGTTTAAGGCTGCAGTGAACTATGACTGCACCACTGCTCTCCAGCTTGGTTGATAGAGTGATACTCTGCTTTAATATCCTTCAACTGATTGGACGAGGCCCACCCACATGATACAGATTAATCTGTTTTGTTCAAGGTCTACTGATTTAAATGTCAACTTCATGTTTAAAAAACAAACAAACAAAAGCCTTCACAGCAAAACCCAGATAGAGTTGACTAAGTCCCTGAGTACATTGGCCTAGCCAGTTATATATCACAGGTGATATATAATACTGACAGAATTATTATAAATAATAATTAATAGAACTAAAATAATTAAGAATCCACAGTATATCTGAAATCAGGATTGATGGGAAGAATGGAAGCAGGTGCTTCCCAGCCAGTAATACCATAAATCTGAGGTCCCCCATGGAAAGCCCTGCCTGGCTTCAGTCCACAACGGGGATTCTTTTTTTTTTTTTTTTTGAGACAGAGTCTCTCTCTGTCTCCCAGGCTGGAGTGCAGTGGTGATCTCAGCTCACTGCAGCCCTCTGCCTCCTGGGTTCAAGCAATCCTCATGCCTCAGCCTCCCAAGAAGCTGGGACTACAGACATGAGCCACCACACCTAGCTAATTTTTGTATTTTTAGTAGAGACAGAGTTTTGCCATGTTGGCTGGGCTGGTCTCAAACTCCTGGCCTCAAGTGATCTGCCTGCCTCTGCCTCCCAAAGTACAGGGATTACAGGTGTGAGCCACTGCACCTGGCCCACAGCTGAGATTCTTAATTTCTCTCCCTAAGCTGAACATGGTGCAGAACAAGGTTAGCACTCAGATTTTGCAATACATCTCTGGAGAGTTTATTTTAAGAAGATCAAGTGGGGCACTCCTGGGTTTCAGGACTGATTAGCTGCCCTATCTGCAAGAACAAAGGGTGATCTGACACCCAATCACCCTCACTGAGTCTGACCTCCATGAGAAAGGGTTTGAGATTCATGCTGGAAATGGTCCAAATATTAACAGAAGGAGGAAATGAATATACTTCTGATGTGCTGTACAATGTTCATTATTGGTTTTCGATTCAATGAGATTAATTAAAATCATCTATTCCAATCAGTTACCAAACGTACCTGCTCGACAATGTGTCTAAATTCATTAACTATTTTGTTTTAACGATATTTCGTTTTAAAGTTTTATTTTATCCACATGTTGACTTCATTTTACTTTGGCAAATAAGAGCTTGTGGTAATATTACCAATAACTCATTATCATCCTTTGCTAAGCCAGGAGGGAATTTGCCACTTTGCAGAATAGCCAGTGCTTTTAATAGGAGAGTTTATGTAAAAGCTACACTGTCTTGAAATAATTTGCACTCACAAATTAAGTGGCAAGCATAACTCTGATAGATTAACTGTAACCAGTAAAAAGTTTACCTTTAAAAGTGCTACTTCTGTCCTCTTCGAGGCTGAGTCTGAGGCTAACTAGGCTTAGCAAACCCGGTGACAAAAGGAAATAGTTTTTGGAATGTTTTCTTCAGTCCATCACTGACATTTCCTGTTCATCTGGTAGTAAAGTTTAAATATTTAGTGGCACCGGAAGGGTGTTCAGGATACATTAAATATTGAACATCTCTAAGGGAGGCCCAGCTACATTTAACATGGCAGGTTCTCTTCCAAGATCCATCCGTAAATCAATCTGAGCACCTCTGCTGAGAACAGTTTTCTGGTGCTCTTATTCTTTCTTTCTTTCTTTCTTCCTTCCTTCCTTTTTTTTTTTTTTTGACAGGGTGTGTCTCTGTTGCCCAAGTTTGAGTCCAGTGGTGCAATTGTGGCTCACTGCAACCTCTTCCTCCTGGGTTAAAGCAATCCTCCCACCTCAGCCTCCCAAGTAGCTGCAACTACAGGCATGCACCACCATGCCCAGCTAATTTTTGTATTTTCTGTAGAGTCAAGTGTTTTGCCATGTTGGCCAGGTTGGTCTTGAACTCCTGACCTCAAGCGATCCACCCGCCTTGGCCTCCCAAATTGATGGAATTACAGGTGTGAGCGACAGCGCTAGACCTTCTGGTGCTTTGGGGTAATTTATTGAAAAACTAGTTAGTCTTTCTGCACATGCAATGAGATTTGCAAAAATATTCTCAGGTAGAGAGGGAGGGGTTGGAAGAGACGTTATTTGGGTCACGTACTCTATATGGTCCCTCTGGACCAACCAAAATAACAATCTCATCTCCCTGAGATTTTCAAAAAGTCTCAGGGAGATGAGGTTCACTTCCCTGAAAAGAGTGTGTCTAGGCAGCAGGTCTCCCTGTGAGTCACAGGTGGGTCGAAGAAAAGTTTGTAGAGTCTGTCATTCAAGGGTTGGAGGTGGGTATCCAGAAATTTTTGGTATAGCTTCAGGCTGAAGTGGAAAGGTTAACTGCAGAGTTCCAACACAGCAGAGAGCTACTGTGAAAACTTTAGAGTCTGCTTCAGGGTTGCCACTGCCTTTCTAGCAAAAACACTACATTACCCACTTATCCTCTTGAAGCTTAGCTTAAAGGGCCCTTGTCACTCAGATGCCTTCATTATCAGCTCCCTTTGGGTAGAGCTTGAGGAGATAGAGAAGTCCAACCTGCAGACTCAGAACTTATTTAGGGGAACTTGATTGCAAGTGAGAGAAATTCATTGTGAACTGGTGTAGGCAAAGGAAGAAATTGATTGGTCCATGGTGTCCAAGGAACAGTTGTACAAACAGTAATAGCCCTGCAGGATTCATCTTACCCACTGTCCAGAAAACCTAATGCACCGAAAACAGTAAAGAAAGAGTTTAATTTCTGCAAGGCAGCCGAGCAGAGTGATAGGAGATGTTTCTCAAATCTGCCTCCCTGAAAGCTCAGTGGCTAGGGTTTTTAAGGATAATTTGGTAAGCAAGGGTCTAGGGAACGGAAACTGCTGATTGGCTGGAGATGAAATCATAGGAGTCCAATAAAACTGTCTTCCCACACTCATCAATTTCTGGGTGGGGGTTTCTCGTGGGAGTCAGTTCCTGGGTGTGAGTCACAGTTCCAGGTGACGTCAGTCAGTCTCCAGAATGCAAAAATCTGAAAAACATCTCAAAGACTAATCTAAGGGCCAAGTGCAGTGGCTCACACCTGTAATCCCAACATTTTTGGAGGCCAAGGCAGGTAGATCACTTGAGGCCGGGAGTTGGAGGCCAGTCTGGCCAACATGGCGAAACCTCGCTCTATTAAAAATACAAAAATTAGCCAGGCATGGTGGCATGTGCCTGTAGTCCCAGCTACTTGGGAGGCTGAGGCAGGAGAATCATTTCAGCCCAGAAAGTGAAGGTTGCAGTGAGCCAAGATGGTGCCACTGCACTCCAGACTGGGCAACAGAGCAAGACTCTGTCTCAAAAAAAAAAAAAAGACTAATCTTAGGTTTTGACAGTAGTGATGTTATGTACAGGAGCAATTAGGGAAGTTACAAGTCTTCTGTCTCTGATTATAAAGCCTTGAGCAATACAGGGCTTATAGAAAATCAAGCTAAAGAATAATGACTGGTTTTATGTTAACTATGCCTACATTTTAGCAGAATTCCAGCCCCTCCCATTATCCTAACCTTGCAGCCTTTCATTAGACATACAAAGGTGGTTTCAGTCCCCCAGCAAGGATTGGGTTAGTTTCATGATGGGGCTGTTATCCCCTTTGTTTTAAAGCTAACAAAGGCAGTTAGCTTGGAGGATTAGAAGCAAATGGAGTCAGCTATGTCAGATTTCTCTCACTGTCATAATTTTTGCAAAAGCAGTTTCAGAAACAGCCTTGAAATAGGCAGGATGGAAATGGACCTCCAAATTCTCTAGAACCAGAGACTGGGCTTCCCCTCTCTTGTCCTTGCTTTTCTCTGCATTTTTGCTTCCCCCAGGCTCCCAGATGCCTGGATTTCCACACATGGTTAAAATATACATGCCAGCAGCCCCCCAAACATCAAAGTTTTCATTACTGTTAAGGAACTACAGTCAAGTGGTACCATAGTTCCACTGTGGTGGTAAAGGTATCATGCATTCAAGTATTTCAGGGAAGGAAATGATAAACTTGTTTGGGTGAAGTGCTCAGCCCTAGATGAATAAGCCATAGCATGAGAGAGGGGAAAGGGATGAATAATGTCATAAATGAACATGGCAGCTCCATTAGGGATGGGAAAGGGTAGTTATTGCCCAACAGGAAATTCTCAACAATCCCACAGAGCTCCACTGTAAGGCCCCACCTCTGCTTCCCTTGCACTGTTGTCATCCTCCAACCCTTAGACAGGGCCAAGTACTTGCTACGCTGGTGTATTAGTCTGTTCTCATGCTGCTTATAAAGACTGGGTAATTTATAAAGGAAAAAGGTTTAATAGACTCACAGTTCTACATGACTGGGGAAGCCTCACAATTATGGCAGAAGGCAAAGGAGAAGCAAAGGCACATCCTACATGGCAGAAGGCAAGAGAGCTTGTCCAGGGGAACTCCCATTGGTAAAACCATCAGATCTCATGAGAGTTATTCATTATCATGAGAACAGTATGGAAAATCCTGCCCCCATGATTCAATTATCTCCACTGGGTCCCTCCTACGACATGTGGAAATTATGGGAGCCACAATTCAAGATGAGATTTGGGTTGGGGCACAGCCAAACCATATCACTTGATGTCCCTTACAAGCCAGAGAGACAGTATCTTGAGTGTGTGTGTGTGTCCTGAGTGTAAACAGCTGTAACTACCATGGATACAAAGATGAGAATAAAGACATTCTCCAACAAAAATGTTCCCATGAAACCATCCCAATTGTCCCCTAGAAATGATGTTTATGGTTTCTTTTGAATAAACATATAAATTGACCCTCCCAGTCTTAAAACTCAAGAAAGTTACTTTTGTCTTATCTGAGTTCCTTTCTCAGGAAACCACCATCAGGCCTCCCAGATAGAATCAAGGAGCTGAAACTCACAAGACCATCACATCTGGATAATGAGATACCAGACCCCTCATCCATCATAATTGCCTAAGCAACTACCTGCTTCCCATTGACCAACTTCTCTTCCTTACCCCTCCCCAATTCCTGTTTCCCACACATGATTACATTTCTTCTCTGCTGTATAAACTCCTAATTTTAGTTGGTCAGGGAGATGGATTTGAGGCTGATCTCCCATCTCCTTAACTGCAGCACCGGATTAAAGCCTTCTTCCTTGGCACTACTCATTGTCTCAGTGATTGGCTTTCTGTGTGGTGAATAGCAGGACCTAGACTGAACCCCTGACATTTTGGTAACACCTCGCTGTAATGTAAACTAACTTAACATAGGGAAGAGAAAAGCACCTTGGGGAGTGGGTGAGCTTAGGTGTCTGTGAGATGCTAACTTTATGGTGCAGGGCATGACTTCCATCCTGTTTCAAATGTACAAAGTCTAGCTTCTTGCAAAGTGCTGGAGTTTCTCAGTCTGACACTGTGTGTTGGGTCACATTTACACACATGTCTCCTTAACACACACAGGTGCACACACACATACAGTTTTCTATGGAAATAACTTTATTTTTTTTTTCCTGCATGAACATCTCAATGGAAAGAGTTTTGGATTAAGGACTTCAAGATCTCATTCCACTCCTGCCTCTCTGTGGGTGAATTCAAACACATCTCTTTCCTTCACCCACTCAATGAGTTAGCCTCAAACAGGGACATTTGGAAATGCATGAGGAGGCATTGAGTTGCTCCTATAACTTTAGGGAAAGGAAAAGGAGCTCTAAGGACATTGAAAGGGTCAAGGATGCCAATTTTCCAGCCACAGGTAATGGGGGATGTTCTTGCCCCCAGTGATAATTGTGCCCAGATTGAGAAACACCAGCTGATGGCCCCTAACTTCTCTCCATGTGAGAGAAAACAAGGCCAATGCTTCTATGTCTTTCTCAAAGGTTAGAGCAGAGGAGCCTTTACCAGGAGAGGGCAGAGTGTCCAACCAGACCCATGGCATCTCAAGAGCCCAAGTCTCTAGAGTAGTCTTAATGGGGTCCTCTCAACTGTGCACCTCAGTGTTGGCCCCTCAGATCTACTCAGGTCTGGCTTCTGCAGAGAGCTCCTGATTCCAAGCAAACCCTCACCTCAACTGGCTCCCTCTCAGTTCTCCTCTCTCTTAATAAGGACTGCAGATCCCATGAAACACGTGCTTCCTTTGACATTCCCTAATTATGTGAATTTTACAAATGTAGTTTCTATAAAAATCCATGTGGTTACTGCTGAAATAAGAATAGCAAGAAGTTCTGGATAGTGCCCCAAAGGGCAGATGCATGTTCCGATCCATTTGTCTTTTCCCTGCAATACTGTAAAGGCCTCTCTCTCCCCATCATAATATGTTAGGTGTTTTGTTTTGTTTTTCTAGTTTATTTTTATTTTTATTTTTTTAGAGACAGGGTCTTGCTTGGTCACCCAGGCTGGAGTATAGTAACGTTATCATGGCTCACTGAAGCCTCGAGCTCCTGGGCTCAAGCGATCTTCCCACCTCAGCCTCCCAAAGTGCTGAGATTACAGATGTGAGCCACCATGCCCAGCCCGTTAAGTGTTTAAGGTAAGGCTATGGGGCAGAGATAGTGAGGAGATTTGATTGTCTGTGCTGACATTAAACTACTAGAGGTTGATGCTAGGAGTGTAGTGTTGAGCAGACCCCAAGACCATATTCAGGCTTGGCAGGATGATATTCTCTGCCCGATTAATGTGACATTTCATGGAACAAATGGAAAGTGTTTACCATTCCTGCCCTAGGTGATCAATTCTTTCCAGCCTTGAAAGCCATGTCCAGGTGGAGTCTGGTTTAGATGTAGTCCAAAGCAAAAGGAAGGTCAGGAAGAAAGGGTAGGAGAGCCAGTCAAGGTACCCCACATCTGTAATCTCAGCAATTTGGGAAGCCGAGGTAGGCAGATTGCTTGAGCTCAGGAGTTCGAAACCAGCCTGGGAAACACAGGGAGACCCCACCTCTACAAAAAGTAAAAATTAGTTGGTCATGGTGGTACACACTTGTGGTTCCAGCTCCTCACGGGCTGAGGCAGGAGGATTGCTTGAGCCAGATAGATCGAGGATACAGTGAGCCAAGATCATACCACTGGACTCCAGCCTAAGTGACAGATGATATCTGTCTCAAAAAAAAAAAAAAAAAAAAGGTAGGAAAAGGGTGAAGGGTAGACTGCTCATGTAGAGTGCAGAGTGTTCTCATCAACTGACATGACTCTTCCTCTCCTGCAAATGGTCCAACCATAGACCACTCCAAGGCCAGCCTGGAGCCTCCAGATGCTGTCCCTCTTGGTACAACCCTGCCTTCAAAGCAAGCAGGTTGTCCAGCATTGCCTGGTGGGCTGTCTCAGTAGAGGTCCTTATTGGCAAAACCACACTTAGTTCAGTAAAAAAGGCAGCCTGAGGCTAAGGCGGGTAGATCACCTGAGGTCAGGAGTTCGAGACCAGTCTGGCCAACATGGTAAAATCCCGTCTCTACTAAAAATACAAAAATTAGCCAGGTGTGGTGGTGTGCATCTGTGATCCCAGCTACTCAGGAGGCTGAGACAGGAGAATCACTTGAACCCGGGAAGTGGAGGTTGCAGTGAGCCGAGATTGCGCCGTGGCACTCCAGCCTGGGCAACAGAGTGAGACTCCGTCTCAAAAAAAGAAAAAAAAAAAAAAAGGCAGCCAAGAATCACCACGAGGGCTCACAGAAGCAAGGCTGGAGGCTCCAAGGCCAAATGCCCACGCCATATTGAATTCTAGAGCCCCTTTCACAGCATAAAAAGCCCTCCCCCATGGTTCAGTGTGGGACCTCCATCCTGAGCCCTGTTCAGCTGCCCCTGAACGCTGGACACCCTTTGTCACCCTCATCAGGAATCAATTCTGCAAAGAACCCCCTTCCTCATGTCACTGCCTGCTAAATTGTTCTCAGCTATTCACATTGGATCTGTGTCACTGTGCCCTAGTTACAAGGATGCCTGGAAACGAGTTCCTGGCTTCCGTCTTGAAGACGCAAGACTCAAAAGCTTGGAAATTTTCCAATGTAGAAAGGGGATTCAAAAAATGCCAAAGCAGCCCAAGAAATACATCTGCTGCAGAGATTCATCCAGATTCTGAAGAGGGCGCTGGGGCAGGTGTTTTCTTACGTGAGGCCCAGCACAATTACAGACGCTCTTTGACTTACAAAGGAGTCACATTTGGATAAATCTATCATAAAACAAAAATATCTTACTTTGAAAGTGCATTCAGTACGCTGGACCTACCAAACATAACTTAGCCTTGCCTGCCTTAGCCTAGCATTCTGTCTAGCTCAGAATGCTTATATTAGCCTACAGCAAAATCATCTAACACCAAGCCTGTTTTATAATAAAGTGATTATAAATCATTTTGAATCAAAATTAAAAATTCAAAGTATGGCTTTTACTAAGTAAATATCACATTTGCACCATCCTAAAGTCAAAAAATTATAAGTCAAACCATCGTAAGTCAAACCATTGTAAGTCAAATTATCGTAAATCAAACTATCTTAAGTCAGGGACAACAGAAGTGGACAAGTGATTTCCTGCCCACGTAATTCAGCAATGCCATGTCCAACACCTATGGCCACTTCAAAAAGACTAGTTTCAGCCAAGCATGGTGGCTCATGCCTGTAATCACAGCACTTTGGGAGGCCAAGGCGGGCAGATCACCTGAGGTCAGGAGTTCAAGACCAGCCTGGCCAACATGGTGAAACCCCACCTCTACTAAATATACAAAAGAAAAATTAGCCAAGTGTGTGGTGGTGGGCGCCTGTAATCCTAGCTACTTGAGAGGCTGAGGCAGGAGAATCGCTTGAACCAGGGAGGCGGAGGTTGCAGTGAGCTGAGATCATGCCATTGCACTCCAGCCTGGGCGACAGAGCAAGACTCCATCTAAAAAAAATTAAATTAAAAAAAAAGACAAGTTTCCAGTGTGTTTTCTTCTTTCCCACTGGTTCCGGGGGTTTTATGTACTTCTGCTTCTTTTCAAAGGCAGCCTCTATCTACTCAATAAAGGTAAGCTACAAAATGGAACGCGGACTCTTCAGGTCACCTCTTTTCGCCAGCAGCTCTTATCTGCAAGTGGTGCACACCATCCGTCTTCTTCTTTTGTTTTAATTGAGGTGAAATCTATATAACAGAAAATGACTCATTTTCAAGTGTACAACGCAGGGAAGTTTAGTACATTCACAGAATTGCGCAACCGTCCTTGCCAGCTGGTTACGGGACATTTGCATCACTTTCAAACGAGACACTGTACCCATTAAGTTGTCACATCTCATTCCCTCCTTCTTCCAGTCCCTGGCCACCATCAGTCTGCTTTCTCCATAGATCCCTGTGGATCTATGAATTCTGGATACTTCATATAAATGGTCTCACATAGAATGTGCCCTTTCGTGTTGGCTTCTTGCACTTCATGTAATGTTTTTGAGATCCATTCATGCTGCAGCAATGTTTTTTTCTTTTCTTTTTTTTCTTTTTTTTTTTTTGAGATGGAGTTTTGCTCTTGTTGCCCCAGCTGGAGTGCAATGGCGTGATCTTGGCTCACTGCAACCTCCGCCTCCCGGGTTCAAGTGATTCTCCTGCCTCAGCCTCCTGAGTAGCTGGGACCACAGGCACCCCCAACATGCCAGGCTAATTTTTTTGTATTTTTAGTAGACATGGGGTTTCACCATGTTAGCCAGGATGGTCTTGATCTCCTGACCTCGTGATCCACCTGCCTCGGCCTCCCAAAGTGCAGGGATTACAGGCGTGAACCACCACACCCGGCCACAGCAGTCATTTTTATTTTGACTTACTGTATTCATTTTCTCAGACTGCCATAACAGAGGAACCCAGACTGGATGGCTTGAACAACAGAAATGTATGATCTCACAGTTCTGAAGACCGGAAGTCCGAGATCAAGGTTTCAGCAGGGTTGGGTCCTTCTGAGACCTCTCTCTTTGGCTTGTAGACAGCTATCTTCTCCCTGCGCCTCTTCTCAATATCTTCACTCTATATGCATCTGTCCAAATTTCATTTTTGCACAGGGACACCAGTCTTACTGGATTAGGGCTCACCCGACTGATGTCAGTTTAACTTGATAACCTCAGGAAAGATCTTATCTCCAAATAAAGTCATATTCTGAAATATTGGAGGTTAGGACTTTAACAAATGAATTTTTGAGGGAGGCACAATTACACATAGCACATATCATTTCACTAAAGATTATAGGAAATAAACATGGGCTCTCAAAATATTTCTGGCACAAAGAAGCCTAGTAGATATTCATCCTCTAATTGCTTGAACTTGCATTGAATTGTTATCAGAAGCCCAAATATTTCTTCTTCTTTTTTTTTTTTTTTTTTTGACAGGGTCTTGCTCTGTCATCCAGGCTGGGAATGCAGTGACACAATGACAGCCTCCACCTCCCTAGGCTCAAGTGATCCTCCCACCTCAGCCTCCCAAGTAGCTGGGACCACACGAGTGCACCACCACACCCAGGTGGTTTTGTTTATTTATTGATTTTTCTTAGAGGTGGGGGTCTCACTATGTTACCAAGGCTGGTGTCGAACTCTTGGACTCAAAGGATCTTCCTGCCTCAGCCTCCCAAAGCGCTAGAATTACAGGCGTGAGCCACCATGCCTGGTCAGCTTCTGTGTTCTTGAAGTCCATCACCTATCCCCTTCCTGTGGTCCCTTTTCAGATCACACAGGTCTCCTTCTCTTGGAAAGCCTCATTCCCAGAAATTTCCTGATAAGACTCTTTCAACTCTTTTGTGCAACTTCCTTGCATGCCAATGCCCACCCCCACACACACTGTTATGTCTCCCCAGAGAAGGTCAAAGGTTAGGCATAGGGAAGGGTCCCAGGGCTAAAGGGCTGCAGTGGACATCCTGGTCCAGCAGGGGTCTGAAGGTCCCTGACCTGCAGAGGTGTTTTATTTGTATGCAAGGAAGTTGTACGTAAGAGTTGAAAGAGTCTCATCAGGAAAGACTTGGAAGAGCTTTTCTCTTTCCCAATCCTCGGGGGCCTGATCTCCCACCAAGTCATAATGTAGGATAACAAATTCCATCAAATCAGTTAGTCCTTGCTTTCTGGGAGGACCTTTCAAGAGAATTGTTCCCAGGTAAAGTATTGCCAAGGGACATGGTTAAGATAGGGGATCCTGAGACCAGGAGGCAGGCAGAATACTTCATTCGAGAGGCTGAGAGACTTCTGTACAGTTTAGTGTGATATTTCTCATCACAAATGTCTTTCCTTTTTCTTTCCCTTCTGCAAGCACTTGGATTCAAACCTACTGAATGAAGGCTGGGCATGGTGGCTCCTGCTTATAATCCCTGGATTTTGGGAGGCCAAGGCAGAAGGATTGCTTGAGCCCAGGAGTTGGAGGCTGCAGTGAGCTATGATTGCACCACTGCACTCCAGGCTTGGTGACAGAGCAAGACGCTGTCTCAAAAAAAAAAAAGAAAAAGAAAAAAATCAAAACAGATCTACCAAATGAGAAGGGGGCACAGCACAAGGAAAGAAACCATGTTCCCTCCTTGTAAAGCATAACTCGATGTGTGATGAGTGGTAAGCCATGTGCAGCTATCTGGGCCTCAGTCTACCCATCTGTCAATTGGAACTAATTCTACCCATTCCACATTTCTCAATCGCAATCACTCAAAATGCAAAATGCAATGCAGAAATCACTCAAAACGCAAAAGGCAATGCAGAAATGACTACTTGGTTCCCCCACCCTCCCCCCAGGCCCCATTTTTACTCATTTAGCCTTACAATAAAGGTTCAATAGAACCTCGTCCAGGGGTAGAGCCCCAGGGAATGTCCCCTGAGCTTGCCTTGCCTTTGCTAACCTCATCCAAACAATTTTTCTTGCTTCCATGAAAGAAAATCCAATGCTTCATTTACCGAATTAACCTCAGATGTTAGAAATGATTTCTTCATAGCTACAGGGAGGCTGTCCAGGTTAAGTCAAAGTACTGTTCTGCAGAAGAGGCCAAAAGCCAATCTATTGAAAAAGCAATCTGGATTTATCTGAAAAAGAGATTTATCCTTTAGAGAGCAGGGAGCAGAGCAAGAGATTGGCGAAAGCTCACAGATCAATTCTCTTTTAACCTTTGAACTGTGAGTCTGCGTCACGTTGATCCGAGTTCAGAGCGGCCAAAGCCTCTTCTAAGCAAAACAATAATGCTCTTATATACAGTAAAACAGATGAAGTGGAAGAAATATGTTAACCAACACCGTAATGGGCAATTGCCTGTGTTCATAAGACGTCCAAGCCTTGTTTCCACACAGCTCTGCATGCTACATTAACTTTACCCTCCGAGTAAGATTTTTACTCAGACGTGAAATAATTGTTCCTCTAACAACAAGTGACAACAGGGAAATGTCCGGTATTAATACTGACACATTCTAATCCATCCTGATGTGGAGAGTGAGTGATTTCCTTAAATGATGAAACAAATTTTAAAGGTGTAATCCCTCCCCAGTCCAGAGCCAAATTTAATCTATGTTACAAATGAGTGTTCCTAGTGCTAGAGGAATAATTTATGCTTGCCTGCAAGTAGGAGCTGTGTGTGCTTCCAATTATATTTATTACACTGACTAAGTGAAAGGAGGAAGGTGCTCGGGGGAAGACGATCGGAGAGGAAGAGATCTATTCTGGTTACCCCAACCGCTCCTGAGAGCCTCCTCCTGCCGCCTCACCATCTGGTTAGACTAGAAAATATCCGACCGACTTTCCCTTTTGTGAAAGCGCTGTGCCAGCTGTAGGACTTTGGTGATCTCATTTGCAGCCTCATCCGGATTTGGCCATGCAATTCCATCTAAGCCAGGATATTTGAACTCGTGCTAAAAGCAAATCGTTTCAAGATGGCTTACAGCATGCAAGGAGAGTGTTTCCGACACAGTCCCTGTTTCAGCATCCTAATAACCAGGAGACAAAGACCAAGGCTCTCGAAACCAAGCAGGCATTGGAAGCTCGGGAAGACCTGTTAACATAGCGTCCTGGGCACCACCTTCAGATTTCCTGATTCTGTAGGTCGAGCGTGGATCCCAAAATATGCATTTGTACTGAGTCGTCAGGGGATGTGGATGCTGCTGTCTGGGAACCATGCTGTGACAGCCACTGATGGAGATTATTATCTTCATTTTATATATGAGGAGACTGAAGTATTTTTTTTTTTTTTTTTGCTTTTGAGACTGAGTCTCGCTCTGTCGCCCAGGCTGGAGTACAGTGGTGCGATCTTGGCTCACTGCAACCTCCGCCTCCTGAGTTCAAGTGATTCTCCTGCCTCAGCCTCCTGAGTAGCTGGGATTACAGGTGCCCGCCACCAAGCCCGGCTAGTTTTTGTATTTTTGGTAGAGACACGGTTTCACCATGTTGGCCAGGCTGTTCTCGAACTCCTGACCTCAGGTTATCTGCCCGCCTTGGTCCCCCAAAGTGCTGGGATTACAGGTGTGAGCCACCGCACCCGGCCAAATATGTCAGACTTTGGATTTTGTCTGATGGAACTTCCCAGCTGATGTCAGCGTGGAGTCTGAATTTTGTTTCTGTTCCTCCCGCATTTTGATGCTGGGCCCATTGAGTGTGTCCTAACCCTCCTGCCACCTCCCCGCTTAGCCAGGGCTAAACAGCAAGTTCCTCTCTCTGTTTTCCTCTCCCAAATGCCTTCCAGACAGCTTCCATGTGCTTACCAAAGAGTACCAGAATAGAGAGTTACCATGGGCACACAGAGCTGCTCCAACTTGCCCCAGAATAGAGTTAACATTTTTGCATTCTCACACACGCGTGCACACACAGGCACGCAGGCATACACATATGCACACACACACTCCAAACACCATAATCCATACCTCCTCCATCTAAGCAGCATGTGCTGGGCTTCTGTGTAAGATTTTATTGGAAGTAAATATTTAATACAATCCCATTATTTTGGATCACAGATGTAGAAAGTAGGGGGCCAGAAATAGTGTACCCAAAATTACAGCAATAACCAGGGCTGCAACCAGGCATATTCTGTTGCCCTCTCTTCTTCTTCTTGCTACTTCTTCTTCCTCCTCCTCCTCCTCTTCTTCTTCTTTCTTCTTCTTCTCCTCCTTTTTCTACCTCTTCTCCTTCTCCTCCTCATCCTCCTGCTTCTCCTCCCTCATCCCCTTCTCCCTCCAGCATCCCCTCCTCCTCCTTCTCTTCCTCTTCCTTCTCCTGACTTCCCCCCTCTATCTCCTTGTTCTTCTCTTTCCCCTTTCTCTTCTTTTTCTCCTCCTCCCAGTCCCCCTTCCCCTCCTCCTCCTCCTTTCTCTCCTCTCCCTCCCCCTCTTCTTCCTTCTTTTCCTGCCGCCTATTTTCTTCTCCTCCTCCCAGTCCTCCTTCTTCTCCTTCTTCTCTCCTCCTCCTTTCTCTCCTCTCCTTCACGCTCTTCTTCCTTCTTTTCTTGCCCCCTTTTTTCTTCTCCTCCTCCCCCTCCTCCTTTTCTCCCTCCTTCTCTTTCTCCTCCCCATCCTCCTCAACTTATCCCTCTTTCTTTTCTTTCTTTCTTTCTTTTTTTTTTTTGAGATGGAGTCTCACTCTGTCCCTCAGGCTGGAGTGCAGTGGCGCAATCTCAGCTCACTGCAACTTCTGCTTCCCAGGTTCAAGCAATTCTCTGCCTCAGCCTCCCCAGTAGGTGGGATTACAGGCACCTGCCAACATGCCTGGCTAAGTTTTGTATTTTTAGTAGAGACGGGGGTTTCACCATCTTGGCCAGGCTAGTCTTGAACTCTGACATCGTGATCCCCCTGCCGCTGCCTCCCAAAGTGCTGGGATTACAGGCATGAGCCACGGCGCCTGGCCCTTCTTTCTTCCCATCCTTCTGCTCCTCCTCACTTCATTCTCCTTCTCCTCCTCCCCCTTCTCTTCCCCTCCTCTTTCTCCTTTCTCTTCCCTCCTCATCTTCCTTATTCTAATTCTTATTCTCCTTTTAGGCATTCTTTCAAAATATCATGCTCCTTAACAAACTGCTTTTTTTCATTTTCATGAAACAGCTGTTATTAATTAGAAACAAGGCAGCTATACAAAAATCACTTGGAGAAATTTAAACTTTTTTTTTTTGAGACAGAGTCTCACTGTATCACCCAGGCTGGAGTGCAGTGGTGCAATCTCGGCTCACTGCAACCTCCACCTCCTGGGTTTAAACTATCCTTCTGCCTCAGCCTCCCAAGTAGCCGGGACTACAGGCACTCACCACCATGCCTGGCTAATTTTTTTATTTTTAGTAGAGACGGGGTTTCATCATGTTGGCCAGGCTGGTCTTGAACTCCTGACCTCAGGTGATCTGCCCACCTCAGCCTCCAGAAGTGATTGGATTACAGGCATGAGCCACCACATCCAGCCAATTTAAACATGTTTAATTCTGTGAAATTCAATGTAATAGATATTCCCCTATAGTGTCCAGGGCTGTAGAGTTTTTCCCTGCTGAGTCTTGTCAAATGCCTCATCCCCCTGGATTTTCATGCATCATTCTTCCCTCCAAGGATCTCTCTGTCTGCATCAGAGAATCTACTCCACAATGCTCAAGAGCAAACGCTGTTCTAGTATTTTTATTTCCTAATGAAATTAAGCTTGAAGAACCCTTGACAAGATTGCTTAGATACAGATATGAGCTCTGAACAGGCCTCTTTCCTTCTGATATGGTTTGGCTGTGTCCCCACCTAAATCTCATCATGAATTGCAGCTCCCATAATGGGAGGGACCTGGTGGGAGGTAATTGAATCTTGGGGGCAGGTCTCCCATGCTGTTCTCGTGATACTAGGTAAGTCTCATGAGATCTGACGGTTTTATAAGGAGGAGTTCCCTTGAACATGCTCTCTTGCCTGCCGCCATGTAAGACATGACTTTGCTCCTCCCTCACCTTCCACCATGCCAATGAGGCCTCCCCAGCCATGTGGAACTGTGGATCCATTAAACCTCTTTCCTTTGTAAATTACCCAGCCTCGGGTATACCTTTATTGGCAGCGTGAGGACAGACTAATACACCTTCCAAACAAGAATCATGGGACAGGAGGAGGTTCAAGCCATCCATATGCTCTGGGAAGGACCTACCATGTTGACCTTCATAGGTCCTTCTTGGAAGCTCCCATAAAGGATTTTAGAATTCAGTCCCCAAGAGCCCTTGTGCCACTTTTGCCCATCTTGGGGTGTCACAGGGGAGCAAACCCCAGGGTTACTGAAAGTGTGAAGCCACAACCTCCATATCCTCTGCTGTTCTCAGAAATCACCCTGCTGCCAAGTTCAGGGGCCTCACTGTTTTGACTTTCTCTTTGGCAATCCAACTGTTTTCTTCTATAATCCTTGTTTCTCAAAAAGTGGAAGCCAGCCAGGCGCAGTGGCTCACACCTGTAATCTCTGCCCTTTGGGAGGCCGAGGTGGGAGGATCACTTGAGGCCAGGAGTTTGAGACAAGCCTGGGCAACATCTTGAGATAGCAAAGACTTGGAACCAACCCAAATGTCCAACAATGATAGACTGGATTAAGAAAATGTGGCACATATACACCATGGAATACTATGCAGCCGTAAAAAATGATGAGTTCATGTCCTTTGTAGGGACATGGATGAAGCTGGAAACCATCATTCTCAGCAAACTATTGCAAGGACAAAAAACCAAACACTGCATGTTCTCACTCATAGGTGGGAATTGAACAATGAGAACACATGGACACAGGAAGGGGAACATCACACACCAGGGACTCTTGTGGGGTGGGGGGAAGGGGAGGGATAGCATTAGGAGATACACTTAATGCTAAATGACGAGTTAATGGGTGCAGCACACCAACATGGCACATATATACATATGTAACAAACCTGCACGTTGTGCACATGTACCCTAAAACTTAAAGTATAATAATAATAAAATTTAAAAAAAAAAAGAGATCTTGTCTCTACAAAGTTTATAAATAAAAAGAGAAAAAAAAATGGAAGCATTTTGTTTTGCCTCTGAGAGTAAGCCCTGGCCAACAAATTACAAAGCCCAGTGTGCCCTCTTGAAAGGAAAAAGGGGGCTGGGCACTGTGGCTCACATGCCTATAATCCCAACACTTTGGGAGGCCAAGGCGGTTGCATCACCTGAGGTCAGGAGTTCAAGACCAGCCTGGCCGACATGGTGAAACCCCATCTGTACTAAAAAAAAAAAAAAAAACATATATATATATACACATATATATATGTATATATATATATACGTATATATATGTATATATATACACGTATATATATACGTATATATACACGTATATATATATACATATACATACGTATATATATACATATACATATATATACACATATATATACATATACATATATATACACATATATATACATATATATACACATATATATACATATATATACACACATATATATATACATATATATATATATACACACACACACACACACATATATATATATATATATACAAAAATTAGCCAGGTATGGTGTTGCATGCCTGTAATCCCAGCTACTCAGGAGGCCGAAGCAGGAGAATTGCTTGAGCAAGGTGGAGGTTGCAGTGAGCCAAGATGGCACCACTGCACACCAGCCCGGGTGACAGAGCGAGACACTCTCTCAAAAATAAAAATAAAAAGAGGAAAAAGGGGATGAGACCCTCTTGTTCTTCAGTGATAAACCTACAAGGAAAGAAGACAGAGTTACCATCTCATTCTGTGTGCCAGGCTCCAGGGCTTCTGCCTGAGACCCCCTGCCACCTTCCTGCTATCCCTGCAAGAAGAAAAGGAAATGGCTTCATGAGCAGCATCTCGAAGACACAGCTGGGGGCATGCAGACCACATGCTGGGCTCTGGCATGCAGGTCCTGCTCTAGCCCCTTCTAGCATCTACCTGGGGACAGACGTTCCCTTCACTCCTCACCCAGGGCACCCATCTGTGGGGCAAAGGGGAGGCTGAAGAGATGTTCTCGTCTGCACCCCCGACTCAGAATTGTTGCCTTCTCCTGATCCTGTCCCCCCAGTGTTCCAGGCCTGCAGATTCCAAATTCAATTTCCTTCTTAGGTTTTTTTTGTTTTTTGTTTTGTTTTGTTTTGTTTTGTTTTGTTTTGTTTTTAATGAGATAGAGTCTCACTCTCTCACCCAGGCTGGAGTGCAGTGGTGCGATCTCGGCTCACTGCAACCTTTGCCTCCCGGGTTCAAGCGATTCTCCTGCCTCAGCCTCCCGAGTAGCTGGGATTACAGGTGTGAGCCACCGTGCCTGACCATGATTATTTTTTAAGAACAGGGTCTCATTCTGTCACCCAGGCTGGAGTGCAGTGGTGCAATCGTAGCTCACTGCAGTCTCAAACCCCTGCTCAGCCTCCTGAGTATCTGGGACTACAGGTACATACCACCACACTCAGATAATTTATTCTATTTTTTGTAGAGACAGGATCTTGCTATGTTGCCCAGGCTGCTCTCTGACTCCTGGTCTCACACGATCCTCCTGCCTCGGTCTCCAAAAGTGCTGGGATTACGGATGGGAGCCACCATGCCCAACCAATGTTTGCTCTTTTTCCCCATCAGAACATCAGTTCTTCAAGTAAGAGAAATAGATGAGCTCGTAGTTTTTTCATCTCCTCTGTGCCCTACACAGGCACAAGAAGAAGTAGTAGAGAACATACACAATAAATATTTTTGAATTGCATTAAAAACATGGCCTTAGAGATATCGTCTGGAGGGAGAGGAGGAGATACATCTGCTCTACAAGTGCCCAGGGAAACAGAGAGAGAAAGATGCAAGTTCCTCCTTTCATCCTCTCTGTGCCCTACATAGGTACATGCAAACAACATGTAGAAGATACACAATAAATATTTTGATTTTCATTATACTATCTGAAAAAAACAATCCACATTTGTGCCTGCAAAAGCATTCACTATTCTTACCTCCTGGAATGAGAACCAGGCACTGATGCATTCTGCCTCTTCTTTAATGTTCTGGGTTTTTTTCCTTTTTTTTTCTTCTTCCTTATGCTAATGGCTTAGTTTTTTTCTTTTGCTTAACTTCTGCAGAAAGAAATGAAATGAATGTCAAATGTTCTCATGCAAGAGGGGTCCACAGTGTGACTCATGAGGGTTTGGGCTGAAGAAGGAGACACTGTCTCCAAAGCTGGAGTCCTGTTCATGGGAAGAATTCTCAGCCCCACAACTCAACCCTATCCTGTCTGATGTGGGGCTGGAAGGAAGAGAAGCTCAGAGGTGATGCATGTTAATAAAGTATGCTAAATTATATGCTGGTGGCATTAATAGCAATCAGGCTTGTAGAACATAGGATCTAATGGCTCATAAATGAGATGCAAGTTCATTTTTATAGGCCCACTATAATAAACTAATTATTTTGGAACTCTCCAATTATGCATTTTTCAAAAAGCTGAATTGCATTAAAAACATGTTACGGCTTTATAGATCTTGTCTTTAGGGAGATGAGGAGATACATCTGCTCCACAAGTGCCCAGGGAAAGAGAGGGAGAGAAAGAGAGAATCCCAGGCAATAGATAACGAATAAACCAGCTACCAGATGACAAATGTAGTCAAGGAAGACAAAGAGCTGTCAGTTTCCTCATCAATTACAGCTGGTCCCTAACCCACGGGAGAGCAAATTGCCAGAGGCATCAGAGATGGCTCTGTTAGAATTATGGCATTTGAGATCTCCACTGATTTATTCAGTGCCTGGAGTACAGAAGGGTGTCTGTTGCTTTGGGATTAAGATTTTTGCACTCAAAGCCACCCAGGAGCTCAGGGAGAGCCTGATGATGTCAGAAACACTCTCGGTCCATATCTCTCGGTAAGGGCAGGCTTCTGACAAGCCCACCGAGCAAGCCAGAGACTGTTGATGTGCCCAAGGAGGCCTGCGGTCTAGCTGCAGGGAGCATGTGGGGAGGGACTAACATGTCACACTGACTCTCAGCTAATTAAAGACGGAGGGCCTACTTTAGAATGAAGCCCTTGTACGTGTCTCTGAAGGTCCTGCACACTCAACACAGGTTACCTGTGTGGCCGGGTGCGTTCAAATTCCAGTTCTGTGCCTCATTTCCCATGCCACAGCCACACTCACTTGTTACTTAACCTTGGAGAGGAGGGAACATTGTTTAAGGTTCATTCTTTTCCACCTTTGTAAAACATGTAATCCCAGCACTTTGGGAGGCTGAGGTGAGCAGATCGTTTGAGCCCAGGAGTTCAAGAGGAGTCTGGGCAATTAGGAGAAACCCTGTTTCTACAAAAAAATACAAAAGAAATTTAGCTAGGCATGGTAGTACGTGCCTGTAGTCCCAGCTACTCCAGAGGCTGAGGTGGGAGGATAGCTTGAGTCCAGGAGGTTGAGGCTGCAGTGAGCCATAATCGTGCCACTGCACTCCAGCCTGGGTGGCAAAGTGAGACCTTGTCTATGAAATAAAAAAATAAATAATAAATAAAACATTGTATGCTCATGGTAGGATAATGGAGGTAAAACATGTTATATTCTACCACTAGTTGATCAGAAAAATAAAAGCAATGAGACCCACGTTATGCATCAGATGGCTTCACAACCATATATGTGAATACATATTCACAACCATCCAATGCATAAGGTGGGTCTCATTGCTTTAATTTTTCCCATTGACTAGTAAGATGTCTCACCTCATCCTCTGGAGGAATCTCTTCTCCTTGAATTGTCCAAAGATGCCGGGGACGCAAACTGTGCAAAATGGGACAATTGGACTTCTGTGCTCAAGAGGAATTGATGCTGGAGTCTCTGTCTCATCTGCTGCTCTCTTTGCATGCACATGTCAGGGCTGGTGGTACCCTGCAAGATTCCACAAAGAAGATGGTGTGATGGTTGGGAGACTCTCGTCTCCACTACTTGCCGCTGAAGTTGCTGACCAACTGCTGCAGCTTCACCAGGAAGACAGATCCTATCCTCTCGGACAGATCTCGGCAAAGGGCCCTAAACGTGGATGCCCATGGTTACAGGCTCCACTGCCCATCTCTCCAGCTCCCTCCTGCTGCCGTCCTCAGGGTGCCTGCGACTGCACAGTGCTGGGTGCAGGCTGACCCTGCAGACCCAGGACCAATGTATGTCTTTATCCCCAGGGATTCAGTGCTGGTGGTCCTAGAACTCTTTCTTCTCAAGCCTCAAAACCGAAGTACTGGATTAAATTCTCTTTCCCCAGTGGCTCCCACCACCCACTTTTCGGGAGGAAGCCCCCCTCAAGAAGTCAGAGGAAATCTTTCTAAAGGAAAATCCTAGAATGAAGCTAAGATGCTCACAGCATTCTTTGCAGCAAGAAGAAGGAAGGCAATTTGCTGACATCTCGCTCTAGAAAACAGGGGAAAAAACCACAAATTTCATCTCTGTTGATCAGAGTATACCTGACCCCACCAAAGAATAACCAATATTCTCTTAATGTCCTCCTTCTCTTTCCTAAACCCCATATGTAGGGCTGTCTTCCAATATCCTATTTCTCCTACCCCCAAATATACATTTTTCTTTTCTTCTTTTTTTTTTTTTTTGAGATAGAGTCTCACTTTTGTCACCCAGGCTGGAGTGCAGTGGTGTAATCTCAGCTCACTACAACCTCCACATTCCAGGTTCAAGTGATTCTCCTGCCTCAGCCTCCTGAGTAGCTGGGATTACAGGCACCCACCACCATGCCCAGATAATTTTTTTGGTATTTTTAGTAGAAACGGGGTTTCACCATGTTGGACAGGCTGGTCTCGAACTCGTGACCTCAGGTGATCTGCCCACCTCAGCCTCCCAAAGTGCTGGGATTACAGGCAAGAGCCACCACACCTGGCCACATTTTTTCTGTTTTTATAACTTGCTAACATTTCTAAAATTCAGATATGTGCTTAATTGGTCCATACATTCTTTAAAATTATTATATTTTAAAATAACTATGCTACTAATGATATATATCATAATGTTTTAAATCAATGTATTATTATAGTTAGAGGAACTTCTCAAGCCTCAAAGCATCCAGTAAATACTTTTGAGTTGGTAAATTAAATGTTTCTTTATTTGTTTTTCTCACTAAATTGAGATTCTCCTGCCCAGATATAGCTTATATCACATTTTTTCACTGTTATATCATAAGCATACATTATCATTAAATATTCTTCAAAGTCATTATGGCAAAGGTATTGATCAAAATAAACATACTATTATATAGATATGGCTTAATTTAATTACCCACTTTTCTCTTGTTGGACTTTAAAATTGCTTTTTTCCCAAGAAAATATAAATGCTATGAGTATTCTTATATACAAATCTTCATCTGTATCTTTGATTATTTACTTTACGTAAGTTCCTAGAAGTGCAATTCCTGTCAAATTATGAACATTTTAAAGACTATTGGTTGGTATTGCCAAAATACTGTCCAAAGACCTTCTATTTATTTGTAAGAACATAACATTACATTCTTATT
Source organism: Homo sapiens (assembly GCF_000001405.40). Taxonomy (NCBI): domain Eukaryota; kingdom Metazoa; phylum Chordata; class Mammalia; order Primates; family Hominidae; genus Homo; species Homo sapiens. The sequence continues at coordinate 67,844,708 of NC_000007.14, read as the reverse complement.
TCTCTACAACTATGCTAGCTTTAGGTATTGTCATAAAAAAAAATAAGTTCATCGCCAGGTGCAGGGGCTCACACCTATAACCACACCACTTTGGGAGGCAGAGGCAGATGGATAGCTTGAGTCAGAGTTTGAGGTCAGCCTGGGCAACATGGCGAAACTTCATCTCTACAAAACATACAAAAAAAATTAGCCAGGTGTGGTGGCATGCATCTGCAATCCCAGCTACTTGGGAGGGAGGCTGAGATGGGAGGATTGTCTGAGCCTGGGAGGTCAAGGTTGCAGTGAGCCATAATCATGCCACTGCACTCCAGCCTGGGTGACAGAGTGAGTGAGGTGTTGTCTAAAAAGTAAATAAATAAAAAATAAAAATTTTTTAAAAGTTTGCTAACAAAAAAATACCTCATTTTAACCTACATCTACACTTCAGTTATTAAGAAGATTGAGAATTTTGGCATACTATTTCCTATGTTTCCTCTTTTTTTTTTTTTTTTTTTTTTGAGACAGAGTCTTACTCTGTCACCCAGGCTGGCGTGCAGTGGCGTGATCTCAGCTCACTGCAACATCTGCCTCCTAGGTTCAACCAATTCTCATGCCTCAGCCTCCTGAGTAGCTGGGATTACAGGCCCCCACCACCATGCCTGGCTAATTTTTGTAGTTTTAGTAGAGACAGGGTTTCACCATGCCGGCCAGGCTGGTCTTGAATTCCTGACCTTGAGTGGTCTACCCACCTTGGCCTCCCAAAGTGCTGGGATTACAGGCACGAGCCACCGTGCCACCATGCCTGACCTGTGTTTCCTCTCTTGTATGTTGTCAGCTCTTGCCTTTTCTCCACTTAACCTAATGATGTCCTAGTGCTTTTCTTATCGGTGTGTACAAATATAGATAGAGAAGCCCCTTTGCTCTACCACAATCATAGGAGAACAGAAGACCAGTGAATTTTATCTCCCACAGCAGGGAGGCCCCTAGGGCACGGAGCCTTTGATTCTGTCTCTCTAGCAGCCAGCCCAATAAATGTTAAATGAATGAATGAATGATGAGTGATCACAGCAGCTTTTGGATGTCATGCTTGTGGCAAGTCTGTGTCAGTTCATTTGCCTTTGAATATTTTTAAAGATACAGACGTAGACTCTTCGGAATCTTTCTTGCAGTTTCTTACACTGCTTAGAAACCATGGAGGTCTTCCGCATCCAAGGGGTTGTTAAATATGCAGTTCTATTTTCTGCCTGTTTTCCCACTGTTTGCTGTTCTATGCGACATTTTATTTCTTGTGTTCTTAATGGAAGCCAAAGCAGCTGGACGGGACCCACCAATGGCTCTTTAGAACCAAATGCCTGGGTAAACAGTCCCCATCACCAGGGAAGACACCTAAGGAGGTGACTTGTTGCACCGCACATTTTCCTATATCTGCTGCCAGTTGGCCTTCTAGAGAGAATAATTTTTAACACCAGGCTGCACTCCCTCTGCCAGGAAGCATGTTATAAACACCAGTCCTCTCCTCCCAGTATGGGGCTTCCTACTAAATCGGTTAATTTTCCTCCCCCTGTCTGAGAAGGAGGCCAAGCAGGAGCTTTATTTACAAAGGTTAAACATGGCTTTAATTGGATTGCTGGCATTTAAGCCCCAAGCCCTCTCTCCTTCTCCTTTGTCCTTCTCATTCATAACCGGAGAAATGCCTCCAACAAATGCCAAGGGAAAGTTTCATTTTAATAAAGCAGAGATGAGGAGGATCCCTTTGGAGACATCAGTTACAGTTTTGAGCCACCACCAACGAATGAACTGAATCACAAATGGTCCTCAGCCACTGCATTATTGAGCAGAGGAAATGTGAGGAGTCTCTGGACAGAGGAGAAGGCGAAATTTGCCACGTATATGGTCTGTTTTCCAAGAAGTGCTGTTTCCCATACTGAGATCAAGGCTGTTGTCAGACGCACACTCATGGTCTGACCATCTGAAAGCAGATGGTCACATGTTGACAGAGAGAGAGAATGCAGGCAACAGATAGAGAACCAGTTTCATCCCAAGGTTGGCCACTGTCTAGCTTGTAACAAGGGACATGTCATTCCCTCACCAGACCTAAGTTCCCTCCCATCTCTGACACCCCTCTGTCCCTCCTTTCTTTCTAGGTTAATCATGCTGATAGGAATATGATATCAGCAAAGGAAAGACATGGGATAAATCCAGAGATATGCACACTGACAGAGTTTCTTCTGTGAGATTACTAGGTCAACTCAAAAGCCTAAATTTCTTGTATTTGTGGATTTTTTTTTAACATTTATTTTAGTTTCAGGGGCACGTGGGCAGATTTGTTATACAAATAAACTCGTGTCATGGGGGTTTGTTGTACAGATTGTTTCATGACCCAGATACTGAGCCTAGCACCCATTTGTTATTTTTTCTGCTCCTTTCCTTCCTCTTACCCTCTACCTTCCACCCTCACATAGGCCCCAGTGTCTGTCGTACCCCTCTTTGTGTCCATGTGTTCTCATCTTTAAGCTCCCATCTGTAAGTGAAAACATGTGGTATTTGGTTTTCTGGTCCTGCATTAGTTTGCTAAGGATAATGGCCTCCAGCTCCATCCATGTTTAGGCAAAGGGCATAATCTTGTTCTTTTTCATGACTGCATAGTATTCCACTGTGTATAGGTACCACATTTTCTTTATTCAGTCTACCTTTGATGGGCATTTAGGTTGCTTCCATGTCTTGGTTATTCTGAATAGTACTGCAATGAACATACGTGTACATGTGTCTTTAAGATAGAATGACTTATATTCCTTTGGCTCTATACCCACCAACGGGATTGCTGGGTCGAATAGTAGTTTTGTTTTCAGCTATTTGAGGAATTGCCACACTGCTTTCCACAATCGTTGAACCAATTTACACTTTCGCTAACAGCATATAAGCATTCCCTTTTCTCCACAACCTGGCCAGCATTTGTTACTTTTTGGCTTTTTAATAACAGCCATTCTGGGGCCAGGCGTGGTGGTTCATGCCTGTAATCCCAGCACTTTGGGAGGCCAAGGAGGGTGGATTACTTGAGGTCAGGAGTTCGAGACCAGCCTGGCCAACATGGTGAAAACCCATCTCTACAAAATACAAAAATTAGCCAGGCTTACGTGATGGCAGGCGCCTGTAACCCCAACTACTCGGGAGGCTGAGGCAGGAGAATCGCTTGAACCCAGGAGATGGAGGTTGCAGTGAGCCGAGATCTCACCACTGCACTCCAGCCTGGGTAACAGAGCTAGACTGTGTCTCAAAATAATAATAATCGTAGCCATTCTGACTGGTGTGAGATGGTTATCTCGTTGTGGTTTTAATTTGTGTTTCTCTAATGATCAGTTAGTTTTTGTAGAGACAGGGGTAGGAGTTGATGGAGGTCGGGGGTAGGTCTCACTATGTTGCCTAGGCTGGTCTCAAACTCCTGGCATCAAGCAGCCCTCTCACCTCAGCCTCCCAAAGTGATGGGATTACAGGTGTAAGCCACCACGCCTGGTCACTCCAAGAGTTTTTGATGCAATAGGTCTGAGATAGAGTCTGATAATTTCTGTTTCTAACAAGTTCCCAGGTGATGCTAATGCTACTGGCCAGGAAAAAAAATTGGAAATTGACTGCACTGACTCATCTAAGGTGCCTTTGAGTCTTCCTTATGAGATCCAATTAGCACAAGCTCATCAATGTAAAGGATTAATATAAAGTTCTGTGGCCAGCCACGGTGGCTCACGCCTGTAATCCCAGCACTTTGGGAGGCCAAGGTGGGTGGATTACCTGGAGTCAGAAGTTCGAGACCAGCCTGGCCAACATGGCAAAACCTCGTCTCTACTAAAAATACAAAAATTAGCTATGTGTGGTGGTGCCTGCTTGTAATCCCAGCTATCAGGAGGTTGAGGGAGGAAAATCACTTGAACCCAGGGGGCGGAAGTTGTAGTGAGCTGAGATTGCATCACTGCCCTAAAGCCTGGACCACAAGAGTGAGTCTCCTTCTCAAAAAATAAATAAATAAAAATAAATAAATAAATAAAGTTCTGTGGTACCTCAAGATGATCAGGATCTCTTTAGACTGTTACATCAGTGATCAGAAAAGTCAATACACATCTGAGATAAAACCGTGAGGCTATACTGCTGCCCTTGTCATGCGAAAGCAATCAACTTATTTTAATTTTCACTGATAAGGATAGAAAAAAAAGTTTTGTAGATCCACATCTGTATAACAGGTACAGGGGTTATTTATGAATGTGTTCTAGAAAAGCCACTATATCTGAAAGACTATCTTAAATTGGAATTTCCATTTTGTTACATTTGTGATAAGCCACAGTCATTCTCCAAGATCTGTCTACCTTCTGCATGGACCAAACAGAAGAATTCAATGGGAATGTGCTAGAATCATCATCCTGGAGCTTTCAAGTCTTTTAGGGTGGCATTAATCTCCGCTCTTCCCCCAGGATTACAACATTTCTTTGAGTTACTACCCAGGAAGGAGGGGGAGTGCTAAGGATCGTCACTTGTTTCTTTCTGTCATAAGAATTTCCACTCCATGGGTCAGAAAACCAATGTGGGAATTCTCCAGTGACTAAGTCCAGTTTATATTGAAATATCAAAATAACGAAATAAATTACATTAAATTATTAGCCCCAGTTATTCACTCCCTTTGCACAGAATTTCATAACCACTCCCTTGTTGTGACTAGTAGTGGACAAATTGTACTTTCCCACTTCATGAACTTGAACTTAATAACAAAAAGGAAACCAACCCAATATAAAATAGGCAAAAAACGTCTGCAGACATTTCGCAAAAGAAGATGATATTAGTGACCAATAAGTTCAGGGAAAAGTGTTCAACATTGTGGTTTTTTTGTTTTTGTTTTGTTTTGTTTTGTTTTTTGAGACCCAGTCTTGCTCTGTCACCCAGGCTGCAGTGCAGTGGTGTGACCTCAGCTCATGCAATCTTCGCCTCCTGCGTTCAAGCGATTCTTGTGCCTCAGCCTCCTGGGTAGCTGGGATTACAGGCGCCTGCCACCATGCCTGACTAATTTTTGTATTTTTAGTAGAGACAGGTTTTCACCATGGTGGATAGGCTGGTTTCGAACTCCTGACCTCAAGTGAACCACTCGTCTTGGCCTCTCAATGTGCTGGGTTTACAGGCATGAGCGAGCCACCACGCCTGGCCTGTTCAACATTTTTTAAAACCACATTAAGATATCATTTATACACCCATTAGAATGGCTAAAATTATAGAGACTAGCAACAGTAAATATTGGCAAGAATGTGGAGAAACTAGACCCTGCTGATGAGGGTGTAAAATGGTGCAACCAGTTTGGAAAATGGGTATTTTTTTGTAAAGTTAAAAATGCATATATCCAGGCTGGGCGCAGTGGCTCAAGCCTGTAATCCCAGCACTTTGGGAGGCCGAGGCAGGCGGATCACGAGGTCAGGAGATCGAGACCATCCGGGCTAACATGGTGAAACCCCATCTCTACTAAAAATACAAAAAATTAGCCAGGCGTGGTGGCGGGTGCCTGTAGTCCCAGCTACTCGGGAGGCTGAGGTAGGAGAATGATGTGAACCCAGGAGGCGGAGCTTGCAGTGAGCCGAGATCACACCACTGCACTCCAGCCTGGGTGACAAGAGAGACTCCATCTCAATAAAAAAAAAGCATATATCCCAAGACCCAGTAATCCCTCTCTTACATATTTACCCCAAAGAAATAAAAGTATAAGACCACTAAAAGCTCTTTACAAGAATGCTCATAGCGGTTTTTAAATATAATAATCAAAATTGAGGACAACACAGGTTATTGTGGCAAGAAGAAACAAATGTAGGGTCTGTCAATTCCCTTTCCTTTCAGGAGAGTCAACACAAATTTTCATTAGTAGGAAAATTATTATGAAAATTGTGCTTATTCAGATATTATTTAGCAATAAAAAAGAACAAATGACTGCTACATATAAATCTCACGAGCATGAGCTGAGATCATGCCACTACACCTCAGCCTCCCAAGTAGCTGGGATTACAGGCATGCGCCACCACACCTGGCTAATTTTGTATTTTTAGTAGAGATGGGGTTTCTCCATGTTGGTCAGACTGGTCTCAAACTCCTGACCTCAGGTATCTGCCCACCTGGAATATATCCTTTCCTTCCAGGATAGTCAATACAAATGTTCATTAATAGGAAAATTATTATGAAAATTGTGCTTATTCATATATTATGTAGCAATAAAAAAGAACAAATGACTGCTACATATAACTACATAGAGAAATATTAACATTATGTTGAAAAATGGAAGCTGCAGACAGAAAATTGTATTCCGCATGATGGTATGTGTATAGGAGGTTTGAGAATTGGCAAAACTAGTCTATGATGATGAGAGTCACAGCAAGGGTTGCTTCTGAGGGTTGGAAATTGACTTCAAGGATGACATAAAGGAATTTGCTGGAGTGATGTTACTATCCTTATATCTTATATCTTGAGTATTAGTTAAACCTGCTTATACAATGGCAAAATTCATTAAATTGTAAGCTTAATATTTGTGTATTTCACTCTACATAAATTTTAACCTGACTTTTAAAAAAAATACAAAAATAAAACAGATTCAACATGGGATAAAGACAAGGCCACTACTATCTCATTTGTTGCTTTTGCATGCATTAGACAAAAGAGCTTCTCCACAGGAAGATGCAACCCAGTGGGCATGTGGCTTAGCTATGAGTAAGAGCAGTCCCTCTGTGCAAATTAGCAAATGGTATCTCTTCCTCCAGGTGATGGCTGAGCACAGCTTGGATTTCAGCTTCCACTCACCCCCTCATCCCAGTGCCCTTATGTAGAATACACAAGGACACGTGTATATGACAGCTCTGGGTAAGAGAGTTCTAAATGCATGTCAACACTCATTCATAGTTTCTGCTAAGAGGGCTCAGAGCACCTTGCCAACTCACAGTGGTCATCTGGTTGCATTGGCATAGGACTAACTGCAGATGATGGACACCTTTTCTTTCTTTCTTTCTTTCTTTTTTCTTTTTTTTTTTTTTTTTGGAGATGGAGTTTCACTCTTGTTGCCCAGGCTGGAGTGCAATGGCATGACCTCGGCTCACCGCAGCCTCCACCTCCCGGGTTCAAGAGATTCTCCTGCCTCAGCCTCCCTAGTAGCTGGGATTACACGCATGCACCATCACGCCCAGCTAATTTTGTATTTTTGGTAGAGACGGGGTTTCACCATGTTGGCCATGTTGGTCTTGAACTCCTGACCTCAATTGATCCTCCCATCTCAGCCTCATAAAGTGGTGGGATTACAAGTGTGAGCCACCATGCCCAGCTGGGCACTTTATTTTCTTTTTTCTTTTTTTTTTTTTTTTTTTTTTGAGACGGAGTCTCGCTCTGTCGCCTAGGCTGGAGTGCAGTGCACCATCTCAGCTCACTGCAAGCTCCACCTCCTGGGTTCACGCCATTCTCCTGCCTCAGCCTCCCAAGTAGCTGGGACTACAGGTGCCCGCCACCAGGCCCGGCTAATTTTTTTTGTATTTTTAATAGAGACGGGGTTTCACCGTGTTAGCCAGGATGGTCTTGATCTCCTGACCTTGTGATCCGCCCGCCTCGGCCTCCCAAAGTGCTGGGATTACAGGCATGAGCCACCGCGCCCAGCTGGGTACTTGATTTTCAATTCTGTCCAACAACATCATGAAACCACTTAATTGGCCATCTTCAGATCTTCTCATGGAGTTGCCCTGTTTTCTGGAAAAGGGAGTTTTTAAAAATCCACGTCAATAAGTATCTTCCTTGGCTGGGCCTCAGTTTCTTTATGTAGATGAATTTCTTTCTCATTGAAGTGACTGAAGAAGAGGATTTCTCCCTGCTCATCTTTTGATCAAATTTCAGTGAATTACACATTTCTCCCTCAAACCCATTCTTGAATAGACTCAATTCTTATTTACAGTATTGATTCATCTCAAGTATATAATAATACAAACTTCCTCATTTTAGGAAAAAGAAAACATCAAAGCAGCAAAATAAACAAAATTTTAAAATCATCCTTTATCCCCCTATACCAAATTAACTACTTTTAATTATTTTATGTAATTTTCTTTCAGGTACTTAAAACTTCTTTAGGCCACGCACAGTGGCTCAGACCTGTAATCCCAGCACTTCAAGAGGCCAAGGTGGGTGGATTGCTTGAGTCCAGGAGTTCAAGACCAGCCTGGGCAATAGGAAAAGACCCCATTTCTACGAAAACTAAAAACATTAGCTGGCCATGGTGACACATGCCTGTAGTCCCAGCTACTCAGGAGGCTAAGGTTGGAGGATCCTTTGAGCCCAGGAGGTCAAGGCTGCAGTGAGCCATCATCACGCCACTGCACTCCAGCCTTGGTGACAGAGAGAGAACTTGTCTCTAAAAAAAATTATAGAAATAAAAATTTAAAAAACAAACCTTTTTTATTGGTTCCCTCTATAAAAATTATTTTGATACTTTTAAATTTCAAATTAATATATTGTGAATATCTTCATTGTCTATAAATGTTCCCTAAATCATTATTTTAATGACTTTACATTGTCTAACCATGTAATATTATAACTTATTTAATCAGTTCTGTATTAGTGGATATTCATTGGTTTTCATTTTTGGGTAGTATTAATAATGCTGTAATGCATAGTCTTATAATAAAGTTTTTGCATATTGCTTTAATTATTTCCTTAGGAAAAAACTTAGAAATACAATTCTGGATCAACATTTATGCATAGATATATTTATTATTATTATTTCGAGTTAAGGTATCTTTCTATCACACAAGCTGAAGTTCTGTGAGCTGGGACTACAGGTATGCATCACCACACCCAACTAATTTTTAAATTTTTTTTTAGAAATGGGGTCTCACTATGTTTCCCAGGCTGGTCGCAAACTCCTAGCCTCAAGTGATTCTCCCACCAGCCTCCAAAACTGCAAGGATTATAGTCATAAGCCCCCATGCCTAACCAACATTTATGTATATTCTTAAGACTTTTAAAATATAACTATCAAATCATCATCCAGAAAAGCTGGGATAATATGTACTCCCACCATTGTATTAGACTGTACAGTCACATGGATACCTCGCCATCATGGGTATTACCATGTATATTTAAAAATCTTTCCCAAATCAATAGAAGAAAAAAGCATATCACTACCTTATTTTGCATTCTTTTGATTACCAGTAAGGGGAACATTTTTTTTTCTTATGTTTATTTCAGAGTTTTGTTTTGTTAAGAGTAATTTTGTTACATTTATTCTCTATTTTGCATTATCCTCCTTTTTAATAAACAGTTCAATTCCCTAAGCTGCTATAAAATACTTTACTTTTTCCTTGTAAGAAAAGTTTTATTTTCATATTCTTAATTAAAGAAGAGGGTTCAGAAGCAAGATACAAATCAGTTTGGTCCTTACGGGCAAACTGCACTCATGATGTGCATTTTCACTTTATAAGAATTAGATGGTAAATATCTGATGTAGCCTACAGGAAGAAGGGCTAGCACTAAGGTTCCATCTCAAGCAAACCTGGCTTCCACATGTTCCCTCAGAGGCCGGGCGCGGTAGCTCACGCCTGTAATCCTAGCACTTTGGGAGGCCGAGAAGGGTGGATCTCCTCAGGTCAGGAGTTCAAGATCAGCCTGGCCAACATGGTGAAACGCCACCTCTATTAAAAATACAAAACTTAGCCAGATGTGGTGGCGCATGCCTGTGATCCCAGCTACTCAGGAGGCTGAGGCACAAGAATCCCTTGAACCCACAAGGTGGAGGTTGCAGTGAACCAAGATGGCACCACTGCACTCCAGTCTGGGAAACAGAGCAAGACTCTGTCTCAAGAAAAAAAAAAATTGCTCTTCCACAAATACCTAGTGACCTTGTAATTGTCAAATTCCAACTTCTCTTCCTAACTTCTTTCACCCTTCTGCAGAAATTTCTGCATTTTTTCTTAAATCAAGATAGAAAGGATCTCACTTTATCACTCAGGCTGGAGTGCAATGACATGATCATAGCTCACTGCAGTCTCAAACTCCTGGGCTCAAGTGATTTTCCTGCCTCGGCCTCCCAAGTAGCTGGGACTACAGGTTTGCACCACCATGCCTGGTTACTTTTTAAAAAAAGTGTTTTTTTGGTAGAGTTGGGGGTCTCACTATGTTGCCCAGGCTGGTCTCAAACTCCGAGGCTCAAGCAATCCTCTCTCCTCAGCCTACCAAAGTGCTGGCATCCCAGGTATGAGCCACCATTCCTGGCCCCCTCCTTTTTTTTTTTTTTTTTTTTTTTTTGAAACAGAGTTTCACGCTTTTTGCCCAGCTGGAGTGCAATGGCAGGATCTCGGCTCACTGCAACCTCCACTTCCCTAGTTCTAGTGACTTTCCTGCCTCAGCCTCCTGAGTAGATGGGATTACAGGCATGCGCCACCAAGTCCAGCTAATTTTGTATTTTTAGTAGAGTCAGGGTTTCTCCATGTTGTTCAGGCTGGTCTCGAACTCCCTACCTCAGGTGACCCGCCCACCTCGGCCTCCCAATCTCCGTTGTTTTTTTACCACATTTCCTTTGCTTGGCTTCTCTGAGATTAATCAACCCAGGTTTTCTGGCAATTGCCTCAGTTACTGCTTCTCAGCCTTCTCCACCAACTCCTCTGTGCATTGATTCCACACTCCTCTCCTTGGCTTGGCACCTGCAATAGTTTTCTAGGGCTGCTGGAACAAAAAAGTACCATGAACCAGGTGACTTAAAGCAACAGACATGTGTTGTCTCACAGTTCTGGAGGCTGGTAGTTTAAAATTAAAGTTTTGGGGCCAGGTGTGGTGGCTCACACCTGTAACCCCAACACTTTGGGAGGCCGAGGCAGGCAAATCGCTTGAGGTCAGGAGTTCAAGAAGACCAGCCTGGCCAACATGGTGAAACCCCATCTCTACTAAAAATACAAAATGTAGCTGGGTGGGTTGGCAGGCACCTGTAGTCCCAGCTACCCGGGAGGCTGAGGCATGAGAAATGCTTGAACCCGGGAGGTGGAAGTTGCAGTGAGCTGAGATCGTGCCATTGCACTCCAGCCTGGGTGACAGAGCAAGACTCCGTCTCAAAAAGGAAAAAAAAAAAATTGCCAGGGCAGTACTCCCTCTGATGGTTCTAGGGAAAACATATTTTCTTGCCTCCTTCTAGATTCTGGTGTTTTCCAGCAATCATTATCATTCTTTGCTTGCATCATTCCAGACATATGACTGGCTTCTCCCTGTGTCTTCATGTCAGATTTTTATTTTTAAGAAATTTTTAGTAGAGGTGGGGGGTCTCACTATGCTGTCCAGGCTGGCCTCGAACTCCTGGCCTCAAGCGATCCTCCTGACTCAGCCTCCCAAATTCCTGGGATTACAGGCATGAGCCACCTCACCCAGTCAGCTTATTTTCACAAGGACACCTGTTATATTGAATTAGAGCTAAATAAGTACTAACATACATTAAACATTTCTAAAACTCTTAGATATAGAGAAACTGACCCAAATTATTTTCAAGTTCATGTAATTTAGATAGATCTTTGATAAATAAGACTGGTTTAACATCATTAGTTTAGTAAAACAAATTTGTCTTCTGTGTTATGTGTATTAGGGTGATATAAGTGGAATAAAAGTTTTAGGTATGGACTTTTCCATAATAATTATATTTTAACATATCTGCCTAAAAATAGTTTCCAAATCTTTTGCTAACTTTCAACCTTAAGGATATACAAAGTTGTAGAAGATGTGCATAAAATCTTGTAAAGAGAATCTTATCTCGTGTGGTCAAAGCTGGCCAAGACTGGATGAATTTATTACTTTTTTTTTTTTTTTTTTAAGAAATCAGCTTTAGGGCACAGTGGCTCACGCATATAATCCCAGCACTTTGGGAGGCCAAGGTGGGTGGGTCATCTGAGGTCGAGAGTTCCAGACCAGCCTGACCAACATGGCGAAACCCCTTCTCTACTAAAAATACAAAATTAGCCAGGTGTGGTGGCGTGAGCCTGTAATCCCAACTACTCGGGAGGCTGAGGCAGGAGAATTGCTTGAACTGGGGAGGCTGATATTGAAGTGAGCTGAGATCACGCCATTGTTCTCCAGCCTGGGCAACAAGAGCGAAACTCCATCTCAAAAAAAAGAAGAAATCAGCTTTAATATCAATACTGACACAATACAAGATTTCAATTTTCTCTTGGTTAAAATGACACCATTTTCTTCGACCATTGGTCTGCTGTTAATAACAAATTCTGAGTTTTTCTTTACCTTTTGATTAATTCACCTAGATGGATTCTTAACATCCAGAATTCAGAATAAAGATTCTGTCTTACCAAAATAATTTTCTGTGCTTTATGTTAAGTTTACCATGTTCTTAAGAGAATTTTGTCTTTTCACTTTTAAAAGAGCTAAAATTTTTCCCCTGGCGTGGTGGCTCACGCCTATAAAAAAAGAGCTAAGATTTTTCCCCTGGCGTGGTGGCTCATGCCTGTAAAAAAAGAGCTATGATTTTTTCCCCTGGTGCGTGGCTCACACCTATAAAAAATGAGCTAAGATTTTTCACAACCATGCTACCTCCTGTAGTTACTTTTGAAATCTTTTATTGTTACTTTGGTTAAATAGGTGGCTAAGGACTGCTTTACGGTGACCTACAACCCTATTTAGTCAATTGTTCAAACTTTTTGACATTTTTATCAATTTTGCTTTCCCCAACTAAACTCCTTTTTTTTTTTTTTTTTTTTTTTTTTTGACAGCGTCTCCCTCTGTCACCCAGGCTGGAGTGCAGTGGCATGATCTTGGCTCTCTGCAACCTCCGCCTCTCTAGTTCAAGCAATTCTCCTGCCTCAGCCTCCTGAGTAGCTGGGATTATAGGCACGCCACCACACCAGGTTAATTTTTGTATTTTTAGTAGAGACAGAGTTTCACCTTGTTGGCCAGGCTGGTCTTGAACTCCTGACCTCAGGTGATCCACTCACTTCAGCCTCCAAAAGTGCTAGGATTACTGGTGTGAGCCACCACACCCAGCCCAAATCAACTCCTGAATGAAGTATTCTTGATTATGAACTGACTTTGAGATTTTCTGGAAGACCCTGGAAAATCTCAAAGGGTTTTTTTGTTGTTGTTCCTTTTTTTTTTAGTTCTTGTAAAAAGATAAGTGCTAAAAATTAATTTGGTTCATTTGGTTGCTCCATTGCATGAACAGCATTGTCAATTAAGAAGAGACATTAGGCTGGGCACGGTGGCTCACGCCTGTCATCCCAGCACTTTGGGAGGCCAAGGCCGGCAGATCACCTGAGGTCGGGAGTTCAAGACCAGCCTGACCAACATAGAGAAACCCTGTCTCTACTAAAAATACAAAATTAGCCGTTCAGGGTGGCACATGCTTATAATCCCAGCTACTCGGGAGGCTGTGGCAGAAGAATCGCTTGAATCCGGGAGGCAAAGTTTGCAGTGAGCCGAGATCGCCCCATTGCACTCCAGCATGGGCAACAAGAGCGAGACTTTGTCTCAAAAAAAAAAAAAAAAAAAGAGACATTTAATCTTCCCTGTGTTATATTTATGTGTGTAAATATTATTAGTATCAGTATTTCAGAACTGTAGAAATTTGTCAATGCCTTCATTTTCCATATGTCCTAATGCCACTTTGCCTGATATTATGCAACAATATAATGTTATCAGTCATGAATCCTGCTATTATTTTAAAACACTGCATGTCACAGAAACAACCAAATTTCTTTGTCTTTCTGTATCTTTTTTTTTTTTTTTTTTTTTTGAGACAGAGTCTCCCTCTGTCGCCCAGGCTGGAGTGCAGTGGTGCTATCTCGGCTCACTGCAAGCTCCACCTCCCGGGTTCACACCATTCTCCTGCTCAGCCACCCAAGTAGCTGGGACTACAGCCGCCCACCACCACACCCAGATAATTTTTTATATTTTTAGTAGAGACAGGGTTTCACCGTGTTAGCCAGGATGGTCTCGATCTCCTGACCTCGTGATCCGCCCGCCTCGGCCTCCCAAAGTGCTGGGATTACAGGCATGAGCCACCATGCCCGGCCCTGTATCATTTTTATAATGAACCCTTACCAGATCTTTAACAGTGGCCATGTTAAGTCTTTTGTTATTTTTTTTTTTTTAGCTCTGATTCTTCACCAAAAGCATTTTAAATCAACTACAGGCCAGAGTACCTCCTCTTCAACAAAAAGTGACTTTCTCAGAGACCTGTGGAAAGGGCTATATAAGGTACTCTGGCTTTTTATGGCTTTGTTTAAACAACTTTGAGACAATACCATTGGACTAAGAATTTCTAGAACTCTAGTTGAGAAGCTAATGAGTTCATAAAATGGCTAACCTAGATCAGGCAGAAAAAAAATTAATTATATGGAACTAAAAGAACTGATGAAGAATGATGACATTTTTTTCTTTTTTTTTGAGACAAGGTCTCGCTCTGTCACCTAGGCTAGAGTGCAGTGTTGCGACCTCAGCTCACTGCAACCTCCATCTCCCGGGTTCAAGCAGTTCTCCTGCCTCAGCCTCCTGAGTATCTGGGACTACAGGTGCACACCACCACGCCCGGCTAATGATGATGATTTTTTAATAGCTTTTGGTTGGAACATGGCTAGTTGTTTAATATGTGTATATATTGAAAATTCTTTTTCTTTTCTCTTAAAGCCCTCTAAAACACACAAAAACGTAGTAGATTATACTTTTGAGACAGATAAATGAAACAATTTTCTCCCTGTGTGATCCTTCCAAAATTCAGAAACTCTTACTGAATCATCTTATTTTATTGGCAATATAATTGTTTACATGAGTTCAATAAGAATCTGTCCTTGTATAAGCAAAAATGGAAACATTGGTTATATAACCAAGACTTTGACTGGACTATTATATTTGAGAATGCTGTGCATGGCATCAGACACGATCAGACCATTTTAAGGAATGAAAATTGACTTTATAAAGCCAAACTTTACAAAGCCCTCTTAGGAAAACAAGCCTGGTACTTGGCTTACAGGATTCCCAACCTTGCCCTGTAGGTGAGTAATGAAGATCACCTCCTGGCAGGCCCAGGGAACTTAGGATATTTGGGGAACCTGACAAAGAGAAGAATCTACCCAGATTTATAGGTACTGCAGAAGAAGTCTGGTGGTCAATTCTTGGCTTGGCTTCCTACGGCCAAGGGGCTTTTATTTTTATTTGTGTATTTATTTATTTATTGAGAGACAGGGTCTTACACTGTTGCACAGGCTGGAGTGGAATGGCACAATCATGGCTCACTGCAGCCTCAAACTTCTGGGCTCAAGTGATTCTCCTACCTCAGCCTCCCAGGTAGCAGGGACTAAAGGTGTATGCCACTACGCCCAGCTAATTTTTTTCTTTTTTTTGTAGAGATGGGGTCTCACTATGTGGCCCAAGCTGGTCTTAAACTCCTGGGCTCAAGTAATTCTCCCACCTTGGCCTCCCAAAGTCCTGGGAGATTACAGATATGCATCACTACACCCAGCTAATTTTTAAACTGTTTTGTAGAAACAGGGTCTCACTATGTTCCCCAGACTGGTCTCGATCTCCTAGGCTCAAGTGACCTACCTGCCTTGGCCTCCCAAAGTTCTGGGATTACAGGCATGAGCCATTGTGTCAAGGCTTTTAAAAGTCTAGTCTGAGATTTCTTATTTAAAATAATTTTTTTTTTTTGAGACAGAGTCTCACTCTGTCACTGGAGCTGGAGTACAGTGGCATGATCTCGGCTCACTGCAACCTCCACCTCCCAGGTTCAAGCAATTCTCCTGCCTCAGCCTCCCATGTAGCTGGGATTATAGGCAGCCGCCATTACACTCAGCTAATTTTTTGTATTTTTAGTAGAGACAGGGTTTCACCATGTTGGCCAGGATGGTCTCGAGCTCCTGACCTCGTGATTCACCGGTCTCAGCCTCCCAAAGTGCTGGGATTACAGGAGTGAGCCATCATACCCGGCTGAAAAAACTTTTAGCAAAGCAAACTTAAAAAGTTTATGTGGTCAATTACCATTCTTGCTGCCCTTATGTAAATAATCAGACCAAATCTAACAAGACCAGAATTCATAACCAAGATAACTTCACTTTGGTTATCTTTGATCAAAAAACCAGCAGGAAGAGAGTAATTGTAGAGGGAAGTTTTATGTTTCAGTGGAAAACTATAGCACATCTTTGTGGGTTATCAGGTTCTGGTACTGTCCATTAGAAGTTTTCTCATCTATCTAAAAGTAGAACTATATCCTGCCATCTTGCATATTTCATTCATCCTTACCAAATTGTGAATTCTTCCAGTTTCCTTCAATATCTGGCTACAAGTTTCCAAATTAATGTTTCCACTTTTTCTTTCATTCTCCTGACTTGGCATCACCGATCATTAAAATCTAACTGTGTAGAGGCCGGGCACGGTGGCTCAGGCCTGTAATCCCAGCACTTTCGGAGGCCGAAGCGGGCAGATCACGAGGTCAGAAGATTGAAACCATCCTGGCTAATGTGGTGAAACCCTCTCTCTACTAAAAACACAAAAAATTGGTCGGGTGTGGTGGCATACGCCTGTAGTCCCAGCTACTCAGGAGGCTGATGGCAGGATAATCACTTAAACCCAGGAGGCAGAGGTTGCAGTGAGCCAAGATCGCACCACTGCACTCCAACCTGGGCAACAGAGCAAGACTCTGTCAAAAAAAAAAAAAAAAAAATCTAACTGCCCAGATCCTTACTGGGACTCTAGGTTGTCTTGTAGTTGACTTTTCCCCAAGATCCAAGAGCTGAAGATGGATGCCTTGAAATAAACTTTGAAGGACCAATCACTACAACAGGTCATTCATGGACAAACTCTGTGCCTGGAGTTACTGATGTGTTGGCTTCTCAGGAAACACCCTGAACTCCTGCATCTTCCATGCTTTGCTCTGAGAAATAACAATGACTGTGGAGAATCTTAACAAAAAGTCCCTGTCATGTGAAAACTGATGGTTCACACCATCCAGGAAATATCCTCCACTACCAGTTCCCAACAGATCATTCAGCTTGTCCATAAGGAATAAAAGATGACCCAAGAAGAAATGATCTTAAGAAGAAAAAGGACCAATAAAGACCCTCTGCTTGACCAGACTTTATTTAGGCTCCTCTGAACACTTGTCTTACCCTTCAACTTGACCTTGACCTTGACCTTGGGCTTCCATGTCTGTCTCACCTTGAAGGGCCGTCATCACCCGGTCTTAGCAAGTATATTGCCGGCAGTGAATCCACAGGGGTCTGTAGCAACCTCAATTCCTGCCTCCTCAGGAGAAAGAATTCGACTGAGGGGCCACAAGGCAGAAGGAGAGACAGAGGCAAGTTTTAAAACAGGAGTGAAAGTGTATTAAAAACTTTAGGACCAGGCGCAGTGGCTCACACCTGTGATCCCAGCACTTTGGGAGGCTGAGGGGGGCAGATCACCTGAGGTCGGGAGTCCGAGACCAGCCTGACCAACTTGGAGAAACCCCGTCTCTACTAAAAATACAAAATTACCCAAGCGTGGTGGTGTATGCCTGTAATCCCAGCTACTTGGGAGGCTGAGGCAGGAGAATCACTTGAACCTGGGAGGCAGAGGTTGCAGTGAGCCAAGATCATGCCATTGCACTCCAGCCTGGGCAACAAGAGTGAAACTCCATCTCAAAAAAAAAAAAAAAAAAAAAAAAAAAAAAAAAAAACTGTAGAACAGGAATGAAAGGATGAAAAGTGCACTTGGAAGAAGGTCAAGCGGACAACTTGAAAGACAAGGGTGCAGTTGGACCTTTTGACTTGGGATTTTATATGTTGGCATACTTCCAGAGTCTCGCATCCCTTCTCCCCTGATTCCTTCCTTTGAGTGAGCTGTGTGCATGTGCAATTGCCTGTTAGCGCTTGGGAGGTGAGCATGCACAGTGTGTTTACTGGGGTTGCACACATGCTCACTTTAGGTGGTCTTAGAGGATGGCCATAGACCAGTTAAACTCCGCCATTTTGCCTCTGAGTGCACATGCTTGAGCCAAGTTGCCCAATTCCTGAGATCTTACTGGGAAGTGCTGATCACCAGTTTCAGGTTTTTCTGCCATATTGGGTAGTCCACAGGTCACTAGACCTGCTCTTTGCAGGGTATTTTAGCTTTGGCATTTTTCCATTGAACACTAATTTTGGCAGGATGTTCATTTTATGGGCATATGTGCCACACTAACAAAACAAAACAAGCAAACAAAAAACCATGTGGAAGGGTAGAGTATTAATTTCTTGTGGCTGCTGTTATTAAGGAAAAAATTACTCTGATACTTCCTTTATTCAAGACTATTGCAATAGGGATCAGGCTCATCTTTGAATACAATAAGGACAAGTGGGGATTTGTAGCCAAGGAGCACTGCCTTTCTCTGGCACTGGCTATGACCACTAATTATTTTAGAGAGACAGCTTAACAACTACCTGCCCATTACCTGGTGGTCACCTGACATTCCTGGTTGGGGTCAGGGGTGCCCTCTTCTGCCCTGCTCATGTCTGTCTGGCTATGTACTGTAAAAAGAATGCTGCTAAGTCAGGTTAACAGGAATCTCCCCACCCTTTATATCTAATCACCCTTCATATCTCATCAAGTTGCCCATCCTCCACCTTTGACATGTGAGTCCTCATCAATAATGAGCATCTCCAAGGTGGGTAGACAGCTAAAGCCAAGGGGAAAAGCACTGTCTTCCAGTTCTAGGGTCACAGCTGTAAGGTGGTTTTAAAAGGACTACAATCGGTCCGGTGTGATGGCTCACTCCTGTAATCCCAGCACTTTGGGAGGCCGAGGCAGGCAGATCATGAGGTCAAGAGATAGAGGCCATCGTGGCCAACATGGTGAAACCCCATCTCTACTAAAACACAAATCCTGTCAGTCAGTTTAACAAAAATCCCCTACCCTTGTGAATCCTCTTAGTAGTTTTCCAACCACGAACACTGTCACTCTGCTCCTTGGCTCAAAATCCCCACCTCTCTTTGTTGTATTCAGAGATATGCCTAATCCCTACTGCAATAGTCTTGAATAAAGTCTTCCTTCCCATTTTCACAAGTATCAGAGCAACTTTTTTCTTTAATAACAGCAGCCACAGGAAATTAATACACTATCCCTCCATATGGTTCTTTGCTAGCTTGTTTTGTTTTGTTAGTGTAGCACATATGCCCATAAAAAGAACATCCTGCCAAATTTTGTGTTCAATGGAACAACGCCATAGGCTAAAATATCCTGCAAAGAGCAGGTCTAGTGAGCTGTGGACTATCAAATATGGCAAGCAATGGAGATGCACATTTTATACCCTTTGAAAAGTAACAAATTCAATGTTGTTCAGCCTTGAGTGCCCTTTTAGAAAGAAAAAGTGACTCTGCTGGAAGCATAGATCTAACTGGCATTTCCCAGAAGGTGGAAGGAAAAGCCCAGTGGTGCCCCACGTAAAGTCTCATATGGGCTCCGCTCCACAGTCATAAACTGTAAACCCAGGAACTCTGTTGTAAGAATTTTGTCAGCATTGTAAAATCTCCTTGTAAAGTTACTTTTGTAATTCTTGAGTGTTTTTCCATGATAATCAGTCTTAAAACATTGACATTAACAGAAGGGCTTTTATTCTGTCTTCAGTGACGTCAAGGATGTGGGGAGCTTAGGAGCTTCCTTTTCACCAGACATGGAGGAAAAGGAAGCTCTGGGAGTGAACAGTACAGCGACCACTAAGACTGAGACCTGTGGACAAGGACAAAAAGGAGGCGCAAAGCGTGGCTCTAGCTCAAAAGAAGACTTATGAGTCTTCTTTTCAAGAAACAATGAGACACAATCAAGAAACCTTTTCTTCAATCTCAAACATCAACAGTGAGCATCTCCAAGGTGGGTAGACAGCTAAAGGCAAGGGGAAAAGCAGTTTCTCCCAGTTCTAGGGTCACAACTGTAAGGTGGTTTAGAAAGGACTACCATCTGCTGGGCACAGTGGCTCACGCCTGTAATCCCAGCACTTTAGGAGGCCAAGGCAGGCGGATCACTAGGTCAAGAGATTGAGACCATCCTGGCCAACATGGTGAAACCCCGTCTCTACTAAAAATACAAAAATCAACTGGGCCTGGTGGTGCATGCCTGTAGTCCCAGCTACTCGGGAGGCTGAGGCAGGAGAATCACTTGAACCTGGAAGGTGGAGGTTGCAGTGAGCCGAGATCACTCCACTGCACTCCAGCCTGGAGACCGAGCAAGACTCCATCTCAAAAAAAGAAAAAAAAAGATTACAATCAATACATATAGGTGCCTGCAAAGTGCATAATTCCAAGTCAATGTTTTTTATTTTATTTTGTAGTCAACAAGGATGATGGATGGTTATTATGCTAGTGTATTAGTCTGTTCTCACACTGCTAATAAAAGCATACCCGAGACTGGGTAATTCATAAAGGAAAGAGGTTTAATGGGCTCACAGTTCTGCCTGGCTGGGGAGGCCTCACAATCATGGTGGAAAGCAAAGGAGAAGCAAAGGCACATCTTACATGGCAGCAGGCAAGAGAGTGTGTGCAGGGGAACTCCCATTGATAAAACCATCAGATCTCATGAGACTTATTCACTATCACGAGAACAGTATGGGGGAAACCACTCCCATGATTTAATTATCTCCACCTGGCCCCATCCTTGACATATGGCAATCATTACAATTCAAGGTGAGATGTGGGTGGGGACACAGCCAAACCATAGCAGCTAGAGAAAAAGGTACGTGGGATATGAGAGAAAGAGGAGACCCTGCCTTTACCTGGAGTAAATGAATGCTCAGGTAGGGGACAAGGTCTTAAAGATGATGATAAGGTGATCTGATTGTGGCAAAATGCAGTTCACATTTCCCTTGCTTCATTATTGTCTTCTTCTGCTCATCCCAATGTGCTGTGAGTGTGTCTTCTAACTAGCATGTCCTAGATTACTGGACTAGGACCTCACTGACAAGTCTCCAAGAAGAGAAGCTGTAAGGCTGATATCCCTGAACTTCCCCTCCCCTTTTGTCTTCCCTGCCCTCCACAGGACCTTCCCAAACAGGTCTGCAAAGGGCAGCACACTGTCAGATGGGTAGTGGGGCCGTAAGAGCTGATAAACCAGCATGTATATATTTGCATGATCCACCCCTCATCTCTGTGAATCAGTTATGATGTCTTTGGCAGAACATAACAGATAAGGCTGACTCAAGCTGCCTTAAACAACAAGGAAATTGGCTGGGTGCCATGGCTCGTGCCTGTAATCCCAGCACTTTGGGAGGCCAAGGCAGGCAGAGGGCTTGAGGCCAGGAATTCAAGACCAGCCCAGGCAACACAGCAAGACCCCATCGCTACAAAAATAAAATAAAATAAAATATTAGCTGGACATGGTCGTGCATGCCTGTAGTCCCAGCTACTCAGGAGGCTGAGATGGGAGGATCACTTGAACCCAGGAGTTTGAGGCTGCAGTCAGCTATGATCACACTACTGTACTCCAGTCTGGGTGACAGAGCAAGACTCAGCCTCAAAAAATATACATATACACATAAATGAGGAAATGCATTATCACAGTCAAAAGTAAATTTAAAGGTATGACCAGTGGCTTAATAATGTAATGAAGAACGCAGGTCCCTTCCATCTCTTCTCTCTGCTGTCTTCAGTATTCACATCTTCCTTGTTTTTTTTGTTTGTTTGTTTGTTTGTTTGTTTGTTTTTTTGAGACAGAGTTTCACTCTTGTTGCCCAGGCTGGAGTGCAATGGCTCAATCTCTGCTCACTGCAACCTCTGCCTCTCAGGTTCGAGCCATTCTCCTGCCTCAGCCTCCAAAGTAGCTGGGATTGCAGGCATATGCCACCACACCTGGCTAATTTTTTTGGTATTTAGTAGAGATGGGGTTTCCCCATGTTGGTCAGGCTGGTCTCAAACTCCTGACCTCAGGTGATCCACCCGCCTTGACCTCCCAAAGTGCTAGGATTACAGGTGTGAGCCATTGCCCCCAGCCGGTGTTCACATCTTTCTAAGGCCAGGCAGGACAGACTGGGTGGGGTGGGGTGGAATGGGGTGGAGCCTTCCCATGGGGGCTGCATACATGAAGCCCCATCCCAGGTCTGGGCAGCAGTGAACCCCTGAGAGTTTTTGAAAGCTGCAGTCCAAGGGTTAGCGATGAAAGCCTTACCCAGATGGAAGCCAAATTTGAAAATGAACCCCCTGATCTAAAGGTATCAGGTAAAGGTCTGTTTATCCCTACAGGCCAGTGAGGTCTACAGCCAAGTTAATACCATCAAGTGAGGAATAAAGGAAGCACAGGTGAGGCCTTATCAGGATGTTAAGGAAATTTAAATCATGATTTCTGGGCTTCAGGAAAAGTTGCTACCAAACCTGGAGGGTGCTTAAGAGAATGAAATACTGCTTGGCTGGTGTCGTGGGGCAATGCCAGGGAAATTGACTCTAATTTTTTGGTAGTTCTTTATTTGTTTCTCTGTCTTGAAAAAAAAAAACAAAAATGCCATGTCCTTTTGTCCTACCCCTGATGAATTGTGAGCAAAATAATGGCTACCCTGTTTTCTCTACAAATAGATGCTTCAGCTGGATCTCTCTTAATGACGACAGGCTTCTCACGTCAGAAGCAAGTGAGCCACAAAGGTCTCCAGTCTCTTGTCTCCTCCACCACGCAGTCAGCGTCCAGTGAGCAAAGCATCCAGCTGTATCCTTTGCCAAAAGCTGGACTCATCTGCGTCTTGTCTACATTGTGTCTCTCCTCTTGGTTTACTGAGCTCTCAAATTCTGCATTTATGTCCTATTCCTGGGCATAGGAATATGGGCACTTGTCTCTAGACAGGATGAAAATTTGACATCTTTTGACCCACTTAGGTATGCAGTGGCTCACACCTGTAACCCCAGCACTTTGGGAGGCCAAGGCAGGCACATCACTTGAGGTTAGGAGTTCAAGACCAGCTTGGCCAACATGGTGAAACCCTGTCTCTACTAAAAAAAAAAAAAAAAAAAAAATCAGTTGGGCATGGTGGTGGGCTCCTGTAGTCCCAGCTACTCGGGAGGCTGAGGCCGAAGAATCGCTTGAACCCGGGAGGTGGAAGCTGCAGTGGGCCAAGATTACACCACTGAACTCCAGGCTGGGTGACAGAGTGAGACTCCATCTCAAAAAAAAAAAAAAAAAAAAAAAAAGGATATGCAGGAAAGAAGTCCTAACCAACTTTGTGACTTCTCTTTGTGACTTAAAAAAATAAAAAGTTACTAAGATTGTCTAGGCTTGTCTAGGCTGTACCGACAGAGAGGATGCATCCGTCAGCCCCTCAGATGTGCCCCTCTTCTGAAATGGTGTTTAGCAGAGATGCTGGAACATGTTTGACTCACCCAGGATGTTGTGTAGAATCAGCCGGATGACACATGCTTTTTTGGTGAGTGTTTTGTTCCCTTCTGAAAATAGACACTGGCTTTTAAAAAGCCCCAAAGTCCTTCTTCTTGGCTCCAACCCCATCCCCCACAGTTCCCACCTGCCTCCTTAAGCAGTCACTCTCAGCCTTTAAAAACAGAAACCGCGCTGGGAGCCGTGGCCCATGCTGTAGTCCCAGCACTTCGGGAGGCAGAGGCAGGAGATGGCTTGAGGCCAGGAGTTTGGGCCCAGCCTGGGGAACATAGTAAGACCCCAACTCTGCAAAAAAAATTATTAAAATTTAGCTGGGTATAGTGGTGCGTGCCTGTAGTCCCAGCTACTTGGGAGGCTAAGGCAGGAGGATCACTGTAGCCCAGGAGTTCCAGGCTGAAATGAGCTATGACTGTGCCACTATGCTCCAGCCTGGGGGACAGAAACCCCAGGCTGAAACCCCCAACTCTAAAAAAGCAATCCAGAAACCAAGAGCATAATGATCAACTCCTGGTTGCAGTAGATCCTTGGGAGGCTGAGGTGGGTGGATCACTTGAGGTCAGGAGTTTGAAACCAGCCTGGCCAACATGGTAAAACCCCACTCAACTAAAAATACAAAAATTAGCCAGGCTTGCTGACGGGCGCCTGTAATCCCAGTTACTCCGGAGGCTGAGGCAGGAGAATCGCTTGAACCTGGGAGGCAGAGGTTGCAGTGAGCATAGATCATGCCACTGAACTCCAGCCTGGGCAACAGAGTGAGACTCCATCTCACAAAACAAAAAAAGAAGTAGATCCTAATTTTTTCAAGATTAAGTGTTTCAAATACCTTCCTGAATGCTAGAGATTACGGAAGCATAATTGAAAAAATGAGAAGGTATATACTAGTTTTTAAAAGTAAACAAGTTTTGGGGGGATAATGTTTCAAAAGTTATCATATCTTTCATTTGTCCACTTCCAGCACTGTGTGATTGAGAAAAAGTCGTCATCCCTTGTATGTTGTCCCCATAGTTGACATTTCTGGGCATTGGTCTTCCTATACCTGGTAGATTGCACCCCACCCCACCCCACCATGCCTGCACTTCTCAACATTTGACTCCAGAGAGAGTAGAAATGATATGCACCCTCAGTTGCAGGGAAGAACAATTTTATGCAACAACTGAGATGAAGCTGCGTGCTTGGACCGGATGCATGAAACATTGCAGGTGCTAATAAGTAGTTTGAAAATCTCACATTTAGGACTCCCTTCAGGCCCTAGATAAGAAGCCAGCCTTACTACAGGGACCAACAAAGTTGGACCAGGGGACTATCTACAGAACCATGCGTAGACCATCTGGATCCAGTATCCAAGGGAAACCAGAAGGTGGTTAAAACCATCCTCAAAGCATCGGCCAGAGATGAGCAAAGACAAGGAGGTGAGCTTGTTTGGCACCAATTATGTGACTAATGACAGGAAAGTGGGCACAAGAGCTAAAGCAGAATGTGTCAAGAGGTGAGGGAATATTGATGTTTGAATTGTGCCCCCCCAAAAAAACTGTTGTATTGAGATCCCAACTCCCACCAAATTTGAAAATGAACTGTTTTATTGAGATCCCAACTCCCACCAAATTTGAAAATGAACCCCCTGAGCTGAAGGGATTAGGTGAAGGTTTGTTTATTCCTAAGTGACCAGTGAGATCTACAGTCGAGTTGATACCATAAAGCAAGGAATGAAGGAAGCACAGATGAGGCCATATCAGGATGTTAAGAAAATTTAAATCATGATGTCTGGGCTTCATGAAAAATGCTACCAAACCTGGAGTGTGCTCAGAAGGAAATACTGCTTGGATGGTATTATGGGGCAATGCCAAGAAAATTGACTCTAAGTTTTCTGTACTCCTTTATTCACTTCTCTGCCTTGCAAAAAAAAAAAAAAAAAAAAAAAAAACAAAGGCATGTCCCTTTTGTCCTATCCCTCATGAGTTGTGAGCAAAATGATGGTTATCCTGTTTTCTCTACAAATAAATGCTTCAGCTGGATCTCTGTTACTGATGACGAGCTCCCAGTACCTATGAATATATGACCTTATTTTGAGGTAGGATTTTACAGAAGTAATCGAGATAAAATGAAGTCATGCAGTCTGGAGACAAAAAAATACCACATATAGGCTGGGTACGGTGGCTCACACCTCTAATCCCAGTGCTTCGGGAGGCTTAGGTGGGAGGATCACTTGAGCCCAGAAGTTCGTGGCTGCAGTGAGCTATGATGGCGCCACTGTACTCTAGCATGGGCAAATGAGCAAGAACCTATCCCTACTAAAAGGAAAGGAAAGGAGAGGAGGGGAGGAGAAGGGAGGGGAGGGTAAAGGAGGGGAGGGGAATGGAGGGGAGGGGAAAGGAAGGTAGGGGAGGGAAGAGGAAGGGAAGGGAGGAGAGGGAGGGGAGGGGAAAGGAATGGAGGGGAGGGAAGGGGAAGGGAAGGGAGGGGAGGGGAGGGGAAGGGAGGGAAGTGGAGGGAGAAGAAAGGGGAGGGGAGGGAAGGGAGAGGGAAGGGAAAGGAAAGGGAAGGAGGAGGGAAAGGGAGGGAAAAGAAAAGTACAAAAGGTAAGGGGTAAGTACAGGAAAAAGTAAATAAATTAAGGTTGGAGTACCAGAAAATTCTACAGAGAAGTGATGGTAATTGAGTTGGGGCTGGATGAGTCGTGAGCAAATGAGTTGTGAGCTGGAGTTCACAAGGTGGAAAGATGAGAAGGCATCCCCTCCCTGTGAATAGCCAAGATCTGCTTGGAACAAAGGACATGTACATGGGTTAAGTGCCCACAATGAGCCTGAAGTGGTAGGAGAGGTTCTGGAAAATTGTGCAGAAATGTCTTAGCCCTATTATTATGAAAAGTGCAACCTGGAAGATTTCTCCTGCAAAATGCTCCAAGTAAACAGGCACTCCCCAAAGAAGTTTGGGCCTGTCACTCATCATACATGCCTCCTGAACATCCTTATCCCCGCTAGCTGAACATCTCCATTGCATCGTGCAAGGATGGGTTGCAGCCCTGGTAACATTCTGTGTGTTTGTAGCTCAACACTGAGTTCTCTAATAAGAGACTGGTTTATTCTGTGGGGACCTATTACAGACAGCATTGTAGCCCCCTCCCAATTCATATATTGAAGCCCTAACCCCTCGTGCAACTACATTTGGAGACAGGGCCTTGGAAGGAGGGGATTAAGGTTAAATGAGGCTGGGCATGGTGGCTCATGCCTGTAATCCCACCACTTTGGGAGGCCGAGGCAGGAGGATCACTTGAGATCAGGAGTTCAAGACCTGCCTGGCCAACATGGCAAAACCCCGTCGCTACCAAAAAAACATAAAAATTAGCCAGGAGTGATGGCAGGCCCCTGTAATCCCAGCTACTCGAGAGGCTGAGGCAGGAGAATCACTTGAACCCAGGAGGCGGAGTTTGCAGTGAGCTGAGATGGTGCCACTGCACTCCAGCCTGGGTAACAGAATGACACTCTGTCTCAAAAGAAAAAAAAAAAATGAGGCCATAAGAGTGGGGCCCTCACCCAATAGGACTGGTGTCCTCATAAGAAGCTGTGAAAATCTTACCTTCAGATGCCCATCAGGCCCTAGATAAGAAGCTAACCCCACTACAGAGACCAACAGAGTTGGACCAGGGCACTGTCTAGAGATCCAAGCCAAGACCATCTGGATCCAGGATCCAAGGAGAGCCAGAAGGTGGTTAAAACAATCCTCAAAGCACTGGCCAGTACTGAGCAGAGCTGAGGTGAGCTCATTTGGCACCAATTATGTGACCAATTAGAGAGAAGTGGGCACAGTAGCTAAGGCAGAATATGTGAAGAGGCGGGAGGCCATTGTTGGTTGAACAATTGGGAAGATGAGAAGAAGACCTCCTAGAAGATACCAGAAGGATGCATGCACAGAGAAAAGGCCACATGAGGATACAGAGAGAAGATGGCCCTCTGCTAGCCGAAGAGAGAGACTTCACCAGAAATCAACCCTGCCATCACCTTGATCTTGAACTTCCAGCCTTCAGAACTGTGAGAAAATATATTCCTGTTGTTTAAGCCACCCAGTCAGTAAGTAGCCCAAGCAGACTAAGACAGACCCCAACTCTCAGCTGGTGCCAAACTAATCTTTGTCTCCCAAGTCTGCCAAAAACTCCAATGTGATTTTCAGAGGCTTTCTGCTTGGGATTTTAGTCTCCCACCCTGCAAAGTCCCAATATTTGGTAAATTTCCTGAGACGAAAACTGGATGAGTATTTGAGGCCCCCAATTCCTTTTCAAAGCTCAGCTACCTCGGTCCACCCCTTTCCCACCCCCCAAAAAAGGGTTCTCTGCTAGACTCTGTGTGTGTTATGGGCTGAATGGGGTCTACCAAAACTCATATGTTGAAGTCCTAACCACTGGTACCTTATAATAGGACGGTATTTGAAGATAGGACCTGTAAAGAGATAATTAATTAAGTTAAACTGAGGTCATTAGAGTGGGCCCTAATCCAATATGACTGGTGCCCTTATAAGAAGAGGAGATTAGGGGGCCAAGGGCAGTGGCTCACGCCTGTAATCCCAGCACTTTGGGAGGCCAAAGCGGGTGGACCATTTGAGGTCAGGAGTTTGAGACCAGCCTGGTCAACGTGGTGAAACCCCATCTCTACTAAAAATACAAACATTAGCCAGGCACAGTGGTGAATGCCTGTAATTTCAGCTACTTGGGAGGCTGAGGCAGGAGAATTGCTTGAACCCGGGAGATGGAAGTTGCAGTGAGCTGAGATTGCATCACTGTACTCCTGCCTGGGCAACAGAGCAAGACTCTGTCTCAAAAAAAAAAAAAAAAAGAAGAAGAAGAAGAAGAAGAGGAGATTAGGACACAGACACACACAGAAGGGAGACCATATAAGGTCACAGGGAGAGGATGGTTATCTACAAGCCATTGGTCATCTCATAACAAACCCTGCTGAAACCTGGATCTTGGACTTCCAGCCTCCAGAATTGAGAAAATACATTTCTGTTGCTTAAGCCATCCAGCCTGCTGTGCTGTGCTGTGGAAGCCAGGGCAGAATAACATGGTATGGGTTTTGCACAGGGTTACACCCTCGGCCCATGCAAAAGTGCAAGCACTCAGGAAGTAGCATTTGCAAAAGCCTGTTCAGCTCTTCAACTCCATTATTCTTCTCTCTTCTTGTCCTGACCTGTCTCGTTCTCCTTAGCTAGACAGATCTCTGCTGCCTTCAAACAGATGGTTTCCATATCTTATCTGGATTTCTAGTTGTTCCAGGCAGGACTATGTTTTGTCACCAGCTATTCTATTCCACCTAGAAGTAGAAGTTCTGATCTCCACGTCGTCTTCTTCCTCTTCCTCTTTTTTCTTTGAGATGGAGTCTCACTCTGTCACCCAGGCTGGAGTGCAGTGGTGCTATCTCGGCTCACTGCAACCTCCACCTCCCGGGTTCAAGTGATTCTCCTGCCTCAGCCTCCTGAGTAGCTGGGATTACAGGCATGCACCACCACACCAGGCTAATTTTTGTTTGTAATAGAGACGGTTTCACTATGTTGGCCAGGCTGGTCTTGAACTCCTGATCTCAAGTGATCTGCACACCTCGGCCTCCCAAAGTGCTGGGATTACAGGCGTGAGCCACCTTGCCCAGCCCCCTTCCTCTTCTTTTTCTTCCTTCTCCTCCTTTCTTCTCTTCCTCCTCTTTCTTCTTTTTTGTCTTCCTTTTTCTTTAACTCTTTCAAATAGGACAGTGTACTTTTAGAGGGAAGGGACCCTATTTTATCTCTTTGGATTCACAGCACCTAGCCTAATGCCTGTCAATCAATATCTGTGGACTAGAATGCATTGTAGAATCCAGCGTGGAGCTAAGCGCATAGTAGACACTCAACAAATCCATCCATGGATTCAAAGTGATACAAAACATTTGGAATCAAATCACAGAGCCAGAAATTATTGCAGAGACTCTCTTGTCCGAATCCCTCATTTCACAGGTGGCGAACATGAAGCCCTATAAGGCTGAGGGACCATCTAAAGTTACATACAGATCACATCAGAGCACAGGCAGGGAAAGCCACTAACACCACAGGCTCCCTTCATGGGCCACTTCCCCTAAACTGGCTGCTGAAGTCTCACGAAAGATCAAGAACAGAATCCAAAAGGGTTTTGTCCCAAGCACTACACCAGAAATGTTGATTCTATAAAAGTCCCCTGAGCCTGCCTTAGATTTTTTTCAGATTTAAAGGAGGCCAGCAGGCCAAGTGCGATGGCTTACGCCTGTAATCCCAGCAGTTTGGGAGGCTGAGGAGGGAGGATCAACTGAGGTCAGGCATTCGAGATCAGGTACGTTTGGCAACTGATTGGAATAGATCATTTTAATCAGTCTTGTTGAATCAAAAATCAGTATTGAACATTGTACAGCACATCAGAAGTATACTCATTTCCTCCCTCTGTTAATAGTTGGATCATTTCCGGCATGAATCTCAAACCCTTTCTCCTGGGGGTCAGACTCAGTGCACCAGGAGGGAGACTGGGTGTCAGATCACCCTTTGTTCTCACAGAGAGGGCGGCTAATCAATCCTGAAATCCAGGTGTGCCCCACTTGGCCTTCCTAACATAAACTCTCCAGAGATGTATTGCAAAATCTGAGTGCGAACCTTATTCTGTACCAAGTTCAGCTTAGGGAGGGAAATTAAGAATCTCAGTTGTGGGCCAGGCATGATGGCTCATGCCTGTAATCCCAGCGCTTTGGGAGGCCAAAGTGGGAGGATCATTTGAGGCCAGGAGTTTGAGACCAGCCTGGCCAACATACCAAAACCCTGTCTCTACAAAAATACAAAAATTAGCTGGGCGTGGTGGCACATGCCTGTAGTCCTAGCTACTTGGGAGGCTGAGGCAGGAGAATCACTTGAACCTGGGAGGTGGAGGTTGCAGTGAGCCGAGATTGTGCCACTACACTCCAGCCTGGGTGACAGAGCAAGACTCCATCTCAAAAAAAATAAATAAAAAAAATAAAGGAGGCCAGTAAGGAGATTTTGCTGTCAAGGTATATTGTGAGCTGAGTAGGAGGGTGTGGGATGTTCCATTTTCATCACCATGAACATCCCAATATCTGTTTTGGCTCAAGTTCAATAACTTTGAGCCTTGTCTCTCTTGTTCTTCCTGTTCTATTTTTTTATCATGCCTAAAATTACAGTGTACCAGATTCAGTCAACTGCCTACCAGATTCCCTTAAACGTGTATAACGTTGTTAAAACCATTGTTTTTAAAAAGCTCCTTTAAAACATGACATTTATTAGCCGTTATATTAAGATAAACGATCAAGTTATCCCCAGTGTAGATGTTACCCTTTGATTTAAATTCCAACTTGAGTAAACTAGGCAAGGAACATTAAAAGCAGAATGGTTTTTAGGACCCACCGGGTAATGCTAGAATTTGTGGCATGCTAAACATGAGCAGAACATATGCCAGAGACTCTTGGTTAATCACATTTGGGGCCCAATTAAACTTTTCCGACTTGCTCCTGCTTCTACCTGGGCCGCAGTGAAGAGAGCACAGCAGGTGAAATTGCCTTAGGCAGAAGGAAACTTCCACTCAGGCTGGTAAGGACAGGTTCAGCTGCTCATTAACTGGGCTCTTTGCAGATACTGAAGGACAAGGAAGAACAGGGCCAGAGCAAAGCCGGGGATAGGAGACATAAATACCTAAATGTTGCTCTCTCCTGTGCTTCCCAGGAACCAGGACTCTTCCCCACACTTACCTGTGAACGGTGGCAAAGGTCTCACACCTGGAAGGACAGACAAGCTCTGCAGGATGAAGGTACTGGGGCAAGAAATAGCTTGAGCCCTTTTAGAGGTCACACCATCCTTTTGTGATCTTTGTTAAATTCAGTTGTCACCAGACCACAGATGTGTGATAATTCATAGCATCCTTTCTTTTTCAAATTGAGAAGGACATCCAGATTATTGATCTCAGTCTCCCCAAGATGACTGTCCATCCTCAAAGGATCTCGGGGCCAGGCATGGTGGCTCACACCTGTAACCCCAGCACTTTGGGAGGCCAGAGCAGAAGGACCACTTGAGCTCAGGAGTTCAAGACCAGCCTGGGCAACATGGTGAGACCTCCATCTCTATAAAAAAACAAAAAATAAAAAAAAATAGCCAGGAGCTGTATCATACACCTGTACAGTCCTTAGCTACTCTGGAGACCGAGGAGGGAAGATCGCTTGAGCCCAGGAGTTCGAGGCTGCAATGAACTATGATGGCACCACTGCACACCAGCCTGGGCGACAGACCAAGACCCTGTCCCTAAAAATAAAAATTATAAATTTAAAATTTTTTCTAAGAAAGATCTTGGAAGAATTGCTTGATGGTGCTTTTCTTTGAGGAAGTGTTTCCTTTGGTCAACCTGTTGTTCCTTGCAGGCACTTTGCTGTGTTGGGGGTGACTGAACGTGCTTTAGAGGAAAGCTCTTTCAGAAGCTAGGAGCAGGAGGCTGGGCGCGGTGGCTTATGCCTGTCATCCCAGCACCGTGGGAGGCTGATGTGGGTGGATCACTTGAGGTCAGGAGTTTGAGACCAGCTCTGCCAACAGGAGGAAACCCTATCTCTACTAAAAACACAAAAATTAGACAGACATGGTGATGCACACCTGTCATCCCAGCTACTCAGGAGGCTGAGGCAGGAGAATCACTTGAACCCAGAAGGCTGAGGTTGCAGTGAGCCGATATCACGCCACTGCACTCCAGCCTGGGCAACAAGAGCGAAGCAAAACTCCTTCAAGAAGAGGAAGAAGAAGAGGAAGAGGAAGAGGAAAAGGAAGAGGAAGAAGAGGAAGAAGAAGAAGAGGAGGAGGAGGAGGAGGAAGAGGAAGAGGAAGAGGGAAGAAAGGAGAAGCAGCAGCTAGGAGCAGGAGATAGAGCAGACATCGGATCCCAGGGAATCTTTGTCAGGAGGTATTTTTCTCCACTCTGCTCTGGAGCTAAAAATTAGAGGGGCCTCTTGGGGAGCAAACAGAATGCAGGAAGAAAGAACACTGCTGCCAAGCTGTCTGCTGGAGTGAACACCAGGCCCAAGAGCTGAAGAGCTCCAGGAAATGGTGCTGATGGCACTTGGCGGCCTGTCTTCTATCTCCCAGTGTTTCTGAGCTGAGCCACCGGGGACCATGCGGCAGACCCCACTCTCTCCAAGTTCCCAGACCCAGTGAAAAGTGCCCAGGGAGAACCTGCCAGCAGCCCAAGGCCCCCTACTCCCGGCAGAATGACCCTCAAAGCCTGGCTTCCCAAGTTGTCCCCCAACACCTTTGGTGTCCTCTTCTGTGGCCAGGACCTAGCCATGTCTCCCTGGGGAACTCAGGACTAGCTAGTTGCCTTTTCTTTATTCCTTTCTTCATTCCTTCCACAAATATTTCTTGAGGGCCTGCTATGAGCCAGGCATCATTCAAGGCACTAGAGCTGTGACAAAGTCTTTACCTTCAGGGAACGCACATTCTACCTGGGGTGGGATACAGACAATGCATAGATAAAGAAATAATTCAGCGGGGCACAGTGGCTCACGTCTGTAATTCCAGCATTTTAGGAGGCCAAGGTGGGCGGATCATGAGGTCAGGAGTTCGAGACCAGCCTGGCCAACATGGTGAAACCCTGTCTCTACTAAAAATACAAAAATTAGCTGGGCGTGGTGGCACATGCTACTTGGGAGGCTGAGGCAGGAGAATCACTTGAACCTGGGAGGTGGAGGTTGCAGTGAGTTGAGATCATGCCAATGCACTCCAGCCTGGTCAACAGAGGGAGGCTCCGTCTCAAAAGAAAAGAGAAGAGAAAAGAAGGGAAGGGAAGGGAAGGGAAGGGAAGGGAAGGGAAGGGAAGGGAAGGGAAGGGAGAAAAGAGAAAAGAAAAGAAAAAAATAATTCTAGATAGCAAGAGATGAGAAAGGAAATAAATAGGGTGGAATGATATAGGGAACACCTGAGAGAGTGTGAGCCTCCTTTAGGGACGGAGGTCAGAGGAAGTAACATCTGAGCTGAGACCTAAGATGAGGAAAAGAAGTAGCCACTAAAAAATAAAATGGCAGCCTGGCGCAGTAGTTCATGCCTGTAGTTCCATTGCTTTGGGAGGCTGAGACAGGAGGATTGCTTAAGGCCAGGAGTTCAAGACCAGCCTGGGCAGCATAGCTAAACCCCTTTCTACAAAAAATACAAAAATCAGCCAGGCATGGTCGTAGACACCTGTGGTCCCAGCTACATGCGAGGCTGAGGTGGGAGAATCTCTTGAGCCTGGGAGGCAGAAGCTGCAGTGAGCCGTGATTGCACCATAGCACTCCAGCCTGGGCAACAGAGTAAGGACTATGTCTCAAAATAAAATAAGATAAAATGACAGTTAGGTGCAGTGGCTCACACCCATAATTCCAGTGCTTTGGAAGGCCGAGGCAAGAGGATCGCTCAAGACCAGGAGTTAGAGACTAGCCTGGGCAACATAGTGAGGCCCTATCTCTACAAAAATAATAAAAATTAGCCTGGCATGGTGGTGTGCACCTGTAGTCCCAGCTACTCAGGGGGCTGAGGCAGAAGGATTACTTGAGCCCAAGAGTTCGAGGCTACAGTAAAATATGATCGCTCCACTGCACTCCAGCCTGGATGACAGAGCCACAGCTTGTCTCTAAAAAAGAGAGAGAGGCCGGGCGTAGTGGCTCACACCTGTAATCCTAACTCTCTGGGAGGCCGAGGCAGGCAGATTGCCTGAGCTCAGGAGTTCGAGACCAGCCTGGCCAACACAGTGAAACCCCGTCTCTACTAAAATACAAAAAAAACAGCTGGATGTGGCAGCCTGCACCTGTAGTCCCAGCTACTCAGGAGGCTAAGGTGGGAGAATTGCTTGAACCTGGGAGGCAGAGGTTACAGTGAGCCAAGATCATGCCACTGCAGTCCAGCCTGGGTGACACAGTGAGACTCCATCTCAAAAAAAAAAAAAAAAAAAAACAGAGAGAGAGAGAGATCACAAATTTGAATATGTGTATATGGAAAAGAGGACAGCATGTTCAAGGCACACAAAGGAAGCCCAAGTGGCTGGAGCAAGTGATTAGAGACAGAAGAAGAGGGAGACTGACCTCTGAGGGTACCTCCCAAGTCTACAGGCTGGGCAAGCACTGGGAAATCATGTTGTAAGTGCAGCGAGAAGCCACCCAATGGGTTTTGGGGGTTGTTTTGTTTTGGTTTGTTTTTGTTTTTGTTTTTGAGATGGAGTCTCACTCTGTCACCCAGGCTGGAGTGCAGTGGTGCAATCTTGGCTTACTGCAACCTCCACCTCCTGGGTTCAAACAATTCTCCTGCCTCAGCCTTCAGAGTAGCTGAGACTACAGGCATCCACCACTATGCCCAGCTAATTTTTGTATTTTTAGTAAGGACACAGTTTCATCATGTTGGCCAGGCTAGTCTCAAACTCCTGACCTCAAGTGATCTGCCCACCTTGGCCTCCCAAAGTACTGGGACTACAGGCGTGAGCCACTGTGCCCAGCCACCCAACAGTATTAAGCAGAGAAGTGACGTGATCTAATTTATACTCTATGAGCCTCATTCTATGTGAGTCATAGGTGGAAGAGGAACAGATCTGAACACAGAGAAACCAATTAGGAGGCCACCGCGGGAGACTGTCTGGAACGTGATGGGATTCCGGCCAGCATGGCGGCAGCCACGTGGGAGACAACCACCCACAAAGGAATTGCAGTATGGAAACAGACATGCAGGACCTGCCAGTTACTTGGGTGTGGTGATGAGGAAAGGAGGGTTTGGGCTTTGAGCAATTGGGTGGATGGTGGTGATGACTGCTGAGATGGGAGGATTGAGTGAGTGGCCAGTGGACTTGGATGTCCCTAGAGTGCGATGGAGGTGGGATGTGGGGTGCTCCAAGCCTCCCTTCAGACGTGTTGAGTTGGAGATATATTCAACACCAGATGAAATGTCAAGCAGGCAACTGGGTACACGTCTGGACTCAGGGAGACGTCAGCTTTGTTCCCCGTTTCTGCATTCCTATTCTGTTAGCTTCCCTTAAAAGAGACAGAAAGGTTTCATAGAGAGCAAGAAATCTCAGCTTTGGCAACAAAGAGGTGGGGGTTTGAATCTTCTCTTGGCCACATGATAACGGTGTGACTCCATCACTCTGCTGTCTTCTGTGAAAGTGACAGCTCTTTTGGAGTTTCAACAGGTTTGGCCACAGTGGACATGAAATATACATGAACTTCTATCTTTTCCCTGTTCTTTGGATTCTTCCATTAATGCCCAGGTCTGGAGGCTTCCTGATCCCTATTGGCTTCCCTTTCCCAAAAGTTTGTTTGTTTGTTTGTGTGTTTGTTTGTTGAGATGAAGTCTCACTCTGTTGCCCAGGCTGAAGTGCAGTGGCACAATCTCAGCTCACTGGAATCTCCACCTCCCAGGTTCAAGCAGTTCTCATGCCTCAACCTCCCAAGTAGCTGGGATTACAGGCACCCACCATCACACCCGGCTAATTTTTGTATTTTTAGTAGAGATGGAGTTTCACCATGTTGGCCAGGCTGCTCTTGAACTCCTGACCTCAGGTGGTCCACCCACCTCAGCCTCCCAAAGTGCTGGGATTACAGGCATGAGCCACTGCACCTGGCCCCAAAATTTGTCTTTAAACCAGGGGTCGCTCACCAGATACTGACTCTTCGTGGAAACCAGTTTCCCAGGATCTACTGCAGAAATACTCTAAACTTTAGCTTATAGCCATGTACTAGCTAAAGGATGCAGTTAGGTCAGCTCCCAGCCCCTGGCCTGCCCAAGTGAATGTGTCTCCTCATAGGTTCTGATTCCCTCCCCATCCTTCCCTGTATTCTCCGACTGGACACCTTTGCCTCCATCCTCTCTTACTACAAGAGGACGTTGGCTTTTCTCTCTACCCACAATCTCCAACAGATTCATGTTTTCCTGAAACACGGCTCCCTTTATATCACTCCCTTGCATGGAACCTTTTCTTGGCCCCTTTCTGCCCACAAAAAGAAGTACGAGATCACCTTGGCCCCATAGCCTTATGCAACGTGTCCCTGGCTTGCATTACGGAACTTCACATAGTCCGTATTTTAGCTGAGAATTTCTCAAAATTTTTTGAGAGCTTTGCACTTTTAAAAACCATTGAGAACCCCCAAAATGCTTTCACCAATATGGGTTATAACTTTAATTGATATTGCATTATAGATTAAAACCAACATTTTAAACATATTGTTAACTCAATAACAATGAGCCCATTGCACGATAACATAAATAACATATTTGTTAAAAGCAAACTATATTTCCCAAACAAAAACTGAGCGAGAGGAGCAGCATTGTTTTACATGTTTTTTGCAAATCTCTTGTGTCTGGCTTAATGGAAGACAGCTGGATTTCCAAACCTGCTCCTCCCTTCAATCTACTACAAAACGTTATTTTGGTTAAGTTATATATAGAAAATCCAGCCTCGCACAGATATGTAAGTGGAAAAGAGAGACCCTCATGGATCCCCAAAGGGGTCTTGGGAGCCTATAGGGGGCCTTGAAGTCACCTTGAGAGCCAGGACTGTGGCTAAACCAGACGATGCATGCATCTCTGAATAAGGCTGACTTTCCTCCCTGCACCATGGGCTCACACACTGTTCTCCCTCCTATGATTCTTCCTTCCTTCATTCACCCGCTTAAATCCTAACCTAGACCCAGGTCTGATGTTTTTACAACAGACTGAAGAAGCCCTAAGACCCGTCAGGAGCCAGCAGAACCACTTGAGGCCTGAGGCACCACACCGAGCCAACTCCTAGACTCAAGCAATCCTCCTGCCTCGGCCTCCCAAAGTGCTGGGATTACAGACCTGAGCCACCAAACCTGGCATTTGGGGTAATGCCCCCCAAATATCCCGGGTGAAGACTGACATTCTTCCTGCAACCCAGCTCTGCCAAGGTTTGCAGCTGTCTTGAAAGACCCCTAGGATATTGTACCGGTCTGCATAGGCTGCCATAACACAATATCACAGATGGGGTGGTTTAAACAACAGACATTGATTTTCTCAAAGTTCTAGAGACTGGAAGCTCAAGATCAAGGTGTCTGCAGGTTTCATTTCTCCCGAGGCTCTTCTCCTTGCAGGCGGCTGCCTTCTCACCATGTCCTAGCATGACCTTTCCTCTGTGCATGTGCCCCTCCTAGTGTTTCCTCCTCTCCTTACAAAGACATCAGCCCTGTTGGACCAGGGTCCTACATTAGGGCATCATTCAACCCTAATTACCTCTTTAAAGACCCTATCTCGGCTGGGTGCAGGGACTCACACCTGTAATCCCAGCATTTTGGGAGGCTGAGGCAGGTGGATCACCTGAGGTCAGGAGTTTGAAACCAACCTGGCCAACATGGTGAAACCCCATCTCTACTAAAAATACAAAAATTAGCCAGGCGTAGTGGCACATGACTGTAATCCCAGCTACTCAGTAAGCCGAGACAGGAGAATTGCTTGAACCCAGGAGACAGAGGTTACAGTGAGCCGAGATTGCGCCATTGCACTCCAGCCTGGGCAACAGAGTGAGAATTCGTGTCCAAAAAAAAACAAAGACCCAATCTCCAAATAGAGTCACGCTGGGAATTAGGCTTTCGACATATGACTGGGGAGACACAATTCAGTTCATACCACATATTGGCACCCAAAGCAGCCATATCTCACCAGTCCCCTGCTGTATATATCAAAATAGTTTTCAGTAAAAAATCAATAAATGAAACAAGTCAACATAATATTAAGAACAAAAATGCCGATCGTGAAAAATTTTTTAAATTGAACTAATCATACAGTAAAAAACCTTTAAAAATTACAGTGTGAAAAAGAAGAAAAGAGAAATGTATCATGTCTTAGTTACATGCAAATGTTTTTGATAAAACAGGAAAATAACCCGGAAAAATTTTTCTGAATGAGTCAATTCTGCTAAATTCGCAGACTCGTTAGTACGTGGAATGAGAGAATTGATATAACTCAAAGATCTGTTTCTTTATCTTTACAATGACTGTAGCATCTTTTATTTGAAATCATTAGATTTCAACAAGTTAAACAATTCATGTTTTGTTTCGTTTTGTTTGACACAGGATCTCACTCTGCTGCCAAGGTCAGAGTGCAATGGTGCGATCATAGCTCACTGCAGCCTCAACCTCCTGGGCTCCAGAGATCTTCCCACCTCAGCCTCTCAAGTAGCTGGAACCACAGGCACATGCCACCACACTTGGCAAATCTTTTTTATTTTTTGTAGAGACAGTGTCTCCTTGTTTGCCCAGCCTTGCCTCAAACTCCTAGACTCAAGCAATCCTCCAGCCTCAGCCTCCCAAAGTGTTGGCATTACAGGCCTGAGCCACCTCACTGGACCAACAATTCATGTTTTAAACAATGTTAACAATCCCTGTTTAAATACAGGAATACGTATGTAGTTTAGATATAGGAACTTCAGCAGAAGCAAGTTCAAATGACTCTGAAACATTAGGAATGTTTCCTCAGAAGCAGTCCATACATGTTGAGACCAGCTAGAAAGCTAAGAGTTCTCCAATTTGAGTTCCATATAGAAGATAGTCTTGGCTGAGTGTGGCAGCTCATACCTGTAATCCCAGCACTTTAGGAGGCTGAGGCAGGAGGATGGCTTGAGGCCAGGTGTTCAAGCCCAGCCTGAGCAACACAGTGAGACTTCGTCTCTACAAAAAATAAAAATTAAAAGCTGAGCATAGTGCGTGCACCTGTAGTCCCAGCTACTCAGGAGGCTGAGGGAGGAGGATTGTCTGAACCTACACATTTGAGGCTGCAGTGAGCTATGATAGTGCCACTGCACTCTAGCCTGGACGACAGAGCGAGATCCTGTCTCTTAAAAAGAAAAAAAAAGACAAAAAAGAAGAAGATAATCTTCAACAAAATAATAATAAATGCTAACTTGCAGTTTACATATATATTGTATATCACAAGTACCAGAAGTTACTGTGAAACAGTTGTCTAGAACATAGACGAACAGGAGATTTGAAGGGAGAACAATTTTATCACCGATTTTATTAGAATTGCTGGTATAAGATGATAATAAAAAGTTGACCAATTTCTGGTCGATTTTATTGCTGTTTTAAAATTATCTAGATACAATGAACAATAAATTTCTATTTTGTGTGCGACAGGATCTCACTCTGTTGCCCAGCTGGAGTGCAGTGGGGCGATCAGAGCTCATTGCAGCCTCAAACTCCTAGTCTCAAGAGATCCTCCAGCCCCAGCCTCCCAAGTAGCTGAGACTATAGGTGTGAGCCACTGTGGCTGGCTAATTTGTAAATCTTGTGTGTGTGTGTGTGTGTGTGTGTGTGTCTGTGTGTATGTGTGTGTGGCTATGAGATCTCACTATGTTGCCTGGGCTGGTCTCGAACTCCTGGCCTCAAGCAGTCCTCCTGCCTCAGCGTCACAAAGTGCTGGGATTCCAGACGTGAGCCACTAAGCTTGGTTGATGAATTCCCTTATTGCTTTCATCCAAGGTAGACACTCCCACTGCCCTGTTTGTTATGCCACTGGCTATCACTGTACTCAGATATCAAACTCCATCTGCCCCTTAGTTCCTCCCACGGGTAAGTACAGATCTGCCATGCCCAAAGGAACCTCAGCCAGGGGCGTGTCTGAGTGCAGGCGATGAGGTTGTAGGGAATGGTGCAAGGCAGGTATCTCCTCATACAGATTTGCATGTGTAGAAGGTTTATGCATGAGTGAGGTGTCTGGGACAGTATGTAGGGAAAGGAGGACAGGGATATAAACAGCTCGTTATCTGTTCTTCCTGCCAAGACCCACAGGCTAATGTCTGAACCCTATGGAAAAAGAGAGCAACTGGAGACAGAAGCCTACGAGGTGGTTTCCCGAAGAACTCAGAGGAACATAACAGCTCAATCCTGTTACTACTAAAGTCTCCGGTGAAAAGATGGTACCCAGAGCCAGGGAGCATGATGCTCTCCCCAATTTACGTAGAATCCCTGATTGCTCTGGCCCTTGGAGCAGCTTCAGTGGTGCCCTGATGCAGCATCCTCAGCATAGAAATGGGTGGTCTCCCAGGATATGCCAGCATCCCTAGCACTAACAAGCCTCCTTCCGTTAGCTTTGTGGATGGAGAACATTACTGACATGCTCTTTCTGCGTTCCAGGTGGGAAACTTTGCTAGGAAGGAAGGAACGACTCACACACCTGGCTCCAGAGAAACTTGTGTCGACCTCATTTCTGTATCAAATGCATTTCTCTACATCTTCCAGAGTCGGCTTTGGAGCATTTCCGCTGAACGTGGCTGCTCATGTCAGGCACAAAACAGGGAGTAGCTTTATCATGAGAAGAGCACAGGCTTTGGTGCAGAACGCAAGGTCCCGGGAGCTGCCCAGAAGCGCCCCTGCCTGGGAGCCTGTGCCGAGCCCTGGCCATGCATGGCCATATCCACCCTCACAGCAGGCATATGGGGAAGGCAGGGTGATCACTGTGTGTGCCCGCCTCACAGGGCTCATCCATGTGTCCCTTCTACCTTCTGTCTCCTCCTGCTGGGAAAAAGAAGCCTCCTGCCCTGGAGTCTTCACCCTGCTGGCTTAGAAACTACCCTGATAATACTCACTGGCTTTGCTGCTGCCCCGGCATGAAACCCGTCTTTGGCCATTTCCACCCTGACCCTGTTTTTTTTGTTTGTTTTTGTTTTTTGTTTGTTTGTTTGTTTTTTGAGATGGATTCTCGCTCTGTCACCCAGGCTGGAGTGTAGTGGCACGATCTCGGCTCACTGCAACCTCTGCCTCCCAGGTTCAAGCGATTCCCCTGCATCAGCTTCCCGAGTAGCTGGGATTACAGGTGCCCACCACCATGTCAGGCTGATCTTTGTATTTTTAGTAGAGATAGGGTTTCACCATGTTAGCCAAGTTGGTCTTGAACTCCTGACCTCAGGTGATCCGCCCGCCTCAGCCTTCCAAAGTGCTGGGATTATAGGCATGAGCCACCGCACTGACCTGACCTTGCTTCTTAACTCAGTATTTCCTGCTCGAAATTAACAAAGCCTTCTCTTTTCATGCACCACATCGGGAGTTGCCCACACCCCTCAGATCCTAACTGCAATCCAAGCTTCAGACCAGGAAAACCCTGCCTGCCCTTTCCCCAGAAAGAAAAATATTCTCCTGTGAGGTCCCCAAACTGCACCCCCTTGTCCTCTGGCTCCTTTCTGTAAGATCATCACTCTGTTCTGTTTCCATAGTAGAGCTAACAGAGCATGGGGTTGGAGAAGGACATTCCTAGCTTCATTTTTCACTCTCTGCACGACCTTCAGCGACTTGGAAAACCAGTCAGAGTTGCAGTTTCCTCTTGTTTAAAGCAGTGATGACCATCTTCCCCATATGCCTGCTGTGAGGGTGGATATGGCCACGCACAGCCAGGGCTCGGTGCAGACGACCAGGCAGGGGCGCTCAGTGAGGATGAGGGCTGCTGCACCCACACCCGCCAGTGGTGTGCTGGGCTGGTCCTTGCTGGTCTTTCTGTGTGGCTCCCCTCTGGGCTCTTGTTCTAAGTGCACATCTGCATCTTTGGACTTCTGTGGTCATCATTCTCTCATTCAATCAGCAAACATTGAGTGAGTCCCTGCTGTATACCAAGGATTGCATTTAAGCATCAGGGTTCCAGAAAGGAGCAAGACATGCTCCTGATTTTTAGACAGCTTACCTTCTGGTGGGGCGAGGGCAGATGCAGAAACAGAGCAATGAGGGGCTATAATAAATGCATAGGTCAGCAGTCCCCAGCCCCGCCAGGGTACCCTCTGGGTCTTACTATTGCCCCCTGCCCCTTACTAGTCCTGGATATGCCCAAGGAGATGCATGCCTGAGTCTCAGTTTACCCACCTTTAAAATGGGGGCATTCTCGATTTCCAAGTTTTCCCTGAGGCATCACCAGCACAGCTCCTGACGCATAGACGAAGCCCCTCAGGAAAGGTTGACTCTGGCTCTAACTTACTCCTAAACAAGCCCCTGAGGGTTTCTCAGTCTTGGCAAAATATTGCGCTTGGCTTTTCCAAGCAATCGGTTTAAAATATCTGAAAGAACCATTTCCCCTACAACAAAACACAACAAAGCAAAACACATAAGCTTGACTAGAAACAATGTTAGCATTTCCTCCTGGTGGCTTGCCTGAGCGGCTTTCAGATCCCGCTCCCCTCCCTCTTGGCTCTGAGAGGAGGGGACTCTCTGAGATCCTCTGCTTCTTTATAGATGGCGCTTCCCACTTGCTCCCTCTGCCATGGCTCGGGGCTGCGTGCACAGGACAATCCGTTCTGTTTGAAGCCAGAGGACTCTGCCTAAACATCCTGATGATATGAGCTCCCTAAAGTATTGCGCTGTTTCCAAGTGGGGAGCGTGGAGGAGATTAAAGAATGAAATCACCTCCCATAGGTGATTACAGGTTCCCCGGGCTTCCTAACTACAGCTTAAACATGCAGAGAACCAAAAAGGGAAGACTCAGGTGCCATGGAGAGGCTCACATGGCTGTGTCCCTGCTGAACAAAGCAAGCAAAGGGATATTTGGGAGAATCACTTGAGCTCAGGAGGTCGAGGCTGCAATGAGCTATGATTGTACCATTGCACTCTAGCCTGAGCAACAGAGGGAGATCCTATCTCAAAAAAAAAAAAAAAAAAAGAAAGAGAGAGAAAGAGAGAGGAGGTATCACCTCTGCTTACCAGAAACCATCTATCCTCCTGGCTACAGCCCTACAAGCCACTTCTTCAATGTGCTTGAAGGTATTCAGATGTGCTTATTAATTAGTCATCATTATTGACCTGACATTCTGCTGTCATTTAAATAAACTTGGTGAAATTAATGAGGCCCCTAATAATACGCAGATTTCTTGTGCTAATTATTTTTTGGTGAACAAATTCCATTGTTAATATAAATAGCAATATTAACCATACCAAGGATCAATATTTGTGTGGGTGGTGAGCTGTAGAATAAGAGAAAGGACATGGTCACATTGAGGAGTGTTGGGAGAAGTTCAGAGACTGGCCAAACGCGAAGGTTGCCTTGCCTGAGGAAGGGGCTGAGTACGAGCTTCATTGATG
Source organism: Homo sapiens (assembly GCF_000001405.40). Lineage (NCBI taxonomy): Eukaryota > Metazoa > Chordata > Mammalia > Primates > Hominidae > Homo > Homo sapiens. The sequence goes on along the minus strand of NC_000007.14, from coordinate 67,801,332 downwards.
ATGAGATGGGAGGAGGAAGGTGGTTCCCAAATGTAGAACGGGGTCTGTAAAAGAACTTGATGTGGCAGTAACTGTGGCTATCCTGGAGCCTTCTTTTTATTATTATTATTATTATTTTACTTTAAGTTCTGGAGTACATGTGCAGAACATGCAGGTTTGTTACATAGGTATACACGTGCCATGGTGGTTTGCTGCACCTATCAACCTGTCGTCTACATTAGGTATTTGTCCTAATGCTATCCCTCCCCTAGCCCCCCATCCCCCGACAGGCCCCAGTGTGTGATGTTCCCCTCCCTGTGTCCACGTGTTCTCATTGTTCAACTCCCACTTATGAGTGAGAACAGGCAGTGTTTGGTTTTCTGTTCTTGTGTTAATTTGCTGCGAATAATGGTTTCCAGCTTCGTTCATGTCCCTGCAAAAGACATAAACTCATCCTTTTTTATGGCTGCATAGTATTCCATGGTGTGTATGTGCCACATTTTCTTTATCCAGTCTATCATTGATGGGCATTTGAGTTGGTTCCAAGTCTTTGCTATTGTGAACAGTGCTGCAATAAACATACGTGTGCATGTGTCTTTACAGTAGAATGATTTATAATCCTTTGTATCCCGGAGCCTTCTAAGATGTACAGCACTAATACAAGTTCAGAGACACTGAAGATCCTGCCATTGTGTTTACCCCCAGCCACTTCCAACAGACCTCCAAGTCCCCACTGATCCAACCATCCAATCAGCCCTCTCAGTCAGTACCTTCTCTTGGCGTCCTTTTCCCTTGATCTGCTGAAAATTTGCACCTTGGCTTATGTTCCTTCCCTCGCTAGATGTTCGGACCCACATCCAGTCTTAGCCCCTCCAATCCAGCTTCCAAACCAGAGCCCAAAAACTGAAAGAGAAAATTGCTCCCTGCTAAGGAGTTCTCTGGTGGGTCTCATGGTCTAGAGTGTAGTTCAAGGCCTCCTTCGTGTGCAATCTCTTTCCATGGAGTTCAAGTGTCCAGATATTAACTGTCCTTATCTCCCCAGCCTCCCATCCCACATGCATGAATTGCTTTGGGAATTAATGCATTCCCCTCATCCCATCATTTCAGCCAGTTAACTCCTGCACACTCTCCACCCTTAAAATCTCACTTCTCTAGGGGACCTTCTGGGAATCCCCAGCCAGAGCTCCTCCTCTGCTCCCAGGACTCCTGGGCTTCCCACGTTTACAGCTCTTATCACACTATTGATAATTTTCATTATCTGGGCTTCTCACGTTTACAGCTCTTACCACACTATTGATAATTTTCATTATCATGTCTTCCTTATTTCATCTCTTCCTTATTCCCGGGACTGTGAACCTCTCAAGGGCATGGCATTCGCCTGATACATCTCAGGCTACACAAAGCCCCGTGATGCCTAAATGTTTGATGAACATGCAAATAAGTGATTAAATCCTTGTGAGAGAAAGGATTGTGGGGGAGACTGAGGAGTCAGCAGATAGGTGAGCTGGGAATAGAATCACAGTGAGAAATTGAAAGCAGAGATGAAGGAAGTCTTGGAAGCAGCTCTTGGTTTTTGGTAAGTGGACTCAGTATAGACTAAGAATGTTGATAAGAAACTAGTAGGAAGAACAGGCAAGAATGCAGATTTCTTCATCCCATCACTTCTACGGAGGTGAGATTTTAAGGGTGGAGAGTGTGCAGGAGTTAACTGTCTGAAATGACGGGATGCAGGTCCCGCAATGACTATTGATGCAGGCAGAGGACACAGGTTGAGAGAATATGGCAGATTTACCAGCCACATTTGGCTCAAGTTCTGTGTACATATTTTAGGAGGTCCCAGTGGGCAAGAAACAGTGTGCTGATCAGGGGGAGAAAGCCAGGTTCCCTTTGACCCCATGGAAGGATCTTGGCATCTCTTGCTCTGAGAAATGTCAGGTGTCTTATAGAGGATGGCATTTTTCTGCTGAACAAACCATGAACTATCAGGTTTCCTTCAAAATTTTTAGCTTTTTCCCAAGCATATAAGCAGGTTCTAGCCAGGGCTGTCCAAGCTTTGGCTTCCCTGTGCCACATTGGAAGAACTGTCTTGGCCACACATAAAATACACTAACACTAAAAAAAAAAAAAGGTCTGTGCATAATTTTCATGATATCTACCACCACAGATAAGCAAAAAAGTTCTTGCAAAGTTCTTGCATTCCAATGATTGGACATGGCTGCTCTAGACTCTAACCACAGAGGAGCATCAGAAGATGCTGAGAGGCTCCCCAGGATGCAGAGATATGGGGAGATCTCATCGCCCAGCTTTGGGCAAGCTTTCAGGTCACAGAAGCATTGGCATCTCTCAGGGAGTCACATGATGGTGTCAGGACTGATGACCATGGGGTGTAGCTCTCCCAAGACCCAAAAGGAGATTCATTGCAACACTTGCAATGTATACTGAGCTAAGGGATAAATCTCAAAAAGTCCTTTCTGCTCTGATGAATTTCTAAAATGGATGATTTCACCTTAGATGAAATATCAGGAAGTGTGATCTGGGAAAGAAGCAAAGGAAAGTTGTTTTGGTCTGGAAATTTTACCTCTTAAAGCAGGGGTTCCCAATCCCTCAGCCATAGACTGGCACTGGTTCGTGGCCTATTAGGAACCAGGCTGAACAACACAAGGTGAGCAGCGGGCAAGTGAGCGAAGCTTTATCTGTATTTACAGCCACTCCCTATTGCTCGCATTACCACCTGAGCTCTACTTCCTATCAGATCAGCTGCATCATTAGATTCTCATTGGAGTGCAAACCTATTGTGAATTGTGCGTGCGAGGGATTGCACACTCCTCGTGAGAATCTGTCACTGTCTCCTGTCACTCCCAGATGGGACCATCTAGTTTCAGGAAAACAAGCTCAGGGCTCCCACTGATTCTACATTACAGTAAGTTGTAGAATTATCTCATTATATAGTACAATGTAATAATAATTGAAATAAAATGCACAATAAATGTAATGAGCTTGAATCATCCCCAAACCATCCCCCTCCCCCTCCACCTCCCCTGGTCATGGAAAAATTGCCTTCCATGAAACTGGTTCCTGGTGCCCCAAAGGTTGGGGACCACTGTCTTAAAGATTGTTTTGTATTGTTTCTTCTCCTTGACCAGAAGGGGGTTAATACAATGGAGATTCCTTTTCAGCACAAAAAGGGAAGATTATATATGTGAGCTAAGCTTTTATTTGAGTTGAAACATCCAAAAACTCTCCACAAAATAGAGTCCAGTATGCCAGAAGGCTTAATGCCCCCAGGGAAACAAAATTGCATTAATATTCAAAGATGTTCCAATATTTCTTCAAGTTTCACAACTGATACTAAATTAAGCCATGAAGTGCAACCATGCTAATTGGCAAAAGGCACATGATAGACTATAATGGTGTAAAAGTTCATCTCTTGCTCCAATTAATTACAAAAGAGGATTTTTTCAAAATAAAGGAACAAGCTCTCACATTCACCACATGGATCCTAAAGCACCTTTCTTACACAGTATGACACCACAACTCTGCCTCCCACAGCCCTAATGTGAAATGAAATTATTTTTTGTATATTAGCATGTCAAAGCATGGAATTGCATGTCCAATGTGGTGTTTTAATACAATTGAATACACCTTTGGGTCAATGAATAATGTATAACATAAATCTTCTAACTGAAATAAGTATCGAGTTAGAATTCCTTATAATCATTCTATTATAAAGACACATGCATGCATATGATCATTGCAGCATTATTCACAATAGCAAAGATATGGAATCAACCTAATTGCCCATCAATGATAGACTACATAAAGAAAATGTGATACATATATACCATGGAATACTATGCAGCCATAAATAAGAACAAGATGATGTCCTTTGCAGGCACATGGATGGAGCTAGAGGTCATTATCCTTAGCAAACTAACCCAAGAACAGAAAACCAAATACTGCATGTTCTCAATTATAAGTGGGAGCTAAATGATGAGAACACATGGGCACATAGAGGGGAACAACACACACTGGGGCCTGTCAAAGGGTGGAGGGTGAGATGAGGGAGAGGATCAGGAAAAAGAACCAATAGGTACTAGACTAATACCTAAGTGATTAAATAATCTGTACAACAAACCCCTATGACACAAGTTTACCCATATAACAAACTCCTATATACCTATATAACAAACATATATGACTGAACTTAAAATAAAAGTTAAAAAAATAAGAATTCTTTGGGGGTACTATCTTTCTAGTATTGGTCACTGAGCTTTCCCATGCCTGGTATCTCTTACAGATTATGAAGAGTGCAGACTCGCCCCTTATCTCCATCAAAGTCTAATCACCAGGGAAGAGATATAAGGAATTGCAAATGAGAGCAAACATCCACTTTATTAAAGTGCCCAATAATTGCCAAAGTACAAGACAAAGTTGAAATTGAGACATGGCTTGGATATGAGGCTAGAGTAGGGGCATCCTATCACTGCCTGTATTGACTTGTATTTCCCCAAAGAAGAACCTGGGGTCTGGGTAGCTTATTTGCAGGAAAATCTCAGGGATCAGCCATGGGCAGCCACAGAGAGTGAGGGAAGGGGAAGAAACCCACACTGGAGGCATGATTGAGTCCACTCCTGTGAGCATCTGGGGCTCTTGGAATAGTCCACCCAAGATCAGCCTGTAAGTTGCAACCTTTGGCTTCCAAATCTGCTGGCTGAGTGGATTTCCACCTCCAGGCTGGTCACACTTGCTTGATGAGTGAGTTCCTACCAACATCAGGAGTGTCAGAGAAATACGAAGGGTAGAAAACAGAAGATCGTTATGGGTGCATAAGGTAAGTTGTTATCAGACCAAGGTAGGTAGAAGCCAACTCAGAAACTTTCCACTGCAGCTGTGGCTAAAACTGAATGGGAGGACAAGAGAATGTGAATGGGGCCCTAGACGTGTGTGATACACTCCCCAGGAGTTTGCGAGGTCCACTGCAGGGGAGCGCTGGGTCCATTCATTTAGCTGATGCCAAAGATGGCAGCCCTCCCTACCAATGCAAGCTCCAGAAGCACACAGACCACTAGCTCAAATACTCAGCTCTCCTTAAGAGGCACTCTCAGGTCCCAATCCAAGGCACAGATGCATGAAACCACAGTGCAAGCCCCAGAAGTACACAGACCACCAGCTCAAATACTCAGCTCTCCTTAAGAGGCAACCTCAGGTCCCAATCCAAGGCACAGATGCATGAAACCACAGTGAACTGCAGCTTCTCTTACTGATGAGGCACAAGTGGGCAAAAGAAGGATTGAAAATCTTTCCCACTTCTGAGCCAAAATCATATTGAATGCTTTGGGGTAATGCTTGCTCATGCAAACTTTTCTAATCTTAGTAGCTTAATACAATAACTGTCTTTCTCAAACTGTGGGCTCCAAACTTGGCTTCGCCTTAGCAGTTCAGAAACCCAAATAATCTCCCATGTTTGGGTTCTGCTATTGTCAAGATGTTTATCAGCATTAAGAAGGAAAATGCAGGCAGCATTCCGCATGCAAAGATTCTATGGGACAGAAATGGAAGTGGTTCCTGGCACTTCTGCCCACTTGCCATCAGCTGAACTAAGTAACTTGGCCACAGTTAACTCCAAGAAAGGCTTGGAAACAAGCTCAGGTTGTGTGTCTAGGAAGAAGATGAAACGTGTTTAATGAACAGCTAGGCAATCTCTGCCATAAGTTCCTTCTTTTCATAAGACAAAGCCCCAAAAAATAATTAGTTTTCACCAATAAGGTTGATCTGGTTTGGCTGTGTCCCCACCCAAATCTCATCTTGGGTTGTAGCTCCCATAATTCCCATTTGTTGTGGGAGGGACTGGGTGAGAGATAATTAAATTATGGGGCTGGTTTCCCTTATACTGTTCTTGTGGTAGTGAATAAGTCTCATGAATTCTGATGGTGTTATAAGGGAAAACCCCTTTCACTTGGTTCTCATTCTCTCTTTGCCTACAGCCATGTAAGACGGTGCCTTGGTTCTTCCCTCACCTTCCTCCATGATTGTGAGGTCTCCCGGCCACGTGAAACTGTGAGTCCATTAAATCTCTTTTTATTTATAAATTACCCAGTCTCGGGTATGTCTTTATCAGAAGCTTGAAGACGGACTAATACAAAGGTGTACCAACACTCCACCCTTGAAAAAGGGTAGGTGCAAAGGAAGGCAAGAGAAGTATAAAGTGTTCACTCCAACAATTGGAGAAGCAAATTGTAGTTTGTTTTATAAGGGACAGAAAAAAGCCGAGTCCTAAACCGTGCAGTTACCACAGTCCTCCATTCCATCTCCCCAGTTTCTCATAAGGATGCTTTTATACCCCAGTGTTATAGATGGGGAAACTGAGGCTCAGGAGGCCAAGTGGTTTGCTGAAGTTAACATTGTTGATGGGAACCACGGGATTTAAACTCTCGTCTTTTGGATCCCTCAATGTGGAAAAGGAGGACCAGGAGCTATGTCTTTGGCTTTTATCATTTACATTCAGAAAAAAAATACCAGAGATGGAATCATTCTGCTTTTGTTTCTAGGCCACAAAATCCTAGCCAGAAAGCCTAAATTAAGAAACAGAACATGAGATGTATTAATCTGCCAGGACTGTCATAACAAAAGACCACAGACAGAGTGGCTTAAACAACAGAAATTTGTTGGCTCATAAATGCATTATGAGCAGGGTTGGTCTTTTCTGAGGATGGTGAAGGTGAATATGTTCCATGCCCTTCTCCTAGCTCCTGGTGGTTTGCTGGTGATCTGGCATTCCTTCACTAGTAAATGCAGTACCCTGATCTCCCTCATGTTCATCCGGTGTTCCCCCGCATCTGTATCAGTCTCTGTGTCCACATTTCTTCCTTTTTTATAAGCACACCAGTCATATTGGATTGCAACCACCCTAATGCCCTCATTTTAACTTGATTACCTCTATAAAAACCCTGTCTCCAAATCAGGTCACATTCTGTAGCACTGAGGGTTAGTACTCCAATAGTTTCATTCTTGGGGGAAGGAGATACAATTTAGCCCCTATAACACAAGGTGGGGGCTGGAATTCTCTGCCTCATTCAGAGAGTCATCAACCAATTCTAATAGCAAAATAAAGGGGTTGGAGACCCCTTGGAGACCACCTTGGAGACCCAGTTCTCAAAACTGAAAATGACATGTCGGGGTGACCCAATGCATCCCTTGGATTTCAGGGAATTGGAATCAACTTTTATCTTTCTGATTCAGACAGATCTCAAAGGCAGGATTTCCCCGGGTTCCCGGTAAAATGGGGCACTGTTGTTTTCCTATCCACATTCCAGACTTAGAGTGAAAGTCCCCTTGGTAGGGAGCTGCCATCACTTCTGAAATAAAATATAGAGGTCAAGTCCTATTTCCAAAGAAAATGTTACATTCCCCTTTCTATTTTTTTTTCTGGGTTATATTTTAGACAAAATGTTCTCTGCAATTAGATGGCCGTAGCTGTATCTTATTTCCTTTACCATTAATCTTTTATAAACTGTGAAATTAACAAGCCTCTCCATGACCAACCTGTAAAGACTGCCATCTCTCACTGCCATTGACTGAAGGTCTTTGTTGGAGACACTCTACCGATAGCACTTGAGCAATTTTGATGAATGTGTCTCTCCTTCTCATTACAAGAAATGCTAATCTCCTGACATCTCTCTCTATGTACATTCATTAAAGGACTCCAAGCTCTCCACACTCTGGCGGAGTTGAAATTCAGCACTGTATTTGCTGACATTACAATGGTCTGCTCACCCAGAGTTATCCGATGATGTGGTATTAAAGAATTAGGTCAAATAATCTGGATAAACCTTTAGGATTAAGGGATCTGTGCTTGTCTCACTGACCAACATTTTGAAAACCTAGTTATACCCAAGCAAATACAGTATACTTATTGTTCATTCATTCCACAAATTGAAGTGTGTCCTTACTAAGGGTGAGGAACTCGTCTAGGCACTGGGGAAGTAGAGCTCTGGCCTTCCTGGAACTTGCAGTAGAGGGAGAAGGATGAGAGGAAAAAACACATTAATGATGACAATACAATGGGTTAAGTGGCATAGGAGATAGAGGAAGAGTCTGACAAGCTCCACCTGCCGTCAGGATGGGTTTCACAAACAAGGTTAGATTTGAGCTCATTTTGAACGATGGAAAAGAGTTTGTTGGGTGCAGCATGCTGTGGACATAGGAGGGCCTTCCAGGAAGAAGAAATAATATGTGCCAAAGATAAGAACATGGCATGTTTAGCAAAAATGTTTGTCTCCCCAACAAAGAATATGCACACCAGAAGATGTGCTGGAGAGGCCATCAGGGGCCAATTTCTGCTTGGCTTGAATACCAAGCTACAGAGTTGGTCTTGACCTGCAAGGCCAGTAGCTTCAACCCATGTTCCATGAAGAGGAAGCCCCTTCAGCCACTTCAGAGAGCATGGGGTAGTAGGGAGAACAGCAAGTGGAGAGTCGAGTTCTTCACCCCTATTTTAGTCAAGGAAACTTGGCTCAAATGAGGACCATGGATGTGACTCTGGGGTTGGGAAAGAAAGCATAGATTCAAGAAGCATTTCAAAAATGGATGTATTAATCAAAGTTCTATAAAGAAACAGAACCAAAAGGAGATAGATATTGATAAATAGCTATAGATATAAAGAGATTTATAGTAAGGAATCAACTCACTTGATTACAGAGGCTAAGAAGTACCAAGATCTGCAGTCAGCAAGCTGGAGAAGAAAGAGATCTGATGGTGTAAGAGCCAGTCCAAAACCTGGCAAGCTCAAGACCCCAGAATAACTGAGGTTTCCATTTAAGAGGCAAGAAAAGACTGATGTCCCAGCTCAAGCAGTCAGGCAGAAGGAGTTTCTTCTTGTTCATGGGAGGGTCAGCCTTTTTGTCTTATTCAGACCTTCAACTGATTGAATGAGGGCTACCCAATCCAAATGTTAATCTCATCCAAAAATACTCTCAGAGATACACCCAGAATAATGTTTGACGAAATATCTGAGAACCCCACGACCCAGTCAAGTTGGTGCATAAAATTAGCCACTGCAGTGGAATTGTCAAAACCTGGAATCCCCAGGGTGGCTATGGGGAGTGCGGGAATGGGATAAGAGGAGGTTGAGTCTAAGGTTTGCAGATTGGGCAGCCATGTGTGCGGAGATGCCTTAGGTAAGATGAGTATCATTGACAGTCTGTAACAAACAATTGCCTCTTTCTGGCAAAGTCCTGCTTGGCATCTGGTGGCTAATTTGTAAACTTTCTGGTCCAGATGAAAACTGGGTGGAAGCCTGAACCTTGCCTTTACTCTTTGTATCATATTTCCAGATAAGATCTTTACAACAGTGTCATGTTCAAGATTCATAAATGCCAAATTACCCGTGGTCATTTCAGAAGCATATTCTAAGCCTGGCCAGGAGATGTTTTTCATTGTCTTCTGCAGAAGGCCTGGGCTGCCATGCTGTACACGAAGAGCAGAAATTGTGTGCAGCACAAGTGTGTGGGGCAAGAATTACGAGTCAACACACCCTATAGCAACAGATAAGAGCCTGATGTTCAAACGGAGACAGAAGCATGAAATAGCCCTCCATCCTTTCCCTATGGCTGATAGGATCAGAAGTGGCAGTCCACCAAGGGTCACCAATTCAAATATCCTGCAACAGGGCCTAACAGAGAAAGAGGAGGTGAGGAAGTAAGATGCTCACCCTTGGGAACATGGAGAGCCTAAACCAATAAGCACTTGGAGGAAAAGCAAAAAGATGAGATGAAGCAGAAACAGAACCCTAGCAGACCAAACTTCATGTGCAACAAAAGTCTTGGGGAGCAGGAACTGTGAGTTGACATAACCTGCAACAACAAAAAGGATCAGAAAGATGGAAGTTGTAGACATCTCCCACTCTGTTCTGGGACCCCGGCTGGCTCTCATAAGTCTTAACAATATCTCCTCCACAATCTACTTTGAAGAAAATTAAATGAGTGTCTTTCTTGTTGCAAACAAAGAAACCAGCCTGGCTCTACCCACAAAGCAGACCAGAAACCTGTTGCTTTATAAACCTCCAACCTTGTCTAATGACTGATGATGACAGACACCCAGACAGCTCTGAGCCCACCTTAGGACTGGACTCACCACACACACCCATAGGGGATTCTAGAAACTCTGTACAGCCCATTCTCCAACTTAGGCTGGAAAACTGAGCCCTCTCTCTTCCTGCTGAAGGGACCAAGAATTCATTTCCTTCCTTCCTTCCTTCCTTTTTCTTTCTTTCTTTTTTTTTTTTTTTTGATAGTGTCTTTTTCTGTCACCAGGCTAGAGTGCAGTGATGCGATCTTAGCTCACTGCAACCTCTGCCTCCTGGGTTCAAGTGATTATCCTGCCTCAGCCTCCCATGTAGCTGGGATTACAAGCGTGCACCACCACGCCCAGCTAATGTTTGTATTTTTAGTAGAGACGGGGTTTCACCATGTTGGCCAGGGTGGTCTCAATCTCCTGACCTCGTGATCCACCTGCCTCACTCTCCCAAAGTGCTGGGATTACAGGCATGAGCCACAGCACCTGGCCCCTTTCTTATTGATTCTGGTTCTAGCCACCTATCTTCTTCCATCACTGTCTCCTCCATGGGGCTCCATCCTTCCCAGGCCTGTTTATGGAGGGGGACACAGTTTGCCCAGCTCCCCCAAGAAAAGCACACTGACTCATGTTCTGTTACAGTGCCTTTTTCTGCAGGGCGGCTCTCAGGAGGTGGGAACAACAACCATGTGGAATTTACAGCCCTTTCTGGTCCACAGAAATCGTTTAGTTCCTGGCTTCGGTGCACATTCTTCCTATTCTAAGCTGTCCTCAGACCCTTCTGGGCTATTAGAGCTCCTCTTGCACTCTAGCGTGGAACCCAACAAGCCTCCCAGCTCTCCAGACCCTTGTCACTCTCTAGACCACTCAACAACCCCATGCCCCATTCTCCTTCACCAAGGTTTCTTATCCCAGTGCAGAGCAGAGAGGCAGGCAAGATGGAACCATACGTATAAACTGGTGGCCATTGGAAGGCCCCATTCCCAAGTAGGCCATTTGCCCTTCAGTGATCCTCTCTCCCATATCTGAGTCTCTGTCTCACACAGGAGTCTCCCCTTGGGTTACCTCCTCTTTTTGCCCATTCCTGAATATTTCCTTGGTTTGGAATGACTAGAACCAAAGCACAACCAACATCTCCTTACCTCCCAGTTCCACGTCATTGACTTAGGATGAAATCTGACATTCTCCGTGCACCCTGCTGGGATTTCTTTCTTTTGCCTCAGGGTGAATTTGTTCAACAAGGAATCACACTTTAAGATGTGCTGATCGCTCTCCCCAGCCTTCTGATTCTGGAGTGTGAATGTGCAGGATCAGGATCCTGAGAGGGAGGCGCTTTCTCTTGGAATCCAAGGGCTGTTATAGCAAAAGAGCATCCGCTGGAATGCTGGAAGAATTGCCAGCCGCCTCCTTAAAGCCTCCTTAAAGCACAGTACAATGCAAAGAAAACCATGCTGGGAGTCAACACGTTCTTCAGCCATCTACTTTCTCAACACATATTTGTTAGGTGTCAACGAGGTAGCACTGCCCTGGGTGTTAAGAATACATTAGTGGCTGGGCACGGTGGCTCACTCCTGTAATCCCAGCGCTTTGGGAGGCTGAGGCAGGCAGATCACTTGAGGTCAGGAATTTGGGACCAGCCTGGCCAACATGGCGAAATCCCATCTCTACTAAAAATACAAAAATTAGCCAGGCGTGGTGGTGGGTGTCTATAATCCCAGCTACTTAGGAGGTGGAGGTTGCAGTGAGCCAAGATCATGCCATTGCACTCCAGCCTTGGCAGCAGAGGAAGACTCCATCTCAGAAAAAGACCAAAAAGAATACATTAGTGAACTAGACAGTCAGCACCCTTTCTGCCTTTCCAGAAGAGACATGAAAACTCCTTTATGCCCTTGAGCTGTGTGACCTTGGGCAATTCGCTTGATCTGTGTGAGCCTTACCCTCCTTCTGTTATCTAAGGATAATGTGTGAAACTTCCAGAATGTTAAAACTGAGTCGCCCATATGACCACCCAAGGAACAGTGCCTGGAACAGCCTAGGCGTTCACCAACCATTAGCTGGCACGCAGAGATTTCCCATCTTGACCTGGAATCCCTGGGAACATCCTCAGGTTGATGGGAACCACCGTAGGGCACCATCAGATGCAAACTGAGGGTCTGTGATCCAGTCTGGAAATATTCAAAGGATAAAAATTCACAGATGATGGCAAGAAAGCAAATATAAACCTCTTGATGTGGTTCCCTGCTTAATTTATTTCCAACTTTGTCTTAAGTGATGTTTCTCACCGATAGCTATGAAATGGAAAATAGCTAACGAGAGTTAAAATTCCCAGCGAAGACTCCGGATTTATCCACCAGCTCCCGTGGGTGCTCCGAAGCAGGACGGTGGTGTGCTACTGCCCCCCTGTGCAGCCAGCAGGGCTAGCAAGGATCTGGAAACCCAGCCAACCCCAGGATTTTTATCTTATTTTTTAATTTTTTTAGCAAGAACGCTTAAGAAGGAGAAAATGGACTCTCAAAAATCCTCTTTATCCAAGATCAAATAGAATAAAACCCAATTAAGTCCGTGCAGCTGTCGGCTGTTTAACCAACTCAAACCGCACATCCTTCCCCTCTCTCCCCCTGGGCTCTTTCTCTCCCTGATGTGTATTGGACACCCGGCTCCATTTACAGGAAATGGATCCATTAACCCCAGAGATAGAAAAAAAAAAACCCTAAGAACATGCAGGGCTCACACATGCCCCCAAATGACGATCTTTGCGGCCAGGTGCGGGGAGGCCTCCAGGATTCTCAGGACCGTAGCAAAAGGATTCATAGACTCTTTCCAGAAGTCTCTGGGCGCAGTTGTTCTGCTGGCCTGAGTTCTGTTCTCTGCTCACAAGGCGCCTCTCAGCCCCTCTGCCTCAAGCTGGCTTAATGGATCTTTGAGCTGTTTAGGTCAAGAAATAGTCACTGAACTAGGTCTCATAACCCTGTTAGGAGCCCAAAACTTCAGGATCATATAATCTAGAGGGAGGAACTATCCAATGGGTAAACTTCCATGGTACGGTGAGAACTGGATCAAAGGACGTACAGGGGCTGCAGGACAGGGGAGAGGGGGCCAACCCCAACGGGAAGTTGAGAAATGTCTCCTGGAAGAATAGCGCCTGAGCTGAAACTTGAAAGAGGAATGCAGCCAGGCGCGGTATCTCACACCTATAATCCCAGCACTTTGGGAGCCCAAGGTGGGCAGACCACTTGCGGTCAGGAGTTCGAGACCAGCCTGACCAACATGGTGAAACCCTGTTTCTACTAAAAATACAAAAATTAGCCAGGCATGGTGGCGCGCACCTATAATCCCAGCTACTCAGGAGGCTGAGGCAGGAGAATCGCTTGAATCTGGGAGGTGGAGGTTGCAGTGATCCGAGATCACACCATTGCACTCCAGCCTGGGCAACAAAGCGAGACTCCATCTGTTATTGAGCAAAGAAGCAGGTAACAGAGTCACAGGCAGAACTTACCCACCATGGCAGAGTGGAGAGGCATGAAATTGCAAGCACTTGGGGAAATGGAATGTAGTTCAACACGATTGGAACACAGGGCATGAGGAAAAGGGTTTCAGCAAGTGAGATTGTTACAGATGATCAGGGGTTGGGCTGTGGAGATCACTGCATGCCAGACTGAAGATGGGATCTAAAAGTATGGACTGCAGAGAATTGCAGAGGAGATCAGGAAGGTCTCACTTTCACCGGGGCAACAAGGGGCAGATGAGTCAGAGGAAGGAACCAGGAAGCAGAGAGCCCAGGAGAAATCTGTGACAGCAGTCTGGGCAAAAGAGACCAATTTTGAATTAAAGTCCTGAAGACATGACTGTAGAATTATTACAATGAAGATCATCAGGCCTGGCCGGGCATGGTGGCTCACTCCTGTAATCCCAGAACTTTGGAAGGCCCAGGTGGGCAGGTCCCCTGAGGTCAGGAGATTGAGACCAGCCTGGGCAACATGGTGAAACTCCGTCTCTACTAAAAATACAAAAATTAGCCAGGCATGGTGGCGGGCACCTGTAATCCCAGCTACTCAGGAGGCTGAGGCACAAAAATCGCTTGAGCCCAGGAGATGGAGGTTGTAGTGAACCAGGATTGCACCACTGCACTCCAGCCTGGGCAAGAGTGAGACTCTGAAGAAGGAAGGAAGGAAGGAAGGAAGGAAGGAAGGAAGGAAGGAAGGAAGGAAGGAAGGAAGGAAGGGAGAGAGTCAGGGAGGGAGGGAAGGAAGGAGGAAGAAAGAAAGAAGGAAGGAAGGTAGGAGAAAGAAAGAGAGAGAGAAAGAAAGAAAGAGAGAGAAAGAAAGAGAGAGAGAAAGAAAAAGAGAGAAAAAAGAGAAAGAAAAAGAAAAGAAAGAGAGAGAAAGAAAAGAAAAGAAGAAAGAAAGAAAGAAAGAGAGAAAGAAAGAAAGAAAGAAAGAAAGAAAGAAAGAAAGAAAGAAAGAAAGAAAGAAAGAAAGAAAGAAAATAATCAGGACTTAGAGACTGTGTAGCCGACACCATACTCATCCCTAATATCCCCAGATCGGGACAAGAGACTAGCTACCAACTGTTGTGCACTCTGGGAATGGTCTGGTTCCCAATAAACACAAAAATTAGTCCTGCTGCTGCCCTGTTCAATTTCTCACCTCCAAGGACAGATCTGTCTCTCTTCTGTCCACCTTTGCATGTCCCTGTGATGGCTTCCATTCATGTCAGAGATGGAAAAGTGGCAAGCCCTGCGTGTTAAGAATTTCAGCTGCTTAGAGCTGCTGGAGAGTGCAAAGGTGAGAAGTGGGACTCCAGAAACCATGAGGCCTTCCAGCATGACAGCAGCCAGCTTAACCGAGGCATGGACCTGAAACCTCCCTGTTTCCTGGATGATTGCTCTATAGAACACCTAAACTTCCTACTCAGAGTTCCTGGGTTTTACGAGCCATCTGTTGTATGGAGTATGCAGCGGTACTTTCTCTGGGGAGACAAGAGGAGGAAGCCGATAGAGTTTAATCTTGGTACTAGCTGCACAGTCTGGACAAGCTGCTTAGGCCCTCGGGGTTTCAGCCCTCCCCTCTGCCAATTGAGGTGGCTTCCTCATGGGGCAACTGAGAAGAAGGAGTGACATCATATGAGTGAAAGTGCTTCCAAAGGGCAAACCATTGAACAGGTGGTTGCAGTTGGTTCCATCAAATTGGAGACTTCTGGACACCAAGACCAGGAAGCACCGGCCCTTCCCCCACTCCTGCGTATAAAGGACTGCATGGTATAAGTCCCCTCCAGGAGGAATGCCTCTGCATTGGGAACCCCCAGTTTGGGTGTTACAGCTGATCCCTGGTATACTTTAACCAAGATATAATCATTGAGAATACCCAAGTTCCTTCCATGCATTCCCTAACAACAGAGTTTGTGCAACCGAGAAAATGGTAGCTTTCAGATGTGAAAGTGCATATAGGCACCGAAGAATGTTATCCACTGGGGGCCAATAACCAAGAAAAATGAAGTGATTTGTTTTCTCATAACTTGAAAAATCCCACTAAGTGTGGGCCAGGTGTGGTGGCTCATGCCTGTAATACCAGCACTTTGGTAGGCTGAGGTGAGTGGATCATCTGAGCCCAGGAGTTCGAGACCAGCGTGACCAACACGGTGAAACCCCGTCTCTACTAAAAATATAAAAATTAGCTGGGCATGGTGGTGCATTCCTGTAATCCCAGCTACTCAGGAAAATGAGGCAGGAGAATCGCTTGAACCCAGGAGGTGGAGGTTGCAGTGAGCCGAGATCACACCACTGCACTCCAGCCTGGGTGACAGAGTGAGACTCCATCTCAAAAAAAAAAAAAAAAAAAAAATCCTAAGTCAGGAGGACAATAGAAGAGAGAGTGGAAAGAACAGCTCAGGACCAGGACTCTACAAATAAAAGTAGGAGGATTTCTCTTCTAAGTAAAATAATAAAAACAAATAAGACAGGCCATGGAGAGACCATGTTGTCTAGACTACCAACGCAACTCTGAAAATAAACATGCCTACACTAGCCTGGGCAACGTAGCGAGATCCCATCTCCATTTTTTTAAAATTGTTTTTAATTAGCCAGGCATGGTGGTGTGCACCTGTAGTCCCAGCTACCCAGGAGGCTGAGGTAGAAGGATCACTTGAGCCCCAGAGTTTGAGACTGCAGTGAGCTACGATTGCACCACTGCACACCAGCCTGGCGACAGGGTGAGGCCCTGCCTCTAAAATAAATAAATAAAAGTTAAAAATCATAAAAATAACATGAAAACAAACATCCCCAGCAAAACTTTCCCTCAAAGTTTTTGCTCTGTTTCTCTGAAATAAGTCAATCCTCCAGTAATTATGGGTCACCAAGGATGGAGTCTAGCTTAGTGGGATATGGAGGAATGGAACCCTGTCCTCAGTAAGCTTACAATGAGAGAAGAACATTCTGAGAAGCATTGCAAACACTGCGGAAGACAGGCAGAGGATGCTCACGGGGTTACTGGGGTTAGAAGCAGCTTCAAACAGTCTGGGGAACTTGAACTAGACCATGAACTGGGGGTCTATAGGGATTCTATCCAAATAGACCCAACACAAGCCAGAAAACAGGAATATGAGCTGCAATATAATGTAGGTCTTCACAAAACACTTGAATGGAATCTTAAGGTCAGTGCACAATTTTTGGAAGATGAAATGTTTTGAGTGATTTATGCCAGGGCAATATCTAAAGTAAAATTTACTACAAAGGCTAGAACCTGGCAGAATATTCAGAATATCATCCACCAAACAGAACACACACTGGACCAGTCATAATGGATGCCAGTACAAGTACATTAGACATGCAAATATATATGAGAAAAGTGTAATGATAGAATTCTGGGACATCCAAGATGGAGAGTATCGTACAGATCTTTCCCTAAATCACCCTTTGGAGGGCTCCCATTTTCCCAGGGTTTTATCCACCCCATGCATTATGTCTGCCCAGAAGTTCAGCTCACCAGGTTTTCTTTTGTTGCAATGGAAAGATTTTTGTGTTTTGCCCATGGGCAATGAGTTAATACTATTAGTAAACATAATTACACAGAAGCGTTTTGTTCTAAAATCTATTTATTGAAAGCAAGCTGATCTGACTGTCCTTCCAAGGATAAATTATGATGCCAGACACTGAAACTTGTAATATCTCTATTGAATGGGAAAGCAGGCCTAGGGTTTTGTGATTGAGATGTACGGTTCTGTTGGAGATGATCCCCAGTCAGAGGGTCTCCAGGGTTTCTGTGCTGGACTTTGGGGTTGAGATTCTAGGGTTCCATTAAAAAATGACTATAGCAAGAACATCTAATATTGACCTGGATGGGAAACTGGAGCATGAATTTTGGACCTGGAAAGATGCCATTATCCCAGGGTGCCAGTGAGGACTTGGATCCAGGGGAGTAGGTGCGGCTGAGAACACTTCCCAAGTGCTCATCGCAGATCAATGTGAATCTAGCCCTGCCTTCAGATTTTAAAAGCTAAAGGCACATGGAATGGGATACCAGGCCACAAACCCAGGAAACCAAACATCTCAGGGCAGACGCCTACAACAGCGCTCAGAGAGCAGGTGTTGAGTGATGGCTTCTTGCTGTGGAACATCAAGACTCCATCCTCCTCATTCAGGTCCCATTTATCTGACAGTGGCCAAGTCTCCTAGTTGCCCCAACCCCACTCCAGATTAATGCATTCATCCAAGCCCCCTGCCACCCATTCAGAGAGGAATAAGTCTTGATTCTCATTATCCACTGGATGTACTACTTAGTATGGAGTGCTGAAGACAGCCAAGATGGTCTCAAAGCACTCCAAATGTGCTTGCAGTGTGATCAGAGAAAGAGGACGTGGACTGTGGAGGGCTGGGATTATTAAGAAGAAAGCATTTTATTTTTTTTAATTTATTTATTTGAGACAGGGTCTCACTCTGTCTCCCAGGCTGGAGTGCTGTGGTGTGATCATGGCTCACTACAACCTGGAACCTCCTGGGCTCAAGCAATTCTCCCACCTCAGCCTCCCAAAGCACTAGGACTACAGGCAGGAGCCACCATTCCCACCCTAAGAAAGCTCTGTTTTTTGTTTTTTGTTTTCTGAGACGGAGTCTTGCTCTGTCTTTCAGGCTGGAGTGCAGTCTCAGCTCACTACAACCTCTGCCTCCCAGGTTCAAGCGATTCTCCTTCCTCAGCCTCCTGAGTAGCTGGGATTACAGGCGCATGCCGCCATGCCTGACTAATTTATTTTATTTTATTTTTTATTGTTTTTTTTTATTTTTATTTTTTAGTAGAGATGGGGTTTCACCGTGTTGGTCAGGTTGGTCTCAAACTCCTGACCTTACGATCCACCTGCTTCGGCCTCCCAACATGCTGGGATTACAGGTGTGAGCCACTGCGCCCAGCCAAGAAAGCATTTTTAACCTAGTGAATTGGTTAAGTGGAGTTCCCTTGAATGTGGCCAAAACATAATAATGTCCACATCATACAGAAATAAATACACAAAAGTCAGTGAGGCTGCCTTGAATTCAGAAGTAAAATAATTGTATCAACACGGACTGGGAGAGGTCCATCCTCTGTCAAATTACCTGGAAATGGGAAGCTGATGGGTGACTGATTTGGGATCTATCAACAGAAAAGCACTCCAGGAAAGGGTTCAGCCTTCATGAAGGCAGTTGACTACAGAAATAATGCAAAGGTTCAGAAATGGTTTAGACACATTGTGAGAGATAAGAGGAATAAGGTCAGGTGTGATGGAAATGAAGCAAGGAAAAGAAGTTAAGGGCCAGACCATCTCCTGGAGAAAATAAGGAGAGATAAGGAAGAGGGCCTTCAGAGCAGCTCTTATACTGGCGTGGAGGTGGCCTCTTGCGGGCAAAGAGGGGCAGGCCACTGCCATATACCTACGCAGCATGGAAGTCAGAAAAGCTACTCCAAACTGAAATACAAATAATGTCTCTGAATCCAAATGTACCAGAACAGTTCGGGTCTCTGTGCAAGCTGTCCATCACATCTGGCTATAAGCATGTTTACAGCAGGATGTAAACTGATGTTCAATTACCCACGGAACTTTATCATTAAAACAGAACTTTAAAATATGCATGTAGATTTAAAAAAAAATAGCTTGCGCTCACGAAACCAATTTTTAAAAGTCTGAAACAGGGCTTTGCCAGGTTTTCAAAGCCATCTGTTTTCAAAGCCTACCTTCTTCCTTGTTTACCCCAGTCTGTCTGCTGTTTTAACAACCTCCAGTGGGATTTCACACGCCTCATTATGCAAAAATCACTGCTTATGTATTCATTCTGCCACTTGCCTAACTAATCTCAGCTCATAACATCGTTCTGA
The DNA here is from genome assembly GCF_000001405.40 of Homo sapiens. Classification (NCBI taxonomy): domain Eukaryota; kingdom Metazoa; phylum Chordata; class Mammalia; order Primates; family Hominidae; genus Homo; species Homo sapiens. The sequence goes on along the minus strand of NC_000007.14, from coordinate 67,781,944 downwards.
GGAAGAGTCCCTAGTCTGGAGTTCTCCTACAGGGCGGTAGATCAAGAACAGTGGTAGAGAGTGTCAGAGCAAGATAAAACGCAACCCCCAGTGTATCCTTGTTAGGAGACAGGCTCGATCTGAGGCCCTACTTGAGGTGAGAAACAAAAAATGCAATAATGATTATAACATACATTCAAAATCCACTTTTTCCGCCTCCACAAATGAAGATCTTGCATCGAGTATGAGTCAGAAAGGCAGGTTTACTCCCTTTCTTGTCTATTATTTTCCTGCTATCAATGATCTATTCAAATATTTTTAATTTTTCCCCTTGTATAAAGCTTTGGATCTACCATTCTTTGGTTCAGAAAAGTCTGGAGCCTAGATCCAAACCCCAGCACTCCTGAATGACCTTAGGCAAGATACTGAGACCACCAGATCAAAGCCTGGATTTCCCAAAGGTTAGATCAGAGCATCCAAATCCATGATAGTGGTGATTCCTCAAAGATCTAAAGTCAGAAATATCATTTGACTCAGCAATCCCATTACTGAGTATATACCAGTGCTATCACTGGTGCCTGTCTGCCTGGTTCACCATTTAGACAATGACTGAATGGATCTTGTTTTTTTTTCCTTCAACTTTTGTTTCAACTTCTGGGGCACGTAGGCAGCATGCGTAGGTTTGTTACATAGGCAAACGTGTGCCATGGTGGTTTGCTACACAGATCAACCCACCACCTTGGTATTAAGCCCAGCACCTATTAGCTACTCTTCCTGATGCTCTCTCTCCCCACCCCCAAGAGATCCTAGTGTGTGTTGTTCCCCCCAATGTATCCATGTGTTCTCATTGTTCAGGTCCCACTTATAAGTGAGAACATGTGGTGTTTGGTTTTCTGTTCCTGCATTAGTTTGCTAAGGATAACGGCTTCCAGCTCCATCCATGTCCCTGTAAAGGGCATAATCTTGTTCCTTTTTATGGCTGCATAGTATTCCATGGTGTATATGTACCACATTTTCTTTATCCAGTCTATTATCATTGACGTTCATTTGAGTTGATTCTGTGTCTTTGCTATTGTGAACACTGCTGCAATGAACATACATGTGCATGTGTCTTTGTAACAGAATGATTTATATTCCTTTGGGTATAAACCCAGTAATGGGATTGCTGAGTCAAATGATAATTCTGGCTCTAGATCTTTGAGGAATCACCACGCTGTCTTCCACAATGGTTAAATGAATTAACACTTCCACCGACAGTGTAAAAGCGTTCCTTTTTCTTTGCAACCTCACCAGCATCTGTTGTTTCTGGACTTTTATATAATCACCATTTTGACTGGCTTGAGATGGTATCTCATTGTGGTTTTGATTTGCATTTCTCTAATGATCAGTGATGTTGAGCTTTTTTTCATCTGTTTCTTGGCCACATGAATGTCTTCTTTTGAGAAGTGTCTAGACTGAACAGATCTTACTCATTCTCAGTATCTTGCCTGTAATCCCAGCACTTTGGAAGGGCGAAGCAGGCAGATCACCCAAGGTCAGGAGTTTGAGACCAGCCTGGCCAACATGTTGAAACCCCATCTTTACTAAAAATATAAAAATTAGCTGGGCATGGTGGCAGGCGCCTGTAGTCCCAGCTATTCAGTAGGCTGAGGCAGGAGAATCGCTTGAACCTGGGAGGCAGAGGTTGCAGTGAGCTGAGATGGAGCCATTGCACTCCAGCCTGGGCGAAAAGAGTGAGACTTTGTCTCAAAAAAAAAAAAAAAAAAAAAAGAATCACCAGGGAAGCCAGACAGGTACAGGTACCTTCACTCAAGCCTCAGTGTAGCACCCACATTATCATTCAGTTAGTCTAAGGTGAGGCCTGAGTCCATATATATTTGATACGTGGTCTCACTCTGTTACCCAAGCTGGCATGCAGTGGTGTGATCTCAGCTCACTGCAACCTCAGCCCCCTAGGCTCAAGCAATCCTCCCACCTCAGCCTCCTGTAGCTGGGATGACAGATGTGTACCATCAAGCCCAGCTATTTTTTTGTATTTTTTTTTTTTTTTTTTTTTTTGTCGAGACAGAGTCTCATCATGTTGTCCAGGCTGGTCTCAAACTCCTGAGCTCAAGTAGTCTGCCTGCCTTGGCCTCCCAAAGTGCTGGGATTACAGGCGTGAGCCACCACACCAGGCCCATTTTGGATTTTCTAGTAAATTTCTCTACTGAAGAATAGTATAATGCAATAAATTACACAAATCTTCAATGTGCTGCTCAATCAGGAGTTTTAGATAGTAAAAATACCCAGGAGGGCATCACCCAAAACAAGATACAGAACACTACCATCGCTCCAAAAGCTTCCCTCCTGCATTTTCTCCATGCTTAATCCCCAAACCTAAGGTAACCATGACTCAGGCTGGAGTGCAGTGGGGTGATCTCGGCTCACTGCAACCTCCACCTCCTGGGTTCAAGCGATTCTCATGCCTCAGCCTCCTGAGTAGCTGGGATTACAGGCACCCACCACCAAGCCTGGCTAATTTTTGTATTTTTAATAGAGACGGGGTTTCACCACGTTGGCCAGGCTGGTCTCAAACTCCTGACCTCATGATCCACCTGCCTTGGCCTCCCAAAGTGCTGGGATTACAGGTGTAAGCCACCACACCCGGCCATGACTCTGACTTCTATTACCCTAAAACTACCTGCTGTCCAACTTTGTATAAACACAGTCATTCCATATGTTTTACTTTTTTTGTCTGATCTCTTTTTGCTTAGCACGTGTCTGTGATATTCATCCTGAGTCATGGTGGATAGCAATAATTGCTAAGATAGCATTGCATTCTCTGTACTGTACCATAACTCATCCATTCTCCCGATGATGAATTGTTGGTTTGTTTACAGTTTGGGGCTACCATCAATAATGTTGCTATGAACACTTCTGTATGTGTTGTTTGGTGCTCGTGTAGATGCATTTCTCTTCCTGGATTCCTCAAAGGGTCCATAAGAAAATGGTGACCGACATTAGAGAAATGCAAATCAAAACCACAATGAGATATCATCTCACACCAGTTAGAATGGCGATCATTAAGAAGTCAGTAAACAGGCCGGGCGTGGTGGCTCACGCCTTCACGCCTGTAATCCCAGCACTTTGGGAGTCTGAGGCGGGCAGATCACGAGGTCAGGAGATCAAGACCATCCTGGCTAACAGAGTGAAACCCCGTCTCTACTAAAAATACAAAAAATTAGCTGGGCATAGTTGCGGGCGCCTATAGTCCCAGCTACTCGGGAGGCTGAGGCAGGAGAATGGCATGAACCGGGAAGCAGAGATTGCAGTGAGCAGAGACCATGCCACTGTACTCCAGCCTGGGTGACAGAGCAAGACTCCGTCTCATTAAAAAAAAAAAAAGAAGAAGTCAGTAAACAACAGATGCTGGAGAGGATGTGGAGAAATAGGAACGCTTTTACACTGTTGGTGGGAGTGTAAATTAGTTCAACCATTGTGGAAGACAGTGTGGTGATTCCTCAGGAATCTAGGACCAGAAATATCATTTGACCCAGCCATCCCATTATTGGGCATATACCCAAAGGATTATAAATCATTCTACCATAAAGACACATGTACATGTATGTTTATTGCAGCGTTGTTTACAATAGCAAAGACTTGGAACCAACCCAAATGCCCATCAATGATAGACTGGATAAAGAAAATGTGGCACATATATACTGTGGAATACTATGCAGCCATAAAAAAGGATGAGTTCATGTCCTTTGCAGGGATGTGGTTGAAGCTGGAAACCATCATTCTCAGCAAACTAACAGAGAAACAGAAAACCAAACACTGTATGTTCTCACTCATAAGTGGGAGCTGAACAATGAGAACATATGGGCACAGGGAGGGGAATATCACACACTGGGGCCTATTGGGGGGTAGGGGGCTAGGGGAGGGATAACATTAGGAGAAATACCTAATGTAGATGACAGGTTGATGGATGCAGCAAACCACCATGGCTCATGTATACCTGTGTAACAAACCTGCATGTTCTGCACATGTATCCCCGAAGTTAAAGTATATAAAAAAGAAAAGAAAATGGTGACCAAGGCACAAGCTCCAGACCCAGGAGATGCTCAGTGGTACAGCAGGTAAACACTCTTCAACCTTGCCCAGGAGCAACTAAGCAGCTTTGGGGAAAGAGAAGGAGTTGCATCCCAACTCAGGAATCTTGTTTCTTCTAATGATTGGTTCTTGTGAGCTCAGTGAAGAACCGCTGCCTTCTCCCAAGAGGGAGGTTAAGATACTTGCCCAGTGTCACCAATAACCTTGTGTCAGGGCCAAGCCATAATGAATTTCAGGGACAACAAGTTCCCAAAGGTGGCCATGTTTCTGAGCCTTTCAAATAAAGCCTCTGTTCTCAGAGGAGCGACTTTCCTTGCCAAGGCTCACTCAGGAGACTTTAGTAATTAATTACTAGTTGCAAACTAGTAAATTGGAGTTAATTATCTGGACAGATCTAATTGCAACTACAACTTTGTTGAAATTAAATAAAACACCACTTTAAAGTGCACAGAGCCTTTAAAGACATTACTTAAAGGTGTCTGAACATGTCCAGCCGTGACCGTGAGCTTGCTGGAATGAGGAAGCTGGAGAATTATGCTGTAGATGCTCCAGTTCTTCATGGAACAACCTCCCTCCACCTCACCTGCTCCCCAGCATTCCCAAGGTCCCAGGAAGGAGGGATATGGCCCCTCCTTCCTGCCATCTATCCCATAATATGCCTGATTCAGCTCAAGGGACTGGCGTAGCCTGCTGATTTCTCCCCTGTTGTTCTTATGTCAGGCTCTCCTTGAACATCACCTTGTTGTGAGGCCAGATCCAGGGACATTGGGTCTTACTCCAACAGAACCTCTGCAGGAGGGGCAGCTACCTGAACAGCCTCAGGAATTCAGAGACAACAGCTTCCAGGAGGAGACACTGAACCCGGCTGATGCCTGGAGGAAGGCTCAGTGTTAGCCAGACAGAAGAGATAAGGAATCCTCACAGAGGAAACAGGATGTGCAAAGGGCTGAAGGCAAAAAAAAGTCTGGGAAAAATGAGAACCTGCTATGACAGGGGTCACCAACCCCCAAGCCATGGACCTGTTTCTGGCCTGTTAGGAACTGGGCTGCACGGCAGGAGGTGAGTGGCAGGCAAGTTAGTGAAGCTTCATCTGTATTTGCAGCTGCTCCTTATCACTTGTGTTACCGCCTGAGCTCCACCTCCTGTCAGATCAGTGGCAGCATTAGATTCTCATAGGAGCTCAAACCCTATTGTGAACTGTGCATGTGAGGGATCTAGGCTGTGTGCCCCTTAAGAGAATCTAATGCCTGCTGATCTGTCACTGTCTCCCATCACCCCCAGATGGGACTGTCTAGTTGCAGGAAAACAAGGTCAGAGCTTCCACTGATTCTACATTATGGTGAGTTGTAGAATTATTTTATATATTACAATGTAATAATAATAGAAATAAAGTGCACAATAAATGGAATGAACTTGAATCATCCCAAAACCATTCCCCAACCCCATCCTTGGAAAAATTGTCTTCCATGAAACCAGTCTCAGGTGCCAGAAAGGTTGGGGACCTGCTATGCCACGAGTTCAATGTGGATGGAGAGTGAGTGAGCTGTGGGTTGACCAGGAGCAGGGCAAACCTTTTGGGTCATTGTAAAGACTTAAGACTGCACCCCAAAGAACATTCTCACTGTTGAGATGTATTTAAGGAAGGCAAGGTTGGAGGACTTCCCACTGGAAGAAAAAGTTGTGCGATTGAAAAGCTTCTGAATGAAGAACCAGGACTTCTGGATTCTTGTCTTCTGTGGGTCAGTGAAGCGGCTGCATCATTTCTCCATTCTTAATTTCCTCATAAAATGGGAACAAGTCAGGCATGGTATAGCTCACACCAGTAATCCCAAAGCTTTGGGAGGACGAGGCAGGAGGATTGCTTGAGGCCAGGAGTTTGAGACTAGCCCGGGCAACTTAGTGAGACTTCATCTCAGCAAAAAAGTTAAAAATTAGCCAGGTACAATGGTACCTGCTTGTACTCAGGAGACTGAGGCAGGAGGATCACTTGAGCCCAGGAGTTAGAGGCTGCAGGTGACAGAGTGAGACCTTATCTCTAAAAATAATAATAGTAATAATTTAGAAATAAAATGGGAACAGGCTGGGCACGGTGGCTCACACCTTGGCTCACACCTGTAATCCCAGCACTTTGGAAGGCCGAGACGGACAGATCACTTGAGGTCAGGAGTTCAAGACCTGCCTGGCCGATATGGTGAAACCCTTTCTCTACTAAAAATACAAAAAAAAAATTAGCCAGGTGTAGTGGTGAGCACCTGTAATCCCATTTACTCAGGAGGCTGAGGCACAAGAATTGCTTGAACCTGGGAGGCGGAGGTTGCAGTGAGCCGAGATCATGCCACTGCACTCCAGCCTGGGCTACAGAGTGAGAAACTGTTCAATGGCACAGCAAGTGAATGCTCTCTATCCTCACCCAGGAACATCTATGATGAGGTCATGCATACAAACCTGAAAGCCATGAAGAACTACCCAGCCTGATAAGGATTGCAAATAGCTTGCATTTGAAGGCATAGACCACCATGTACACAGGACTTACCATGGCCATAACCCAGAAGGCCATCCAGCTCTGAAGCTCACCCGAGCAGAGGATGGAGAGTATCACAGCGTGGACCTCACCATCCAGTCAGTTGTGGAAATCACTCTGTTGCTGTGTCTCTCCAGATGATGGTGGAGTCCACACCTACCCATTCCTCCTCCTGTTTCCACACCACTGAGTTGGCCCACAACAGATAACTTCTAGATGCCACCTCTCTCTAAAACTCTGATTTGTCACTGAGGTTGCAGCCTGCGAAACCACAGCCCACTTGCCGGGACCATGGCATCATTTCTAGCTCTGTCTGTCCTGTCCCTTGAAAACAATTCAAACCAGACACCACACATAGGGCAAATAGGATTGTCCTTTGCCAAGAAGGATGCAGGGCTGACCTCTCCCCAGAGGCCAAAGCATTCAAGGGTTAGTTCAGCCCATGTGGTGACAAGTGCCAAACTCAGATGACCAGGGAAGCTGAGAGGCAAGAAGGGACAGTGGGTCTGAGGGGCAGAATTCCTGGGTTCAGTAGCTGCATGACTTTGAGCAAGAAACTTAACTTGTCTGAACTCCCATTTTCCAGCCTTCCCAGTGGAGCTTTTTAGCTTAAATTTTCCTGAACTCATTTAATAGTTTGATGATGTTCACCCAAAAAGAACAAAGATGCGCTGGGCTTGGTGGCTTATGCCTGTAATCCCAGCACTTTGGGAGGCCAAGGCAGGTGGATCACAAAGTCAGGAGTTCAAGACCAGCCTGGCCAGCATGGTGAAACCCCATCTCTACTAAAAATAAAAAAATTAGCCAGGCATAGTGGCGGGCGCCTGTATTCCCAGTCAGGAGGCTGAGGCAGGAGAATCGCTTGAACCCAGGAGGCAGAGGCTGCAGTGAACCGAGATCGCACAATTGCACTCCAGCCTGCATGACACAGCCAGGCTCCATCTCAAAAAAAAACAAAAAAAAAAAAACAAAAAAAACAAAAAACAAAGATGCACAGCAGAGCTGAGAGAATCTCTGGGGTCCAGATTCGCCTTTAATTGCTCCGAACAGAGGTTGTCTTATGTGGACAGAGACCAGCAGCTGTGCAATTCCAGTGCTAGCGAGGTCACGACGCCTTGCAGCTGCCACCCACCTACCTCCCAATGGCAATGCAGCCACCATCTGCATTCATCTCTGAGCACCCAATGTCCTAAACACCAGCACCATGTAGAAAGAAGGAGCCCTGGCCTGGACCGCAGCCTGCTCCAGACTTTTCCAGTCCTCCCACACACCTGCTTTGTGATTTTGTAAAAACCTTCCCCTCTGAGAATGTCAGTTTCCTCAATGATGAACTTAAGGATGTGAACTCTTCTCTCTAGCCCTGCCTAGCTCTGAAATGCTACAAATCGATGACACAAGGAAAGGCAATAATGAGCCAGGCATGGTGGCTCATGCCTGTAATCCCAGCACTTTGGGAGGCCGAAGCAAGAGGATTGCTTGAGATCAGCCTGGGCAACATAATGATACCCTACCTCTATTTTAAAAAGAAAGAAAGGAAAGAAAGGAAAGAAAAGAAAGAAAGAAAGAGAGAAAGAGAGAAAGAGACAAAGGGACAAAGGGAGAAAGGGAGAAAGAGGGAGGGAGGGAGGAAGGAAGAAAGGAAGGAAGGGAGGAAAATGAAGGAAGGAAGGAAAAGGAAGGAAGGAAAGAAAAGGAAGGAAGGGAGGGAGGGAGGGAGGGAGGAAGGAAGGAAGGAAAGGGAAAGAAAGTAAAGAGAGGAAAGGAAAGGAAAGAAAGGAAGACAGAAAGAAAAGGCAATAACACAGCTAACTTGGAGTGCTTACTCTGTGTTAGACACTGAGCACACTACATATATTAGCTTAATCAACCCTATAGTGACCACAGAAGTGAGACACTGTGTTTACACCATTTTAGACATAAGGAAATAGGCACAGAGCAATTAATTGCCTGCCAAGTTCTCACAGCAATGAGTGCCAGCCTCTCTCTCTGGTTGCAAGCCTCACTCACCATCCTACACTGCAGCAGGTCACCGTTCCCAGCGCTCCTTTCTCCCCAGGCCGTCCAGACGTGTGGCTTCCTACATCCGGGCACCAGCAGAGGATGTGCCATCTTTGAAAAACACCAGCTGGAAATATAATGTGGTCTTGAAATTCAATAAGCTTCAGAAAGAAACTTTAGATAGGGAAGAAGACACCCCCTAGAGAAACTGCTTGTGGTTAGCAAGAATTCAGAAAGCTGAATTTACAAGTCCCCAGCAGCCCTTCGGGACTGTGGGAATAATTGGAGTAAATCAAATCTAGCAACAGAATGTGAATAAGACCAAGAACTAGAAGACTGATCGAGAGCAAGAGCTGCCCCTGTGAATGTGCCTGGGAAACCCAGGAGAGGATGGGTGCATCAGATGGGACCCTGCCTGGGCTGGTGTGTCCCTCCTTCCTGCCACCACCGACAAGGCAGCTATTACGAGTTGTCCCTGTGTCAGGCATTGGGGCTGCATCAGGCAGGTGGGGCAGGTGTGAATGCAACAGTCTAGGAGTGAAGGCAAGAGCCAGCAGAATGAGCAGAGGGTTGAGGAAGCTTCGAGCTGGAGAAACTAATTCCACCTGCCAGGGTTGGAAAGACTGCAGAGAGGAAGTGACTTCTGAGCTGATAATAGGATTTTACAAGGTGATAAAGAGCATTTCAAACAGAAAAGAAAGAAGAGGGAAAAAGTTGCAAAGATGTGGACGGAGGCATTCAGAGAAGATGTTACGGGGGGAGGAGGTAACTCACTGGGGCTGGAGCTGGATCTTACCTTGCACTGAAGAGTCAGAAGGTCAGTGAGGTAGTAAACGCCACATGCAAGACTGTGGACTCTCATTCCTCCTTTAAAGGTTGTAAACAGAGGAGTGTGTTGAGGGCAGCCAACCAAGCAGCAGAGAGCAGAGTGGAGAGTGATTAGGGCAGGAATGGCTGGAGGCAGGGAGATCCTGCCTGGCCAGGACAGGTGCGGGCAGGAGGCCATGGATCCAAGAAGCAACTCAGAGGTCGAGTTGTCAGAACTCGCTGTCGGTCACACTGGTGTCAGGCAGTGGACAGAGGAGTTAACCGTGAGTTTTCTCGACGCCCAGCTATGCACAGCAAGGTAGCCATGCTGTGGGTGCAGAAGGGCACGGCCAGCTTGGGGATGAAATGCAAGGGAGGTGGCTGCTCACTTAGCTTCTCCTGTGGCTTGCTGCTGCCACTCAAGGCAGCTCAAAACTGGCACTCAAAGATCTGGGACTGGCTGCCTAGCAACCTGGCTTCTCATTACTGATCTGCACACACACACACTCACACAGTCACCCACGCACACACACGCACACTCATATGCACTCACACACATGCTCACCGCATGCACAACCAGGCTGCCCCTCCCTCCACGCAGGTTCAAGCCCTCTGGCCTTTGCCCACCCAGGGTCCTTCCCTCATCCTTCCTGCAAAGCCCACGGCCCACCTTGACTCACCCCAACCTCCCCTTCTCTGAAAAGTCACCCCTGACTGCACCATGCTCACTACTCACCCTTGGGTACCCGTGATGTCTCTCTTCTGTATTTTCCCGCAATGTCATTTTAGACAACTGTAGAATGAGTAATGAGGGGAGTGAGAACTGAGGGATCCAGGGAGGAAAATGAATGTTGTGTGGGGCCAGGGGAGAGGGCAGGGTGGACGGATGTGCTCCCAGGAAGAAAGATTCCATTCCATTTGCTGGGGTTTGGATACAGGCTGGTCACAGGGTGCACAGAGCAGTCCCTGCCCAGATCTCTGTGCTTAGAGCATTCGCAGGCCAGCAGGAGAGACATGAACAAGAAATGGAAGAGGGTAGAAGGGACCTTCAAAAGCTCCATGACAAAGGAGGCATACAAGGAAGGTTCCCAAGAATAGGTCAAGAGGATAGAAACCCTGGAGCCTTCCCTTCAGGAAGTCCCACAGACACAGGGGCTCAGTGCTTTGCACGATCCCCCTAGGCTCCCAGAACTAGGTCAACCTGGGTGCAATGGCTCATTCTTATAATCTCAACATTTTAGGAGGCCAAGGTGGGAGGATAGTTTGAAGCTAGGAGTTTGAAACCAGCCTGGGCAACATAGCAAGATCCCATCTCTAAAAAACATGTAATAATAGTAATAATTAGCCAGGCATAGTGGTGTATGCCTGAAGTCCAAGCTCCTTTGGAGGTTGAGGAGGGAGGATCACTTGAGTCCAGGAATTTAAGGCTGCAGTGAGCTAGGATAGCACTACTGCACACCAGCCTGGGCAACAGAGCAAGACACTGCCTCTTAGAAAAAAAAAAAAAAAATAGGTCAGAGAAGTACTCCTCAGCCAGAAGCCCAGGCCCAACCTCAGGCAGCTCAGCTCCAGGGCAGCCTGCCTCCAGAGCAGGGCTTGAGACCACCACCCTGGGCTGCCCGGGATCTGGATTCAGATGCCCAGAGCAATATCAGTCACATGAAGCAAGAGAGAGGTGGAGATGTAAAATGCCCCAGGCCCAAGGAGGAGATGTTGAGAGTGACAGTGGCCACAGAAGAGGCAGAGGTGACCAAGTGAGCAGAGAGGGGATGAAGCAGCTAAGGTATCAGCCAAGGCGAGGCAGCCACTTGGGAACATGGCAGGAGGTAGAAAGGGTTTGAACAAGGGGCCCAGGGTCGTCGATTCAGCAGGTAGGGCTAGAGGCAGTCAGTCTCACCTTCTTGCTGTCACAGGGACTCATGTGACTGCATCCTCAGAATGCATCTGTTCTTCCTCCACAACTTCTGCAGAGCCCTTTGATGTGCCTGCTACCCTACCCAGCCTCTGCCTGGAAGAGCTGACAAGCCCCATAACACCGAGTGTATCAAGATGGTGCTGCGAAGATGATGGCCACCATGAAGCCAGCAAAAATATCCATGTTACTTTCAAAGATAAACAAAAGACAAACAGATTTTCAGAGAAGTGGAGGTGGAGCTAAAGGTATTTCTGTTTCTTCCTTTAGCTCCACCAAGCTAAAGGAAGAAACAGAAGTAAAAAAAGAAGCACCTCTATAATTTAGAAGATGCTTGGGATGACATCATTCTTGCAGATGACAATGGCTTAATGATACCTTATCAAAATGGTAATGTGTTCATTAGTCATTCTCAAGAAGAAACATAAGAAGGATGGGTGCAGTGGCTCATGCCTGTAATCCTAGCACTTTGGGAGGCTGAGGCAGGAGGATCATATGAGCCCAAGAGTTCAAGATCAGCCAGGGCAACATAGCGAGGCCATATCTTTACAAAATACCAAAAATTAGCAGAGCATGGTGGCATGCATCTGTAGTCCCAGCTACTTGGGAGGCTGAGAAGGGAGCATTAGTTGAGCCCAGGAGTTCAAGGCTGCAGTGAGCTATGATTGTGCCACTGCAGCCTGGGCAACAAAGCAAGACCTTGTTGAAGAAGAGGAAGAGGAAGAGGAAGAAGAAGAAGAAGGAGAAGGAGAGGAAGAGGGAGGAGGAGGAAGAGGAAGAGGAAGAAGAAGAGGAAGGAGGAGGAGGTGGAGGAGGAGGAGGGAGGAGGAGGAGGAGAAAAGAAACACAAAAAAATGTTAGAAGAAGCAAAGAAAAAGAAAAAATTGCAAGAAGAAATTGATGCCTCAGTGTCCAGAGTAGGATCAATTCAATGGGTGTCAGCAGATTTAAGGGTTCAGTTCTATGCAAAATGTGGGAGCAACATAAATGCTGAAGCTGATGAAAGTTAAACATTTTTTAAAACTTTTAGAAATGTGTTTAATACACTTGAATATTGTTTTTTGGTTTTGGTTTTTGTTTTTTTGAGATGGAGGCTCACTCTGTCACCAGGCTGAAGTGCAGTGGCTCGATCTCGGCTCACTGCAACCTCCACCTCCCGGGTTCAGGTGATTCTCCTGCCTCAGCCTCCCAAGTAGCTGGGACTACAGGCACCCGCCACCGCGCCCGGCTAATTTTTTGCATTTTTAGTAGAGACGAGGTTTCACTGTGTTAGCCAGGATGGTCTCAATCTCCTGACTTCATTATCTGCCTGCCTTGGCCTCCCAAAGTGCTGGGATTACAGGTGTGAGCCACCATGCCTGGCCTGAATATTGTTTTTATTAAGTGGGTATTGCAAAGCCAAGAGCAATTTTGCAGGCTGGTTTGATTTGTCCTTGGTACTTCCATTCTGAGTCCTTCTAGATTAAAGACAGTGTCACTTGGCTTCATCCAGTCTTCCCTACCCTGATTATGAGCAACTAGAATCAGCCCAGGTGGTCCAGGAGCCCCTGGTTGACAGCAGTACTATGTTTATCAGCCAATTCCCAAAGCCCAGGGCACTTGCCACTTCCCAGAGATTGTTGAACCATTCATTACAGGGGCTTTTTTCTGAGAGGGGAATCAGCCTACAGGATGTGGAGTTCCTGGAGAGCCTCCTCTTTTCCTCGTTGCTATAAAGATGGTCTTGGGGACCGGGCGCGGTGGCTCACGCCTGTAATCCCAGCACTTTGGGAGGCCGAGGCGGGCGGATCACGAAGTCAGGAGATCAAGACCATCCTGGCTAACATGGTGAAACCCTGTCTCTACTAAAAACACACACACAAAAAAAAAAATTAGCCAGACGTGGTGGCGGGCACCTGTACTCCCAGCAACTCGGGAGGCTGAGGCAGGAGAATGGTGTGAACCCGGGAGGCAGAGCTTGCAGTGAGCCGAGATCGCGCCACTGCACTCCAGCCTGGGTGACAGAGGGAGACTCCATCTCAAAAAAAATAATAATAAAAAATAAAAAAATAAAAGATGGTCTTGCAGTGAAGTGGTAGTGAAGAATCAGAGGAGCTTTTATCTCAGCTCTGCTACTTCCTGGCTGTGCAACCTGGAGGAGGCTGCATAACCTCTCTGAATCTGAATTTCCTCATCTGTAAAATAGGGCTAAAAGTAGTAGGACAATCAGGATGAGAAGAGATAATGATGGGAAGAGCTTAGACCTATGCCTAACCTGTGTCAGGCACTCATTAAAGACGACCTCTCTTCCTCCTTTACCCTGGTCTTGCTGCTGGTAAACTCAGGGCAGCTAGGCATGAAGAAAATGCCCTGACTACCAAACGGCACTTCCCTGGGTTCAACCCTAGCTCTGCCATTTGCAAATCATCCTAGCTGCCAGAGCCTCAACTTCAGCAACAGTAAAATGGGAATAATAATGGAGAAACCACAGAGCTGGCATAAGAATTAAATACAAGGATCCTAAAACCAGGCCAGGAGCATACAAGCACCCTGTCCCATCTGGGGAAATTAAGACAATAACCATAAGAGTGGGCTCTTTGGACCTGGTACGGTGGCCCACACCTGTAATCCCAGCACTTTGGGAGGCTGAGGCAGGAGGATCATTTGGGGTCAGGAGTTCAAGACCAGCCTGGCCAACATGGTGAAATCCCGTCTCTACTAAAAATTAAAAAAAAAAAAAAAATAGCTGGGCGTGATGGCACACACCTGTAATCCCAGCTACTCAGGAGGCTGAGGCAGGAGTATTGCATGAACCTGGGAGATGGAGTTTGCAGTGAGGCAAGATCACGCCACTGCACTCCAGCCTAGGTGACAGAGTGAGTAAGCCTCCATCTCAAAAAAAAAAAAAAAAAAAAAAAAAAAAAGAGTCAGCTCCTCTCCATGTCAAGAACACAGTTCTGAACCCCAGGATTTCCTGGCAGTTGCCTCCCTTGCAAGGACAGAAGCAAGTCTCACCAGGAGTTCTCTCCATTCTGTCCTAGAAACTTGTCCACCTTCTACCTCGAACAGCTTGATCCAGCTCTCCATCCCCTCCATGAATTCTAGTAAAAATATAATGATGAGGCATTGCTAATATTGACAATAAATGCTTATGATGTGGGATTCCTAATGGACAATTTGTAAGTGCTTCCACTGAGAGGCTATAGACAAAACCAGTCCTTGCAATTTTCAGCCTGTGAAATCCGTCTTTAACAGCTATTGTCTTTGGAGTACTTGTACCCTGTTTGGTGTGAAGCAGATTCATTGCAAAAAGTGGCTGCCGTTTGCAATGTGACTTCCCATCAAGAGGTAGAATCCATGCTGCAATCCCATGAATGACTTACTTTGGCCAAGAGAGCGTGGTAGAAGGGATGCAGTGCCAGTTTGAAAAGCTGTACACACTTCTGCTGCTCTTTGAGCCTCTGCCATGTGAAGCAGCTCAAGCTAGCCTGCTGGTGGCTGAGAGACATGTGGTCCAATAACTCCAGCTGCCTCCCAGCCCACTGCCAGACATGCAAATGAGGCCATCCTAGCTAGCCAACCCTCAGCCCATCCATCAGCTGAGCACAAGCTCATGAACAAGCCCAGCCAAGATCAGCCAAGCCTGGCCCAAACTAGCAGAATTCTCAGCTGATGCGTACATACGTGAGAGACCATAAATGCTTCATGATTTTAGCCTCTGAATTTGGGGTGCTTTGTGACCTAGTCACAGCTAACCAATCCACCATGCTAAGTCCCTTGAGTACACTATCTCACTTTGTAAGAACACTATGAGCTGGGAATATTTATCCCAATTGTACAATGCAGCAAACTGGAGTCCAAAAGGCTTTAGCAACTTGCAGAAGTTGTCACAGCTAGAAATTGGTAGAGCCAGGAATAAAACTCATGTCCTACTTGACTCAATAAGGGACACTCTCCTCCAGCAACTTCTCTCTTTCCCCCAGGTAAGAATAACAGATGACTACTTAAAAGAAGGATTGCAGAAGCCCAGACCAGGGCAATCTTCCTCATGAGGGAACAAATCATCCTACATAGCCGATGTTCCTGGCCCTACTTTAAAAGTGTCTTGGAATTTGGGGGACAGGTGTTTTTTATGTATCTTTAAATGTGATTTGTTTAAAGAATCTCAGTCCCGGCCAGGCACGGTGGCTCACGCCTGTAATCCCAGCACTTTAGGAGGCCGACGCAGGCAGATCACCTGAGGTCAGGAGTTCGAGACCAGCCTGGCCAACATGGTGAAACCCTGTCTCTACTAAAAATACAAAAATTAGCTGGGCTTGGTGGCAGGCACCTATAATCTCAGCTACTCAGGAGGCTGAGGCAGGAGAATCGCATGAACCAGGGAGGTGGAGGTTGCAGTGAGCTGAGATTGTGCCACTGCACTCCAGCCTGGGCGACAAGAGCAAAACTTCATCTCAAAAACAACAAAAAGAATCTCAGTCCTTTTCAGCAAGTCTAAAAGCTGTAGCTTTGACCTTTCCTTGCTTGTTAATTAGGGTATTGGAGGGGAAACAGAAAAACCATGTGGATGGGCAGAAGAGGAGATTGCAAAAATAAGTATTCCTTAGGACCACTCGACTGAAAAATTACATTAATTCATTAATTAAGATAGCCAGTATGAGAATTCCAGGGGAAAGAACAAATACCATCTGTGCTGTGGAGGGGCCAAATTTTTCTTTTAGCCTCTAAGACCCAGTAATGAGCACATGTTCTGAATTATTCTTCCAATTAACTGCTTCATGGGAGAAGAGCAGCATTGGCAAACCAATGAGGTATCAGACAGTGCTCAGAAAGCCACATCTGTGAGGCTTCCAAGTGATCTTCTCGTGCCTTAGGCATGGGGAGGCAGGTTACAGCTCAACACAAGAAGCTTCGTTCCAAAAGTCAGAGGTATCTTGAGAAGAAATGAGTTGCTTCACAAGGTAATGAGCTCACCATCACCAGGGGTATGCAAGTAAAGCCTGAGTCTGTCGGGAGGAATTGCTGTTTTGTGTAGGAAGTTGGAGGCTCCACTAAATAATCACTCAGAGCCCTTCCAATTGTGAGATTTTTTAATTATTATTATTATTTTATTCTTTGGAGAGATGGGGTCTCACTACGTTGCCCAGGCTGATCTAAACTCCTGGGCTCAAGCGATCCTCCTGCTTCGACTTCCCAAAGCGCTGAGGTTACAGGTGTGAGCCACCGTGCTCTGCCAACATTCTATCTAATGTCTTCTAAAAGGTGAGCCCTTAACTCATAGAGAATTATTTCTCTGACTAGGTGATTAGCAGCATATCAGTGCTCACGTGGTCTCAGATACTGAACAGCTACAGTGGCCATCACGGTGAACATCTGACAGGGAACATCTTCATTGGCCATGGCACTGCTGTTATCAGACACTGCAGATGACTTTAGAGCAGGACGCTGGGTTCAATGAATCACTAAAGTTAGAAGCATTTTCTCACTTGGTTTAAAATTTCCAGCTTTGATAGCTCAAATTGGGGGCCCAGCAGGAGACATTTCAAAAGCAAATTGTGAATGATGATATTATTTTGGCCTCATTTGGGCTGGCACAGTTTGGGTGACCATGAGGCATCAGGCAAGAAACCTCTTTTGACACCTTACAAAATGTTTAGATTAATCAAATTTTAAGGCCAGATCCTGCATGGGGAGGACAGAGCATGTAGGAGTGGCTGGAATATTTTACCACATCTGAGTTGATCACAGAGGACGATGCGTTTCCTTTTTCTAGCATCCATGAATATTGAGTCAGATAAATGTTGCATTGGTATGTTTAATTGGTTAAAAAATACCCTCATTAGATCTTTAATAGATGGCTTCTGACAGCATAAACAACAAAGATGACTGATTTTTCCCGCAAAATCTTCGGAGGGGAAAATCTCCTGCTATCAAATTTGTTTAGAAGCCATTTCTCTGAAGCCCCTACAGTTAACGTTTGGGCTGTAGCAAACCTCTCCTGTGCAGAGTGTGTTTCAAATATTAATGGAGGTCTAAATCTGTGCTCTTTCTCAACTCAACCTTTTGCACTCAAAATTCATGAGTGTATATTGATTTAGGCAGCCTTCCCAGGACCCTGGTACCGCCAGGCTCTTTTGTTCAGTGTTAATTTGCTGCCCCAACTTATCAATTATTAACTTGCTAAGTGAAAGCAATATAAATCTAGCATTCTGAGCAAAAAGAACTGTTCTTTTCATTCCCTAAAAATACGATGGCAGCAGAGGCTGGTGACTTAGCCAAACTAAGGCTTGATTTAGTGGCTAACAATGCCTGTGGGTCTCATTGTGTTCTCTTCTGTTGGAGATGCAAATCCAAGAACACCGGAGTAAACTGAAATTAGCAACTAGACACTTCCAAGACAGGGTTTGTGCATCATACTTGGAGGGGAAAGAATTAAAGAATGAGAAAGGAAGATTAGTATCAAGATTTAATTTATACAGCAGCTGGGCATGGTTGTTCATGCCTGTAATCCCAACACTTTGGGAGGCTGAGGTGGGCAGATCACTTGAGGTCAGGGGTTCAAGACCAGGCTGGTCAACATGGTAAAACCCCATCTCTACTAAAAATACAATAATTAGCCGGGTATGTTGGTGTATGCCTGTAATCCCAACCTCAGGGGGAGCTGAGGTAGGAGAAATCACTTGAACCCGGGGGGCAGAGATTGCAGTGAGCCGAGATTGTGCCACTGCACTCCAGCCTGGGCAACAGAGTGAGACTCTGTCTCAAAAAAATAAAAACAAAGATACATTTAATATAAAGGGAAATGTCAGGGATTATCTTAAAATGAAGGCCTCTGCCAGGTCTTTATCATAGCTCATCTCTGCTCCCCTAACAAGGCCATGGGCCTTGCCAATGATAGTGATCAAGCTATGTTTCATGCATAATCCATCTCTTGTACCCCAGCACCCCTCCAAGGTAAGCAGTGCTACATTTTGCAGATGAAGAAGCTGAGATATAAAGATGAAGAATTGTTTGCTCAAGAGCACACAACCCAGAAAATGGTAAAGTGAGAATTTGAACCCAGTGTGATTTGCTCCGGGTATATTCATTCAGTGACCTTCAGCTTCGTCAAGGTCGCCAGCAAGTTGGGGTGAGGATCAGAGCTTATTAAAGGGGCAACATTCTAGTCTAAAACCTCCACTTGACTTGACTCTAGCTTTGATATCTATGGGGAGGCTAAAGCAACTTCATCTTGGATGTAAATCTGCCATGTTGATTTCTGATTAATCTCAGTTCCAAGAATGTTCTAAGATTTCTACTTTATCTTAGAACATAAGTAAGAGCACGTACTTGCCATAAATTCTGCTTCTAGGCAAATTCTTGCCTTTCCTTGGGAAGTCAACTTCAATTGTTCAACACAGTTCTTCTAAAGCAAAATACCTTTTCCCTACGGTATATAAGCCCCAAATCTCGGGGGTAACAGTGGCCACCCAAGACATGACTTCTGTTTATAAGTCCCTATGAAATGTTTCTTTCAGAGAAACTGCATTTGTCAGCCACTTTCTTCCACCTCTCAGCTCCCTTGGTCTTTGGGGGTAGGTTTGCAAAGACCTATTCATTGTGGAGTAATATCCCAGAGATGCCTCTAAGAATATTTCATGTTCTCAAGCAGCAAAGCAATATTCTGTAATGGCTAAGATATTTCTCAATTTTCTTATCTATAAAATGGAATAGTAATATTAGCCTTACATCATAGTTACAAGAATGAAATCGGACAATAAGATTCATGTAAAGTCCTGAACTCATCTTAGACCTTTCGTAAAAGCTAGTTCCACTTCCTTTCTGCCTTGACTCCTTACCCTTCCTAACCTTGACAGGAAAGGGAACTTAGATATGCTGGCATATTCACAGCATGCCTTGGAATTACAATGGGTTTCTAG
This sequence comes from Homo sapiens, assembly GCF_000001405.40. Classification (NCBI taxonomy): domain Eukaryota; kingdom Metazoa; phylum Chordata; class Mammalia; order Primates; family Hominidae; genus Homo; species Homo sapiens. The sequence goes on along the minus strand of NC_000007.14, from coordinate 67,762,737 downwards.
CTAATTAACTTTCAGTTAATCAGATAATTCAATTAACAACAACACCCCCTTCCCCTGAGCAATTAGCTAATTGAAGTTTTATTATATACAAAGCATTACAGAGCGGCTACTTATACAAGAACACTACTTATTGAAGAAATGGAAGCAAGAAAGGAATTTCATGTAAGAAATGGCAGATCGTGTCATCTTTGGGGCAGCCTGCTCCCTGGCCATCTCTTTCCCTTTGTCTCTCTTTCCCTCTCCTGCCCTTTCTCTTCCCAAATTCTGTCATCCCCTCCATTTGCTGGCTTAGTGAGTCCTCTGACTCAACTCATGCAGATGCTGTGGTCAACAGTCTCACAGCCCCTGTTTCTTCCCGACAAGGGCTGCAATGAGATCTTCACCTTGAAACCATCTTTGCAAAATTATGACAGTAAGACAAATCTGATATAGTTGACTCCATCTTGTTTTTAATGTCCAAGCTGTCATTGGTCATTTCTGGGCATAGGCCAAACTAACTTTGGGAGAAATTTATAGTCCAAACTTAAAGCAAGTATGATAATAGCCCTTCCCCAAACTAAAGCACCTTTGTAAAACTAATGAAAGTCCACAAGGTTAGGATTATGAGAGGGGCCTGAATTCTACTAAGAAGCAGAAGTAGTTAAATGATGGCCAGCCATTGTTTGGAAGGTTACGAGATTTGTAACCTCTCCAATGATTCCTATAGATAACATCACTATTGTAGAACCTGAGATTGACCTTTTGAGATGTCCTTTCAGATTTTTACATTTCTGATGACCCCAGCTGACTTCATCCAGAGCCTGTGACTCATAACTCAGTTGGTCCTGTGGCCTCCATATAAACATATGACAAGTTTGTTTACAAGGACTTATTCCATCACATTTATCTCATTGGTTGACTGATTGATTTAATAGTTTACCTGGATTATTTATTTACAAAAACTGTGATAGTCATTCTATAAGTTGCTTTCCTGTTTTTTTTTTTTTTGTTGTTGTTGTTGTTGTTGTTGTTGTTGAGACAGAGTCTCACTCTGTTGCCCAGCTCGGAATACAGTGGCGTGATCTTGGCTCACTGCAACCTCTGCCTCCCAGGTTCAAGTGATTCTTGTGCCTCAGCCTCCTAAGTAGCTGGAATTACAGACACACACCACCACAATCATTGATTTTTTTTTTTTTTTGTATTTTTAGTGGAGACGGGGTTTTGCCATGTTGGCCAGTCTGCTCTTGAACTCCTGACCTCAGGTAATCTGCCCATCTCATTCTCCTAAAGTTCCGGGATTATAGGCGTAAGCCACCTTGCCCAGCATGTTAACCATTTTTATAGCTATGAATTTCAGGTGTTTACTTAAGTAAGAAAACTTACAGTTGAATATAAGGGTATTTTTACCAATAACTCATGATTTAGCGGTTTTCATTAAACCAACAATATTCCATGTCTTACTTATCAAAAATTATACAACCAAAGATCATTCTATCTTGGGCTGGGTTTTATAACCCTTGTGGCTAATCTTATGGTATTCCACAGGAATAAGGTCAGAGGCTGACTCAGCACACAAAAACTCTTTTCCACATCCCTGTGATTTCATCCCCAACCAACCAGCATTCCCCATTCCCTAGCCCCCTGTCCACCAAACTATTTTTGAGAAACCCTAACCTCCAAGCCTTCAGGAAGATTGATTTGAGTAATAACTCCATCTTCTGCATGGCCAGCCTCACACCAATTAAACTCTTTCTTTACTGCAGTATCATGATCTCTGTGAATTGCTTTTGTCTGTGCACTAGGCAGAAAGAACCTGTTGGGAGATTACAACCTCAAACCCCACTCCTGGAGCACCCACCACCACTGACCATCACTCTTCTATTCACATGCTTCAGCGCAATGTGGTAGCCACTAGTAGGGGCTACCTATAGCATGTAGCTGCTATTCCTAACTCATCCCCTGTATTAGTCCATTCTCACAGTGCTATAAAGAAATACCTGACACTTTAGGAGGCCGAAGCAGGTGGATCACTTGAGGTCAGGAGTATGAGATGAGCCTGGTCATCATAGTGAAAGCCCAACTCTACTAAAAATGCAAAATTTAGCCAGGCGTAGTGGTGCATGCCTGTAATCCCAGCTTCTCAGGAGGCTGAGGCAAGAGAATCGCTTGAACCCAGGAGGCGGAGGTTGTAGTGAGCCAAGATCATGCCATTGCACTCCAGCCTGGGGGACAAGAGTGAAACTGTCTCAAAAAAAAAAAAGAAAAGAAAAGAAATAACTGAAACTGGGTAATTTATAAACCAAAGAAATTTCGTTGGCTCACCATACTGCAAGCTGTACAAGAAGTATGGCTGGGAGGCCTCAGGAAACTTAAAATCATGGTGAAGGGTGAAGGGGAAGCAGGCACACCTTACATGACCAGAGCAGGAAGAAGAGGGAAAGTGAGGGAGGTGATATACATTTTTAAACAACAAAATCTCATGAGAACTCTATCACGTGAACAGCACTAGGGGGATGGTGCTGAGCCATTAGAAACCCTCCCCATGAGCCAGTCGCCTCCCCCAGGGCCCCACCTCCAACATCGGGGATTACAATTCAAGATGAGATTTGGGTGGGGACACAGGTCCAAACCATTTCACACTCTTCATCTCCTCGGCTTACTACCCAATCATTACTCTTCCACATTTCTTTCCTCCTAAAAACTCCTCTCTCTGAAGACACATCATTGAAAAGAGAGGATGCATCCAAGATAAAGAGCTGTATCATTGGCTCTTCATTCATCCCAATGTAAACCAAACTAAAATTCTAAGCCCCCACAACCAAGCAGACCTCTCCTTTCAGCCAAGGGCATTCGAAAGTTTATTCAGGCACAGCCGACCGGCATTCTCATTAAAACAGAGACCTTAAGACTGACTAAAGACTCTTTGTAGCAATAAGATACCAACATGAGGCCGGGAGCAGTGGCTCATGCCTGTAATCCCAGCACTTTGGGAGGCCAAGGCAGGCAGATCACTTGAGATCGGGGTTTGAAACCAGCCTGGCCAACACGGGGAAACCCCATCTCTACTAAAAATACAAAAATAAGCTGGGCATGGTGGCACATGCCTGTAGTCCCAGCTACTCGGGAGGCTGAGGCAGGAGAATAGCTTGAACCCGGAAGGTGGAGGTTGCAGTGAGCTGAGATTGTGCCATTGCACTCCAGCCTGGGTGACAGAGCAAGACTCTGTCTCAAATAAAATAAAATAAAATAAATAACATGGCTGGGTGCGGTGGCTCACACCTGTAATCCCAGCACTTTGGGAGGCCGAGGCGGGCAGATCACGAGGTCAGGAGATCGAGACCACAGTGAAACCCCGTCTCTACTAAAAATACAAAAAAAATTAGCCGGTCGTGGTGGCAGGCGCCTGTAGTCCCAGCTACTCGGGAGGCTGAGGCAGGAGAATGGCGAGAACCTGGGAGGTGGAGCTTGCAGTGAGCTGAGATTGCACCACTGCACTCCAGCCTGGGTGACAGAGTGAGACTCTGTCTCAAAAAAAAAAAAAAAAAAAAAAAAAAGAATTTTTTTAAATTAAAAATAATAATAATAATAAATTAAATGTTCATCCACCCTCCATTGTATTGCTATAAAGATTGAATAAGATGATGTCTGCACTCACTTAGCATAATGTAAGCCCTCAATCAATGACTTTCCTTCCCTCCCCTTCCTTTCTTTCTTACTTTCAATTCAGAAAATTTTCTTTGTTCTTGAAAGTTACCGTCTCCATCTGTACCCAAAACCACATCTATCTTATCCTATTTTGATCTACACTCCTCGATTATTTTCTTTTTCAACATCTTTTTTTCCTTCCTTTCAACAAGTGCCCTCTTCTGTTACAAATATGATCAATGCTTCCCACTTTCAAGGTAAGTCATATTAATTAAGACCTGCTGTGCACCATGCTAGGCCAAAGAGGCTTTCATATACAGTCATGCACCACTGAACACCAGGGATAGATTCTGAGAAATGCATTGTTAGGTGATTTCGTCATTATGCAAATGTCAGAGAGTGTACATCCACAAACCTAGTGGTCTAGTCTATTACACACTGTGAAAGGAAAATAATAAATCTTGGGGCCCCCAAATCATTAAGCTAAAAGGAAAAGTCAACCTGGGAACTGCTTATGGCCAACCTGCCTCCCGTTCTATTCAAAGTCATTCCTCTGCTCACTGACATAAATACGTATCTGATTGCCTCCTTTGGAAAGGTTAATCAGAAACTCAAAAGAATATAACCATGTGTCTCTCACCTACCTGTGACCTGGAAACCCTCTGCTTGCTTGAGTTGTCTCACCTTTCTGGAAGGAACCAATGTACTTCTTACATATATTGATTGATGTCTCATGTCTCCCTGAAATGTATAAAGCCAAGCTGTGCCCTGACAACCTTAGGCACATGTGGTCAGGACCTCCTGAGGCTGTCATGGACATGCATCCTCAACCATGACTAAAAACACTTTCTAAATTAGGCCTGGCACGGTGGCTCACGCCTGTAATCCCAGCAGTTTGGAAGGCCAAGGCAGGTGGATTACCTGAGGTCAGGAGCCTGGACAGCATGGTGAAACCCCGTCTCTACTAAAAATACAAAAATTAGCCAGGCATGGTGGCACACACCTGTAATCCCAGCTACTTGGGAGGGTGAGGCAGAATTGCTTGAACCCGGGAGGCGGAGGTTGCAGTGAGCAGAGATCATGCCACGGCACTCCAGCCTGGCTGAGAGAGTGAGACTCTGTCTCAAAAAAATAAAAATAAAAGTAAAAAAATAAACTTTCTAAATTAACTGAAACATGTCTCAGATAGTCAAGGTTCACACCGCTTAGACTAGATGTTATAGCCTATTGCTCCTAGCCTACAAACCTGAACAGCATTTACTGTACTGAATACTGGAGACACTGGTAACGCAATGGTAAGTATTTGTGTATCTAAACATATCTAAACATAAAAAAGGTACAATAAAATCTGATATAAAAGATTGAAAATGTTACGCCTGTATAGGGCAATTACCATAAATGGAGCTTGCAGGATTGGAGGTTGCTCTGGGTAAGTCAGTGGTAAGTGGTGAGTGAATTCAGGCCTAGAACATGACTGTACACGCTATTGTAGTGTTTATAAACTCTGTGCAGTTAGGCTACACTAAATTTATTTAAATTTTTTTCTCTCTTCAATGATAAATTAACCTTAGCTTATTCTAACATTTTTACTTTATAAACTTTTAATTGTTTTTTTTTTTTTTTTTTTTTTTTGAGACAGAGTTTTCCTCTGTCACCCAGGCTGGAGTGCAGTGGCGCGATCTCGGCTCACTGCAAGCTCTGCTTCCTAGGTTCACGCCATTCTCCTGCCTCAGCCTCCCGAGCTGGGACCACAGGCGCCTGCCACCATGCCCAGCTAATTTTTTTTGTATTTTTTAGTGGAGACGGGGTTTCACCATGTTAGCCAGGAAGGTCTCGATCTCCTGACCTCGTGATCTGCCCGCCTCAGCCTCCCAAAGTGCTGGGATTATAGGCGTGAGCCACCACGCCCGGACTAATTGTTTTAACTTTTTTTTTGAGTCAAGATCTCATTGTCACCCTGGTTGAGAGCAGTGGCGTGATCATCGCTGACTGCAGCCTCAACCTCCAGGGCTCAAGCAATCCTCCTACCTCAACCTCCAGAGTAGCCGGGACTATAGGTGCACACCACCACATCCAGCTAATTTTTTTATCTTTTGTAGAGACATAGTCTCACTATGTTGCCCAGGCTGGTCTCAAACTCCTGGACACAGGTGATACTCCCACCTCAGCCTCCAGAGTAGCTGGGACTATAGGTACACACCACCACATCCAGCAAATTTTTTATCTTTTGTAGAGACAGAGTCTCACTTTGTTGCCCAGGCTGGTCTCAAATTCCTGGACACAAGAGATCCTGCCACTTCAGCCTCCCAAAGTGCTGGGATTATAGGTGTGAGCCACCAGACCCAGCCTGTTTTTTGGTTTGTTTTTTTGTTTTGTTTTTTTTTGTTTTTTTGGTTTTTTTGGTTTTTTTTTTACTTTTTGAGTAAAAACTTTGTACAAAAACATTTTCTTTCTTTATATCCATATCCTATAAACTTTTATCTATTTGTAAAATTTTTTTTTCTTTAAATTTTTGTTAAAAATGAAAACACACACTAGCCTAGGCCTACACAGGGTCAGGATCATCAATATCACTCTCTTCCACCTCCACAACTTGTCCCACTGGGAGGTCTTCAGGGGCAGTAAGACACATGGAGCCTCTCCTGTGATAACAATGCCTCTTCTGGAATACCTCCTGAGGGACCTGTCTGAGGCTGTTTTATTGTTAACATTTTTTAATAAGTAAAAGTATCATTATTTTAATATCTAAAATATTTAAAATGTTTTAGTATCCTTATTAAAAATTACTAAATATAAATTAAATTTAGTAATATAAATTACTAAAACATTTTAGTATCATTATTTTAATATCTAAGATAATGATTAAAAGTATACTGTAGTAGGTCAGGTGCAGTGGCTCACGCCTGTAATCCCAGCACTTTGGGAGGCCGAGGTGGGCAGATCACTTGAGGTTAAGAGTTCAAGACCAGCCTGGCCAACATGTTGAAGCCTTGTCTCTACTAAAAATACAAAAATTAGCCAGTGTGGTGGTATATCCCTGTAGTGCCAGCTACTCAGGAGGCTGAGGCAGGAGAATCGCTTGAACTTGGGAGGCAGAGGTTGCAGTGAGCCAAGATCACACCACTGCACTCCAGCCTGGGCAATAGAGCAAGACTCTGTCTCAAAAAAAAATATGTGCATGTGTGTGTGTATATATATATAATATTTATGAATGTATTTACTACATATATAAATATACTATATAAATACTATAGTATAATGTATGTATAGAATATAGCATATAGTATATATACTGTTTATATATTATATAGTATATATAAATATACTAAATAAGGATATAGTATATATAGTATTTATATATTATATAGTATATATGAATATACTACATAAATACTATATATAAATACTATAAATACTATGGTATTATATATACCATATACTATATATAATATATATGAGTACTATATGTAGTATTTATGTAAATATTATATTTACATATATAAATATATGTGCGTATACAAATATATATGTAGTGTAGTAAATACATAAACCAGTAACATAAGCTGTTTATCATCATTATCAAGTATTATGTACTATATGTAAGTATAGTACCAGTGCAAGTATTATGTACTCTACATAATTGGCTGTGCTATATTTTCATATGACTGGCAGCACGGTGGGTTTGTTTGCACCGGGATCACCATAAACACATGAGTAATGCATTGCACTACACTGCAACAGCTAAGATCGATGTCACTAGATAACAAGAATTTTTTAACTCCATTACCATCTTATGGGACCACTGTCAAAGACGTGATTCATCATTAACCAAAAGATCTTTACGTGGTACAGGAGTATACATTCTCTCACATGGACTTTTGGAAAATCGGCTTTCCCTTGATTCTGCCCTGCTTCTGGTTCTTAGCCAATCATCTCCCTCCACTCACTGCGAAATACTTCGAATCTGTTGTCAATTTCTTTATGTTTACTTTCCCCCCACTTCTGAACTCCCCATCACATGTCTTCTAGACAAATAATACTCTTTCAAAATGTTCTCTTAGAGGTTGTCAAGGGTACCTTGCAAATGACTTCATGAGCTCTCAACGTAGCTGACAGAGCAGGAGCATCACCATCTTGGACACACACCACCATTTTAAGTTCTCCTTAATGAAAAAACTGCCTAAATCCAGCCCCAAAACATCAGCCTAATGACTAATGTCAGCATAACCAGAAACATTCCAACCCTAAGATAAACCCCCTCTGACCAGAAATATGCCAATTAGAGATAGCCTCTCCTCTGACCAGAGACATTCCAATCCCACAGTAAACTTTCTCTCACATAGAAACATTCTGAACCTGTGATAAACTGCCCCCTTCCTAAACCCTTAAATACCCTTAGTCTGTAGGGAGAGAATGCTCCTGACCGAAATTGGAGAGAAGCCCCTCTCAGGTTTCTTCTCCACAATAAACCTGTCTTTTCACTGTTGAACTGCTTTGCATGTTCCTTTCCTTTCTTTAACTCTTAGACTAGTAAACCTCTCTAGCATTTGACACTTTGACTATTTCCTCATTCTAGAAAATGAGCATTTTATTCACTTAGTGGGAATGTTACTTAACTTATCTAATGCTCAAATTTTCTGGGAAAATTGTGTTGCTTTTCTAAGAAAAATGAAATGGTGGAGGATCCAGCAGGGTGGTGAGTGTGAAAGATTTAGCTCTGTGTGAAGCCCACAGCAAATGCCCCATGGGTTACCTGTCATTATTGCTAAGGAAAATAATAACAGGAGAGGCCTCAGGTGTTTGCAGATGGCACATGCCATCTTCATTTCCAAAAACTAGAAAACAGATTCTCCAAACTCCAGAAAAATTGAGCTAACATGGATCCCAGGAGAAATTATAGAAAATAATTTGTGTGCCCAAGCCACGGCATTTTGCACATCCCCACCTTTTACAGAGTGGAAAATTCCACCAGGGCCCGGACAGTGAGAAACATCCTGTTGGACAGGTCCCAGGCCTAACCGCTGACCCAGTAAATTCCTTCCTTAACAGCAGCCCAGCACACTGCCCCCACCTCATTCCGCAACAATCCCAGAACCCTCCAGCCAGGACCTATAACTGCCCCAGCCTGTAAGCAAGAAAGGGGGCTCTGGTGCTCACTGGCTGGTGCTCTCCCTCCTCAGGTCTTTGTGCAATAAGCCTGTGTTGCTGTCAAGCCACTCTCCTTGCCTCTGTCTCTTTTGTCCATCCTAACATTTGGTGCCAAAACCTGGGACAGGGATTGGGTCCTAAATAGGAGAGTCTACTCTGGCAGACTCATAGTGGGCACTGGCAGCTCATCACGGGCTAACTTCCAGACCCTGAGGGGACCCCCTGTTCCCAGCCCTGTTCCTCTTTTCTTCTTATTTCGCACTCTACACAGGTGAATTATTTATTGCAACCTGGAGAGCAGTGGGCAGCAGCAGCTCATCCAGAGCTAACCTCCAGATCCTGATCGAATGAACACAATTCAGTCAAGATGGTAGTTTGTAGGGACTTAGAAAAAGAAATCCCTGGGAAAAAATAAGCAGAGGGCCCTTGCAGACAAATCATGTCAGACTTTCCACATTTCCCTTTTAACTACATTACCAGACTAGCTAATGGGGGAAATGCATGGTGTCTCCATAGGAGGAAGACATTGGAAAATGGCCCTCATAATTTTGTTGTTAATGATTTGGGCACAGGAAGCGTTCCTGTGACTTGCCACAAAATTAGTTTCTTTCTTTCTTTCTTTCTTTCTTTCTTTCTTTCTTTCTTTCTTTCTTTCTTTCCTTTCTTTCTTTCCTTCCTTCCTTTTTTCCTTCTTTCTTTCTTTTTTTCTTTATTTCTTACTTTCTCTTTTTCTTTATTTCTTACTTTCTCTTTTTCTTTCTCTTTTCCTTCTTTCTTCTTTCATTCCTTCCTTCCTTTTTCCTCCCTTCTTTCTTTTTTCTTTATTTCTTACTTTCTCTTTTTCTTTCTCTCTTTTCTTTCTTCTTTCTTTCTCTCTTTCTCTCTCTATTTCTTCTTTTTTCTTTCTTCCTTCCTTTGTTCCTTCCTTCTTTCTTTCCTTCCTTCCTTCTTTCTTTCCTTCCTTCCTTCCTTCCTTCTTTCTGAGATAGGGTCTTGCTCTGTCACCCATGCCAGAGTGCAGTGGTACAATCTCAGCTCACTGCAACCTCTAATTCCTGGGATCAAACACTCCCACCTCAGCCTCCTAAGTAGCTGGGACCAAAGGCATGTGCCACCATACCTGGCTATTTTTTTTAATTAATACTTCTTGTTTCAAACCCAGATCACAGAGCTCCAAACAGTAGTTCTCAAAGTGTGGTCCCCAGAGTGGCATGTGGTCCCCATAGTAGAGACAGGGTCCCACTATGTTGCCAATGCTGGTGTCCAACTCCTGGGCTCCAGTAATCATCCTGTCTTGGCCTCCCAAAGTACAGGGATTACAGATGTGAGCCATCATGCCCAGCCTCCACAGAGCTTTTCACTATGTAGTGTTCACATAAGTGAACTTTGCAGCTGTAAAATTTGCATCCGTATTTATGGATGACCTGAGGAAGAAAGATCCAGAATGACATCAATAGGCTGGAACTAGAAAGGTCTGAAGAGGCTGGAAATATAAATAAATCATACCATGATGCAACTGAGTAGGAATAAATGTTAACTCCCTCATTTGATTTCAAAAGCTGACTTCACAAATGCAGAGTGAATGTTGCACAGCATAGAAATGATGGAAAATCCTGGGGTTACAGCTGTAAGGACCAGCCAGGGGCATGCTCCTCAATAAGCAGGGAGAGCCTACCTGAAAACAAGGCTCACCTGGAGGAAGCAGAAAGGCCGAGACAAGAGAGAGATGCTGGGACTGGGCACAGTGGCTCATGCCTGGAATTGCAGCACTTTGGGAGGCTGAGATGGAGGATCCCTTCAGGCCAGGAGTTAGAGACCAGCTTGGGTAACATAGCGAGACTCTGTCCCAGCTATTTTTGGAAAAAAATGACATTTTGAGCTGGATGATTTAACAAAGCAAGAAAAAAATAAGATGATAATGTCTTCTAGAGAATCCAACAGGATGTCTTCGTGGTTGCTTACACTCAATCTCCAGCTGCCCAGCGAGCAGGGCAAGGAGCTGTCTGCAGATAAGGGGCAGGCCAGATCATAGCTGTGTCCACACTCATCTGACACCCCATGGCTTCCCCTCACATGCTGCTCTGGTGCATCGAGGCTTCCACTGGTCTTACTTAATGTGTGTGATACTACCATGCTAACACCTGAAATGACACTCAAGATGAGGGAAAAGATACCAGGCATAGTGGCTCACACCTGTAATCCCAGCACTTTGGGAGGCGGAGGCAGGGGATCACTTGAGCCCAGGAGTTTGAGACCAGCCTGGGCAACATAGGGAGACCTCATGTCTACAAAAAATAAAAATAAATTAGCCAGGCATGGTGGCATGTGCCTGTAGTCTCAGCTACTCAGGAGGTTGAGGAGGGAGGATCACTTGAGCCAGGGAGCTCGGGACTGTGGTGAGCTATGATTGTACCACGGCACTGCAGCCTGGATGACACACTGAGACCCTGGCTCTTAAAAATAAATACATAAATAAGAGAGTGAGAAAGAAAGATGCCTGGTGCCAGCACAGAGTTGGTGTCTATCTGTGCCTCATGCAAAGACAGTCTCTGGACAATTAAGTAAGCTAATCCATTTAAAAAATTTTTTTTTCTCAAACCATTAAGAGTGAGTCTCTGGAACTTGCCACCAGAACTCTAACTAAAGTAATCATTAACATTTATTGAGAATCTATTTGTGCCAGGCACTGTGCTAAGTGTTATTTATCTATCTATCTATCTTGTCCAAGCCATGCAACCACAGGATGCTATGAATACTGGGATTACACACATTCAGCAGAAGACAAAACTGAACCACAAAGAAGTTAAGGGACCTTGCCAGGGTCTCATGCTAGCAAGTGGTTTTCTGGTGACATGGTTTCTCTCTGTCCCCACCCAAATCTCATCTTGAATTGCAGTTCTCATAATTCCCACATGTTGTGGGAGGGACTGGGTGGGAGGTGATTGAATCATGGGGGCGGGTCTTTCCCCTGCTAGTCTCATGATAGTGAATAAGTCTCATGAGATCTGATGGTTTTGAAAAGGGGAGTTTCCCTGCACAAGCTCTCTTCTCTTGTCTGCCGCCACGTGAGACGTGATTTTCACCTTCCACCATGATTGTCAGGCCTCCCCAGCCACCTGGAACTATGAGTCCACTAAACGTCTTTCTTTTGTAAATTTCCCAGCCTAGGATATGTCTCTATCAGCAGCATGAAAGCAGGCAGATACATCTGGTTGCAAACCCAGATCATAGAGCTCTAAACAGTAGTGCTCAAAGTGTGTCCCCAGAGCAGCAGTGGCACCACTGGGAATTTATTACAGATGCAAACCCTTGGGCCCCATCCAGACCTGACCACTCAGAAGCTGTAGGGGCCAGGAGTCTGTTTTAAGAAGGCTTCAGGTGACTGTGAAGTGGTCAAGTGTGATAACCTTTGCTCTCTAAGACCCTGAAGCACTCTTCTCTACCTAGAATGAGAGTGTAACAGTCCCACATTGGGAGAGTATGGGTATTTGCAGTCACTGGTCTCTGACCGCACTCAGAATTTTAACCATGATTCACCAGAAGCAACAAAATGACCACAGTGATTGAAGGTTTAGAAAATAGCATAAGATCAGCTGAGGCCAGGTGCAGTGGCTCATGCCTGCAATCCCAGCACTCTGGGATGCCAAAGTGGGAGGATGGCTTGAGGCCAGTAGTTCGAGACAAGCCAGGGCAACATAGCAAGACCCTGACTCTACAAAAAAAATAGCCAGGCATGATGGCTCCATTCTGTAGTTCCAGTTACCCAGGAGGCTGAGGCAGGAGGATTGCTCAAGCCCAGGAATCCAAGGCGGCAGTGAGCTATGGTCATGCCACTGCACTCCAGTCTGGGCAACAGAGCAAGACCATGTCTCTACAAAATAAAAAATAAGTTAAAAAGAAAAAGACTAACTGGGCATCTAGAGCCACCAGGTGGGAATGGGCATAACAGAAGTCCCCAAGAACTCCTCTCATCTCAGCTGCTAGAATTAATATGCCCCTCCCTGAATTTCTGCCCCCCATCCTCCTAAGCTGACCTGACGGGTCTGTTATTCTTAACCTTGCCTGCATATTGGAATTACCTGGAGGATTTTAAAAGGATTGATGCCTTGGCATCACTGCCAGAGATTTGGGGTAAATTGGTATGGGGCGTGGAGGGGTGATCTAAGCATTAGGACATTTTTCAAGCTCTCCAGGCTATTCTAATACATTCTCTTCGATACAGTTTGGATGTGTGTCCCTACCCAAATCTCATGTTGAAATCAAATCCCCAATGTTGGAGGTTGGGGCCTGGTGGGAGGTGATTGGATCATGGGGGTAGATTTCTCATAAAGAGTTCAGCATCATCTCCCGTGGTACTGTCCAAGCAATAATGAGTGAGTTCTTGTGAGATCTGGTCATTTAAAAGTGTATAGCCCCTCCTTGCTCTGTTCTTGCTCCCCCTCTCACCATGTGGCATGCCTGCTCCCCCTTCACCTCCGCCATGACTATAAGCTTCCTGAGGCCTCCCCAGAAGCTGAGCACATGCCAGCTTCTCGCTTCCTGTAAAGGCTGCAGAACCATGAGCCAAGTAAACCTCTTTACAAATTATCCAGTCTCAGGTATTTCTTTATAGCAATGCAAGAATGGCCTAGCAACTGTTCTAATCTGTTCAGGCTTGAGAACTGCAGGCCTTGGGATGTACCCAGGCTTTTCTTCCACCCAGGTCTCTGCGGCCAGCTGCTTAGGCCTGCCTGTCCCTTTCACCATCGCTGTGCATGCATCTTCTCTGCATAAAGGCCCTTCCTCATTGCAATGCTTCTGCCAGCCCCATCGTTTCTACATGGTGTTGCTCTGCAGGAGCAAGGCAATAATACACTTGCTATCATTAGGTTCAGGAGCTCTCCGGCTCTGCTTCATAACCTTGAAGAAAGGAGGCAGTCATACCCTTACCTCAAAAGGTCTGTTCAAGTCTCATTTGAACAAGCTCCCAGCCAGGCACAGTGGCTCACGCCTGTAATCCTAGCACTTTGGGAGGCTGAGGTGTGTGGATCATTTGAGGTCAGGAGTTAGAGACCAGCTTGGCCAACATGGTGAAACACTGTCTCTACTAAAAATACAAAAATTAGATGGGGTTCATGGTGTGCACCTGTAATCCCACCCACTTAGGAGGCTGAGGCAGGAGAATCGCTTGTATCTGGGAGGCAGAGGTTGCGGTGAGCCAAAATCACGCTGCTACACTCTAGCCTGGGTGACTCCATCTCAAACAACACCACCACCACCACCAAAAAAAAAAAAAAAAAGAACAAGCTCCCCATGTGCCAGCCTGAGAATCACTGGTAGTGTTTCAGAACATTTAATTACAAGTCAACTGTCCTGGGTTCAAATCCCAACACTTTCAACCTCCCAGCTTTGTAACTTTGGGCAACTCAACCAAATCTTTCTAAGCCTCAATTCTTTATTAAATTAGAATATATTAGTTAGCTTGTTTGTTTGTTTGTTTGTTTGTGACAGAGTCTCTCTCTCTCACCAGGCTGGAGTGCAGTGGTGCGATCTCGGCTCACTGCAACCTCTGCCTCCCAGGTTCAAGCGATTCTCCTGCCTAAGCCTCCCTAGTGACTGGGATTACAGGCACCCACCACCACTGTTTGGACGTGGCTGTCTGAGCCAGAGGCTGGAGCATGATGCAAACCCCTCTGCTCTCTCTCTGTTACTAAGAATGACCACCATTCACTATTTTTTTTTTTTGAGACAGAATCTTACTCTGTTGCCCAGGCTGGAGTGCTGTAGTGTGATCTCAGCTCACTGCAACCTCCGCCTCCTGGGTTCAAGAGATTCTAGTGCCTCAGCCTCCCAAGTAGCTGGGATTACAGGTGCGTGCCACCACATCTGGCTAATTTTTGTATTTTTAGTAGAGACAGGTTTCTCCATATTGGTTAGGCTGATCTCGAACTCCTGACCTCATGATCCACCTGCCTTGGCGTCCCAAAGTGCTGGGATTACAGGTGTGAGCCATCGTGCCCAGCGAGAATATATTTTCCTATTGTCATATGTCACAAATCACCACACACTTTGAAGCTTAAGACAACATCCATTTATTGCCTCGCAGCCCTGTAGATCAGAAGTCCAGATAGTGTGGCTGGCCTCTCTGCCTGGGAGATCAATCTCACAGAGCCAACATCAAGGGGTTGACAGCTGTACCATCATCTGGAGCTCTAGATCCTCATCCAAGCTCATTTAGATTGTTGACAAATTTAGTTCCTGGCCACTGTAGCACTGAGGTCCCTGTCTTCCTCCCAGCTCCCAGCCAGGAGTCTCTCTCAGCTGCAAGAGGATGCTCTCAGATTCTTGCCATGTGCCCTGCCCCGTCTTCAAAGCCAGCAGAAGAATTTTCCTCATGTCCACCTCGTCTCACACTTTGCATTTATGAATTCCCCAGTCTGACATCTAGACCCAAATGTTTATGTTTAAACAAAAATGCTTGAGGTAGGCACAGTGGCTCATGCCTGTAGTCTAAGCACTTTTGGGAGGCTGAGGTGGAAGGATCGCTTGAGCCTAGCAATTCAAGACCAGCCTGGGCAACACGTTGAAACCCCAGGCGTAGTGGTGTGTGCTTGCGATCCCAGATACTCAGGAGGCTGAGGTAGGAGGATCGCTTGAGCCCAGGCATTGGAGGCTGCAGTGAGCCAAGATCACACAACTGCCCACCAGCCTGAGCAACAGAGCAAGACCCCCATCTCAAAAACAAACAAACAAATGAAATGTGCTCATGTGATTAGGTTAGATCCACCCTGATAAGCTCACTTCCTTAAAGTCTACTGTGCCATAAACACATCTAATCATGGAAATAAAATCCATCATACTCACACTCCCAAATATTATACAGGGGGATGTACAGAAGGGAGCAGGGATCTTGGGGCGATCTTAGAATTTTGCTTGCACCAGGGGATCATAACGCTTAGCTTGCAGGATTGTAGTGGGAAATAAGACCCTGCATGCCAAGCCCTAAGCACAATACCTGTCACATGGAAAGCACTTGATATATTCAATGTTGCTTTTCTTGGCAGCCCTGTGAATCCAAGATGTCCTGATCCCTAGAATTCCTTTTCAGAGACAGCCTTTGTGGGCCTTCTCCAGCTGAAATCCTCCCTCTTCCTACAACAGATCTCAGCCCTTCTCCCACCACATTCCATTCTGCCATGTTACAAGGGACACGGACGTGCAGGACGCACCAATGGATGGAACATCCACTTTGGAAGCGCAGAATGTTTCTCCTGGAAAGCCCAAACAGAAATGCCTGCCGGTCTCCTCTGAAATCAGCACCATGCTTGTTGTGGAGATTATGTTGATAGATCAGGAGAACTCCCCCTGACGCCTTCAGAAGCTCAATGTGAATACTGGAGCTGTCAGTTTTAATAACACACTACAATCCTGCTCTTTAAAAAAAAAAAGAAAAACCAGCTTCTAAAGGCAGATAAAGAGAAGCTAATTGAAGTCATCACATGCAATCTTCTCTAAGTAGCAGCTACAACATCAATATTTAGTAAAAAACAAAAAAAAACCCCTGTTTTCTTGTATTCCCCTCCCCCTCAATTATTTACAGGAAAACAGAGAAATGTCTGCTACTTCCGGCTTGATGAAGTTTGTTTTCTTGTTTTTGTTTTTTTTTCAAAAAAAAAAAAAAAAAAACTCCAGCCTGGCGACAGAGTGAGACTCCATCTCAAAAACAAACAAACAAACAAACAAAAATACAGATGATGTTGAGATTTTCAGGGAATGACAGAGAAATATGTGGGAGGAAGAATAGCATCAGGAAGAATAGCTAATGGATGCTGGGCTTAATACATAGGTGATGAGATGATCTTTGCAGCAAACCACTGTAGCACACGTTTACCTATGGAACAAACCTGCACATTCTGCCCATGGGCCCCTGAACTTAAAATAAAAGTTGGAAATTTTAAAAAATAGGAAAATGTACCTCATTCTCCATTTGTCATTTGAGAAAATGCAATCTGATGTATTCACTGATGTTATATAGTAAAGCAATAATAATAAAATATCTTTTCATATTATAAAAATAAAGAGGGGCTGGCTACATTGGTCAGCTGGTTAAAAATGTAGCCTGCTCTCCTTTCCCCCTCGAAGGTTCGTCTTTAGGGATTTTCTCTCCTAAAAGTTCATGTCTGTAAGCCTGAAGCAAAACAAGGGGCAATGTGAATCTAGCAAATGCCCGCATTATATATTTCAAAGAGAATTGTCTGCCTCTGATCATTCAACGGGAACATGGAAAAGGTAGAACATTCCTTTTAGATGGTAGCAGGGAGATGATGGCCCAGTATCACAGCAGTCACTGTGAGTCCCCTGTGCCCTGATGAAGGACCTTCTGAGCATGTCTGGAAGTTATCAGGTGCACAGCCCTGCAGCCCTGGAGCACCAGATTAAAGAACAGACCTCTCACTTTGGGAGGCCGAAGCAGGCAGATCACTTGACGTCAGGAGTTTGAGACCAGCCTGGCCAATATGGCGAAATCCCTTCTCTACTAAAAATACAAAAAATTAGCAGGGCGTGGTGGCAGACACCTGTAGTCCCAGCTACTTGGGAGGCTAAGGCAGGAGAATCGCTTGAACCTGGGAGGCAGAGGTTGCAGTGAGCCAAGATTGCAACACTGCACTCCAGCCTGGGTGACAGAGTGAGACTCCATCTCAAAAAAAACCCAAAAAACAAGCAAATAAAAAAACAGAACAGAGCTCTCTGCTCACTGAAGATTTTCTTCTTCAGCTGAGCCAGCAGCTTCAAGAGCTGCATGCAGGAAACCAGGAGGAAAGAAGGAAGTTCACAGGTCAAGCCAACAGAAGGAACTTGCCAGTCACTGTCCAAGCATGCTTACCTGGAGTCTCTGAGCCTGGCAGCTCCCCCGCAGTGAAAGCCTTCGTTTGGATGGAGAAAACCAGTCAGAGCCAAAGGCTTGAATTGAACCAGAAATGAGAACCTGGCATCCTTTGAAGTTCATTTACTCTCCAAAGAGGTAAATCAAGAGGAAGGTTAGGGCCTCGCAGAATGATATAACAACATTACCAGAAACAAACAAATAAACAAAAATCAATCAGAAAGCCAGCCTATAAAGCCTCATCTTTGAAGATGTCTCAAACGCATGGCATTGCGCCCATTTTCCATGATGACCCGGAACTACATGCTAATTGAAAGAACACCCACGAAGTGGATCACCATAAAGCAACAACCCTTCTCTCCTGGTAATTATGTGACCAAATTATGAAGCCCTCTGAGCCAACACATTCCAGCTTTTATGATGCAGTTAAAACCTGTTGCTGCCTGCAGGAGGGAGGAAGAAAGGGACCCTGGGCCAACATCTCCCGGCTCCCATCTGAAAGGGATGTCCTTCTCCCTTTTCCACGTTCCCTTTGAATGATCAGAGGCAGGCAACTCTCTTGGACACGTATATTGCAGGCGTTTGGTGGATTCACGTTGCCACTTGTTTTGCTGCAGGCTTATACAGATGAACCTTTGGGAGAGAAAACCCCTAGTTACAGGTTTTCTTTCTTATGTTCATTCAACATTTACAATATAGAATGTGTCTGGTTCTGGTGTGAGTTATTCCATATTTATGGATATATTTAGATCCCCAACATCTATAAGCTGAGGTCACATTTCCATTAATAATAATGGTGCAGAGCTCTATCTGCCCATGCAGGGACTTAGGGGCCCTTTGAGAACCCCTGAGTGTGGTTTTCTTTCTTTTTTTTTTTTTTGACGGAGTCTCGCTCTGTCTCTCAGGCTGGAGTGCAGTGGCATGATCTCAGCTCACTGCAAGCTCCGCCTTCCGGGTTCACGCCATTCTCTTGTCTCAGCCTCCCGAGGAGCTGGGATTACAGGTGTCTGCCACCACACCCAGCTAATTATTTTGTTTTTTTTTTTAGTAGAGACAGGGTTTCACTATATTAGCCAGGATGGTCTCGATCTCCTGACCTCGTGATCCGCCCACCTCGGCCTCCTAAAGTGCTGAGACTACAGGTGTTAGCTACTGCGCCTGGCCGAGAACCCCCTGAGTGTTCTTGAGAGACCCATGATGAGGGGAGGGAGGCTGTTCAGGTTCTTCTACCCAGATGTCTGCATCAGGCACTCCTTTCTGCTGCCTCTACTGAGAAAGCCTCCTTGAGAAGGTCTCATGGTACCAGCTCCAGTTTTCCCAAGACTAGAATCCAAGAACAGCTGCCTTGATAACTGCAAACCTCACTCTGTCATTTGGCCTCTGAAGCAGAATGACTCACCTAGAATCTCACACAACCCCTCATGAAAGCTGTTCTCAGCTTCTAGGTCCCATGGATAGGCATGAGTCAAGCCTCTCCCATCCATCCCTCTCCACCCCATCCCCGTACCTAAAATCTCCTATGTCTTTTCATGAGAAAACATGATTATTTGAGTATAAATACAGCTCAAACCCTGCTTACAGATGCAACAGTTCTCTGCAGGACAAAACCTAGAGCAGTGTCCCTCCCATTATGACACCTGCACACCTTTCCCAATCACCTAGAGCAGCTGAGGTCCAAAGAAGCCACATGGTCTCAAGCCTCTGTATGCCCCAAAAAGGTTTTATGCTGCATCTATACCTAACCTAAAGCCACTTCTTTTTGTTTTGGGGTTTTTGTTTGTTTGTTTTGAGACGGAGTCTTGCTCTGTCACCCAGGCTGGAGTGCAGCGGCACAATCTCGGCTCACTGCAACCTCTGCCTCCCAGGTTCAAGAGATTCTCGTGCCTCAGCATCCCAAGTCACTGGGATTACAGGTGCACACCACCACACCCGGCTAATTTTTGTATTTTTAGTAGAGAGAGGGTTTCACCATGTTGACCAGGCTGGTCTGGAGCTCCTGACCTCAAGTGATCCACCCTCCTCAGCCTCCCAAAGAGCTGGGATTACAGGTGTGAGCCACCGCACCTGGCCTAAAGCCACACATTGATGGGTTTGCTTGAGCAAAGGATCGTCTAGACCCAAAAGATAATGGAAGACACCTTTGGAAAAATCAATCATGAAGTCAGTACTCCTCCAATTTTAAGATATACCTGTCTAGCTCTCAGATGTGCCTGTTGCTTCCATGTGTTGGTTTCAGTCTTAAGCTTCACTTAATGGCAAGATGTCAGCCAAAGCTCCACGATCATGTCCTCCTAGGGTCAGGCCCATGAATGAGAGTATGTCTCTGCTCCCATCTCATTCACTCTGACTGGATTCCAGGACTTTCAATGTGTCAATCACTATGGCCAGGAAAATGCAATACTCCAATTATGCAAGCCTTGGTCACATGCCTGTGCTGAAATGAATGTGCACTCAGTTGCACCTGAAGAACATGGGCTAACAGTGGTAGACAGAATTTTTTTAGTGGAAAACTAAGGTACCATTACCCAGAAAAAGTGAGTAGAGTCTGGACAACCATGAAAACAAAACATGACAAAACAAAACAGATGTCTGCTATAGCTTTATTGCTTCCTATGTTTCTAACCTTCATCTTCTCCCATCCATCCTGTACCAGGGCTTACACACTATAGCTCTCAGGCCAAATCCAGCCTGTAGCCTATTTTTTATAAATAAAGCTTTATTGAAACACAGCCACACTCATTCATTTACATATTGTCTATGGCTGCTTTCATGCTATAACAGCGTAGAAGAGGAGGTGTGACAGAGACTGTGTATATTAGTCTGTTCTCACACTGCTATAAAGAACTAATTGAAACTGGGTAACTTATGAAGAAAAGAGGTTTCATTGACTCACAGTTCTGCAGGCTGTACAGTAAGCATGGCTGAGAGGCCTCAGGAAACTTACCATCATGGCGGAAGGTGAAGGGGAAGCAGGCACATCTTCACATGGTGACAGGAGAGAGAGAGGAAAGGGACAAGTGCTACACACTTTCAAACAACCAGATATCATGAGAACTCACTCACTATCACTAGAAGAGAAAAGAGGAAATCCGCTCCCATGATGCAGTCATCTCCCACCAGGTCCCTCCCCCAACTTTGGAAACTACAATTGGACATGAGATTTGGGCAGGGACACAGAGCAAACCATATCAGACCATATGCCTGGAAAGGTGAAAACATTTACAATGGGACCCTTGACAAAAAAAAAAAAAAAAACTCTTGCTGACCCTTGAGCCTTGCTCTAAGTGACCATCAGAATTCTTTGTTATATAATTCTGTCACTGCTGTCCTTTAAAATCTTCAACGGTTTTCCATTTGCTACAAGATAAACTCTAAATTCCTTGGGATAGCAGCATTCCTGTTGACAGTGAAAACTGTGCTTTGATCTCTACTTCAGTCACAGGAGTAGCAGCAAATCCCATGAGCTGCTCTTGGGAATTTGTGTGATTCCAGTGACAAGCAAGTAAATAAGTCTCTTGAGTATCAAATCTAACCTCCTTGGGGTCAACCAGTTAAGTGCCATTGTCCAATAAGAAAGGTAGAAATAGTCTGGCTGAGATGGCTCATGCCTGTAATCCCAATGCTCTGGGAAGCCGAGGCAGGAGGATTGCTTGACACTAGGAGTTTGAGACCAGGCTGGGCAACATAGCAAGACCACATCTCTACCAAAAAATACAAAATTAGCCAGGCATGGTGGCGTGTGCCTGTAATCCCAGCTAATTGAAAGGCTGAGGTGGAAGAATTGCTTGAGCCCTAAAGTGCAAGGTTACAATGAGCTATGATTGTGCCACTGCACTCCAGCCTGGACCACAGAGCAAGATCCTGTCTCCAAAAAAAATAAGGAAGGAAGGAAGGAAGAAAAGAAGGAAGGAAGGAAGGAAGAAAGGAAGGAAAGGAGGAAGGAAGGCAGGCAGGAAGGAAGGAAGGAAGGAAAGAAGGAAGGAAGGAAGGAAGGAAGGAAGGAAGGAAGGAAGGAAGGGATTTTGAATTTAAAATCTGAAATGGGGAGCTGCCCTCTGGATGTGTCCTTTCTTTCAAACATAGTATGTGTAAAGAAGCCATTATGTTTTGAAGGTCTAGGTCACCAACCAGAGGCAAACAAGTTCTTTTGTTTGGTAAAGAACCTGAAATGAGCCTCTTCAGGTTCAAGAGCCTCTGAGGAAGGAAAGTGGTTGGCAGGGAGGGGGGATGGGGGCCAGAGTTTTTTAAGGTAGCAGAAACCCAACCCATGCAGATCTTACATTGTGCCATCTGCAAGTGGCCTAGAAGGAGCTGGGGCCCAGATTCAGAGGGAAAAGAATATGCTAAGTAGCCTTATGCTTATGCCCAGAATAGAAGTCTGAAACAAAGGGCCAAGCCAATACCATGCTCAAGGACATACTTGTGCAGGTGAGCACCTGTGTCTCCACCAGAGTTCCTCTGGAAGGAGGTATTGTCCAATAAACTCCTTGGCCATGACGCGAGTCAGCATTTCATCCAGATGTGCACTTTGAAGACACTGTGCATTGATTTACCTGGTTGCTTGTTGGGTTGGGCGCAGGAGTTCAAGTTCTGTACTGTTGGAATATTCTAAAATGTGCTGGTAAACACTGCACTGAAAGATAGGAATGGACACCACCGTCACATGAACATAACATAGCAAGCCTTTTTACCACACGGCCATTGCTACTTCACAGCCAGGACTACTGCTACCTACGCTCTTTGCTCTAGGCTTACCCTTAACTCACTCACTATTCTCCAAACAAATCACACCCTTCCCAAGCCTGCACTTCCCTCTGCTTGAAAAGTCCTTCCCCCTCTCCACTAAGTGAAATTATGCTCATCCTCAAGACCCAGCTTAGATGTCGCCTCCTCTGTGGCATCTCCCAGGTAGGTTGAGTTTAGTTAAGATGGTGTTGACCAGCACAGGTTCATTTACAGAAGGGAAGGCACCAATATAGACGGCGAAGTGGGAGGTACAGGAGGCAGGATGGAAGGGTGGTGGGATGGACCAGGTTAGGCAAAAGAAAATGAAACAGGGCGCAGGTGCAATCATAGGATCCTTCCAAGAATGTTTTTAAGGGTTATTAAAAAAAAAAAAAAAAAAAAAAAAAAAAAAAAACAGAAAGTCCAGGCGCAGTGGCTCATGCCTGTAATCCCAGCACCTTGGGAAGCCAAGGCGGGTGGATCACTTGAGGTCAGGAGTTCAAGACCAGTCTAGCCGACATGATGAAACCCTGTCTCTACTAAAAATACAAAAAATCAGCCTGGCGTCGTGGCGGGTACCTGTAGTCCCAGCTACTCAGGAGGCTGAGACAAGGGACTCGCTTGAACCCGGGAAGCAGAAGTTGCAGTGAGCCAAGATTGCGCCATTGCACTCCAGCCTGGGCAACAGTGCGAGACTCCATGTCAAAAAAAAAAAAGATTACGAAGAGATCACCCTTTGCTAACTTTCTGTTCCTGGTGGATTCAGAAACCTTCACCTCCAATGCAATCTCAAACGCACTTATGCCCCAGTGCCCAGAACACCTCAAAGTTTTCAGAGTCTCTCTCCAACCCCTCCACGTCCCCACTAAAAAGAGTCATTCCATACCAGTCTCCATGTGCCTCCCCCATGTCCAACCTGCCCCCTGCCTCCACCTTTCATATTCTCTCATTGTTGGGTGATTTTTCACTTCGTCTTGACCTTTAAGCCCCATGTGTGCTTTTGACCTTGATTTGCCTTTCTGCCACAGTTTTGTTGGGTTTATTTCTCTCCTCTTTGGTTCAAAACGTTTATAGATTTTTTTTCTTTTTTTATTGTGATAAAAATGCCCATAACATAAAATGTGCCATTGCAATCATTTAAAAGTGTAGAAGTCAGCGGTACTAAGTACGTCTGCAGCGTTGTGTAACCATCGCCGAGAACATTTTCATTACCTCAGATGGAAACCTTATGCCTCTTACACAATCACTTCCTATGCTCCCTCCCCCTGTTCCTGGCAACCACTAATCTGCTTTCTGTCTCTCTGGATTAGTATTTCATATTAAGTGAATCACACAATGTGTGGCCTTCTGTGTTTGGTGTCTTTCACTTAGCATAATGTTTTCAAGGTAGCATGTGAGGGTAGATGTAGCATGTGAGGGCACTTCATTCTTTGTTATGGATGTGCAGTATCTGTTGTACTCATTCATTCATTCATTGACATTCAGGTTGTTTCAACTTTTTGGCTAACATGAGTAGTGCCACTATGGATAGTTTTGGGCATGTTTTCATATGAACATCCGGTTTTCATTTCTTTTGGTTATATACCTAGGAATGAGATTGCTGGGTCAGATGGTAATTCTATGTTTAACTAATTGAGGAGCTGCCAAAATGTTTTTGTGGGTAAGTTGTCAGTAACTCCTTTCCTGCTCAATCCACTCCATAGAATCCCCCTTCCCTTTGAAGACTCAAGGGCAGGACCTGGAAATTGGCGGAAAAAAAAACTAAGATTTGCCCTGATTTTTTGGGAGGAACCCTTGGATTTTGCCCTAATAGTTCTGCTTTTGGGTGGGAAAGAGCCAGATTATGCCAATCTGTATGTGGTTCAGGTTCCCCATTGCAGGGGCAGAGAGAGTTGGAGGGTTGTGCAGGTTTTACAAGCCAAGACTAGAAGGGCTACTTGACTTCCTCCCAAATCCTCCTGGGCCAGAACTCAATCACGTGATCTCAACCTACCAGCAAAGATCTCAACCTACCTACTACAAATCCTCCTGGGTTAGAACTCAGTCACGTGATCTTAACCTACCAGCAAGTCAGGAAAGTGTTCTCCTGCCTGTTGGGGAAGAGCAAAAGAAATCAGGATTTGGTGAATACCACTTTGTCTGTGCAGAAAGGCCTGAGACTATCAATTTTGTGAGGCGTGGAGTATCTTGGAAAAGAGGCATTGGAGCCTGAAAGTGGGAGGCAGGAGAATAGATGTGGATGGCCACCATAGTGAAAAAGTGAATGGTGACCAGGCACAGTGGCTCACACCTGTAATCCCAGCACTTTGGGAGGGTGAGGCGAGTGGATCACTTGAGGTCAGGAGTTCAAGACCAGCCTGGTCAACATGGTGAAACCTCATCTTTACTAAAAAATACAAAAATTAACCAGATGTGGTGACGCACACCTGCAATCCCAACTATTGAGAGGCTGAGGCACAAAAATCTCTTGAACCCGAGAGGCGGAGGTTGCAGTGAGCTGAGATCATGCTACTGCACTCCAGCCTGGACAACAGAACAAGACTCTGTCTCAAAAAAAAAAAAGAAGAAGAAGTGAATGGCGGTCACTCTTAGTAACAGAGAGAGAGCAGAGGGGTTTGCACAATGCTCTAGCTTCCGGCTCAGAGAGAGCACCCCTTCCAAGCCACGTCCAAACCCATGGTGACTTCTTGGTGTTTTAGAGCTGGAAAGAGGCAGAAACATCATCTTGTTGAATCCGGCCATTTTGCAGAAGAGGAAAATGAGTCCCAAAATGGGGAAGTGGCGTGCCCACCGTCAAGGCACAGGCAACACACTTTGCTGGACACCATCTCACTGGGAAGAATTGCATTTCCCCCAGAAACAAGCCACTTCTGTTCTCACAGATGGACTAGAAGTTACTCCAGGCCACCTCTGCTGACACTTAAACATATTCCCGTGCAATACGCAGTGAGACCAATTACTCTCTTATCATCCTCAGGAGCCGGGCCGCATTTGAAATCCTTGCGCTGTCCTGGGAGAACACAATCCCACATCCACTGATTTCTCTTATGATTCACGCCCAGTCTTCACTTCAATCATGTTGACAGCCCCTCTCTCTGACAGCACCCCAGGTATCCCATATGGCGGAAGGCATCAAGTTCAGTAAAAACTAACCTGACAAGCTGAAATGAAAACAAGACTCATGAATGATGCCCAAAGTCTTGTGCATATTTAAAGTAGTTCAATAATGTATATTATTCTTAATCCTAAGAAGCCATTGCATATGGTAGGACAATCATGACAAAACCAACTGTCATCACTGATCACTGAATCCTATAACAGAAGAACCCGACAGACACAGGAAACGCTTGGATTCAAGTTTGGTGCTGATTTGCCAAACACCCAATTTCAGATCCCCTTAAACTTCTCATTAGGTGTGATTTCAGGTTGATCTATCTTTCATCCCAGACAGTAACCTTTAATGGAGTTAATTAAAGTCACATTTTAAAAGTCCCCCTGTAGCTTTTTTGATTACAGTTATAAAATAGACCATAGTAACCTTTCCCGCTTTTGTAATTACAGGTTTGTGAAATTTCCAATTATTTCCCCTTTATGAACAATCACCCTTAAAGAAAGTTTCCCTGGTCATTGTTAGGCAGCTTTTGGTTTGATACCAGAAATTATAAACCACTACAGCCCGCTATTACAGGCCATAAAATCCGTGTCATGTAATGTGGCATGTAATTATAAGTTGCCTGAAATTGTTCATCTTCCTATTGTCAGCCTGCATTGTGATTCTCTGTTTACATGTCTGTTTCTTCCACTAGATTCTGAAAGGTTCAAGTGCTGGCACCTGCAATATGTAATTCTTCTCTGTACCCCTAGTGCCAAACATAAAGCCTACCCTGGCAGGTTCTTATTTCCTGAGTAGATAAGTGGTTGGGTGGGAATCAGAGATACTATTTGGAATGCTTCGCTTCTTTTGCTCAATCAAAAATCACTTCTGGCTGGGTGCGGTGGCTTACCCCTGTAATCCCAGCACTTTGGGAGACCAAGGCAGGAGGATCACTTGAGGTCAGGAGTTCAAGACCAGCCTGGCCAACATGGCGAAACCCCATCTCTACAAAAAAATACAAAAATTAGCTGGGTGTGGTGGCAGGCACCTGTAATCCCAGCTACTTGGGAGGCTGAAGCACAACAATCGCTTGAATCCAGGAGGTGGATGTTGCAGTGAGCCAAGATCATACCATTGCACTCCAACCTCGATGACAGAGCGAGACTCCATCACAAAAAAAAAAGCACTTACTCCTTTAAGTAGCTAATCTATGCATAATATTGATTTGTTTGATGTCTTTTTCTTTAAACCCAATATGAAGGAAAAATCCTAAATAATAAAAATTTTAATCTTGCGCCAGGCTGAGTGGTTCATGCCTGTAATCTCAGCACTTTGGGAGGCTAAGGCAGGATTACTTGAGCTCAGGAGTTCGAAACCAGCATGGGCAACATAACGAGATCCCATCACTACAAAAAAAAATGTTTTTTAATTAGCTGGGCATGGTGTTGCATGTCTGTAGTCCCAGCTACTCAGGAGGCTGAGGTGGGAGGATCATGTGAGCCTGGGAGGTGGAGGCTGCAGTGAGTTGTGATTGTACCACTCCAGCCTGGGAGACAGAGTAAAACCATGTCTTAAAAAAAAAAAAAAAAGGAGGAAGAAAGAAAACAAAAATTATAATAGGTGACTTACAGTTTCTTCTTTTTTTTTTTAGACAGAGTCTCATTCTGTCGCCCAGGCTGGAATGCAGTGTTGTGATCTCAGCTCATTGCATGCAACCTCTGCCTTCCGGGTTCAAGCAATTCTCCTGCCTAAGCCTCCCGGGTAGCTGGGATGACAGGTGCCCACCACCACATTTTTTTAGTAGAGACAGGGTTTCACCATGTTGGCCAGACTGGTCTCAAACTCCTGACCTCAAGTGATCCACCCATCTCAGCCTCCCAAAGTGCTAGGATTACAGGCATGAGCCACCACGCCCTACCTATAGTTTCTTCTTTATGCTGTTTCGTATTTTCCAAATTATCTTCAATTAATATATATTTCTTTACAATCTGAGCTATTTAATAAATGGAGCCTCTAGATTTTAATAAAATAAGTCTAATTTTAAAAATATGTATGCACACCTACTGTGTGCAAAGCCCAGTGAATGGGGCCCAGTGCACACTGCGCTCTGCATGGGAGGTGGTATTTACAAGCTCAATATCACTCTCCTTTATTGCTGTTTGTGTCACCCTAAGCTAGTTACAGAAGAGCTCTGGCCCAGTTTTCTTATTTACAAAATCAAAGGGGTAGGTAGGTGCCAGGATCTCCAAGACTCCTATAGATCCCCAATTATATAATCAAAATAACTAATTTTTCCTAAGAAATAATCCAAATCATTAGTAAAACACATAAAATGATCTGGGAATGCCAGTGAGCATGAGATGACTTTTAGTCAGGGGATAAAAACCAGTTTCATGAAGAAAGAGATGATAGAGTTGGGTTTGGAAAAATAGGATGTTAGCCTGCACGTAGGACTGGGGGAAGGCAGTGTAGAAGGAAGCAGTGGCTGGGAGCAATGGCTCATGCCTGTAACCCCAGCACTTCGAGAGGTAGAGGTTGGAGGATTGCTTGAGGCCAGGAGTTCGAGAGCAGCCTGGGCAACATAGTGAGACTACATCTCTACAAAAAAAGAAAAAAAATAGGCATTGTAGTGCATGCCTATAGTCCCAGTTACTCGGGAGGCTGAGGCAGGAGGACTGCTTGAGCCCAGGAGTTTGAGGCTGCAGTCAGCTATGATCATGCCACTGCACTCCAGCCCAGGCAATAGAGCAAGTCTCTGTCTCCAAAAAAGAAAGAAAGAAGAGGGCCAGGCACAGTGGCTCACGCCTATAATCCTAGCACTTTGGGAGGCCGAGGCAGGTGGATCACCTGAGGTCAACATGGAGAAACCCCATCCCTACTAAAAATGCAAAAATTAGCTTGGCATGTTGGTGTGCGCCTGTCATCCCAGCTACTCGGGAGACTGAGGCAGGAGAATCGCTTGAACCCAGGGGTGGAGTTTGTGGTGAGCCGAGATCGCGCCATAGCACTCCAGCCTGGGCAACAAGAGCAAAAGTCTGTCTCAAAAACGAAAGAAAGAAAGAGAGAACGAGAGAAAGAGAGAGAGAGAGAAAGAGAGAGAATGAAAGAAAGAAAGAAAGAAAGAAAGAAAGAAAGAAAGAAAGAAAGAAAGAAAGAAAGGAAGAAAGAAAGAAAGGAAGGAAGGAAGGAAGGAAGGAAGGAAGGAAGGAAGGAAGGAAGGAAGGAAGGGAAAGAAAGAAAGAGAAGGAAGGAAGAGAAAGAAAGAAAGAGAAGGAAGGAAGGAAAGAAAGAAAGGGAAAGAAAGAAAGAAGCAGAGTGAGCGAAGGCATGAAAGGCATGGTAGAAGCTGGGGCTGGGGCATAAGAGAAAAGCAAACTGGGGAACAACTAAAGGAAGAAGTGGATGGGGGAAGCTAAAATGTCAGTATGATGGTTAATCCTATGTGTCAACTTGGTTAGGCTGTGATACCCAAATATTTGGTCAAACACTAGTCTAGATGTTGCTGTGAAGGTGTTTTTAGATGAGATTAACATTGAAATCTAGTAGGCCATGAGTAAGGAAAATTGCCCTCTATGACTTTGGTGGGCCTCATCCAATCCATTGAAGGCCTTAAGAGAAAAAAATATATATATTGTCCTACCCCAAACAAACAGGGAATTCTGCCTCCAGACTGTCTTTGAACTTGAGCAGCAATATCAACCCTTTCCTGAGTCTCAAGTCTGCTGGCCTACCCTACAGATTTTAGACTTGCCAGCCTCTGCAATCCGTGGGCCAATTCCTTAAAATAAATCTCTCAACAGATAGATAGATACATACATACATACATAAATGAATGGATAGATAATTGATATATAGATAGATACATAGATGAATGGATGATAGATAGATTGATAGAGATGATAGATACATACATACAAAAATACATAAATGAATGGATAATTGATATATATATACATAGATGAATGGATGATAGATTGATAGAGATGATAGATAGATAGATGATAGAGAGATAACAGTGATGATTGATAGAGATGATAGATTAGATATATAGATGATAGAGATGATAGATTAGCTAGATATATGACAGAGGTGACAGATTAGATAGATGATAGATACAGATGATAGATTAGATAGGTGATAGAGATGGCAGATTAAATAGTTGATAGATAATAAAGATGATTAATAAATAGATAGGTGATAGAGATGATAGGATAGACAGATTAGATAGATGATGGAGATGATAGATAACAGATACATAGAGATGATAGGTAGATTAGATAGATAATAGATAGATGAAAGATCGATAGATAGACAGATAGAT
Organism: Homo sapiens; assembly: GCF_000001405.40. NCBI lineage: Eukaryota > Metazoa > Chordata > Mammalia > Primates > Hominidae > Homo > Homo sapiens. The sequence goes on along the minus strand of NC_000007.14, from coordinate 67,732,962 downwards.
AGATAGATAGATAGATAGATAGATAGATAGATAGATAGATAGATAGATATGATAAGTAGATAGGGAGAGAGATAGAGAGATGATAGGCAGACAGATGATAGATAATCACACACACATACATCCTATTGGTTCTGTTTCTCTGGTCTCAGGCTGAACCATGTGGTTGACAAGTAGAAACCCTCGAGATGACAGAGCTAAGACTATGTGGCTAGATCTTTAGCTAAAGCAAAACTGTGTGTCCCTGAAATGATTGGCCCACACAAATTACAGTAAAAGCCTCTTGGCCAGCAAGATTGGGACTGATGGCCCATCATTAGCAAAAGTGGGTGAGAGTGTGGAGTCATAAAAAGATGATAAAAGCACACCTGCAATTTCATAGATTAGCTTAACATATATAAATATGCATCCATTCTTTGAGTACATGCTCACTACTTGAAGTTCTGCATTATTTTAAAATCTCCTGTTTTATTAACTTGAAATGGAGAAAGATCTTAAAGTCACTTATAGCAACTGAAGCCCAGAATCCTTCCAGGTTTATATAATCATTCCCAAAATTTTACAGTTGCTTTGCCTGCACTCAATTTGACAGCAGTTGTTAAGTAATTTGCCTTTATTAAGTCTTTCCCAAGCATTCAACTTAATTTCCCTAGAAATGACGACTCTATTATTTTTATACACTCCATCAGTACTGCAATATTTACCTAATTCTGTAATTGCCATAAGAAATATATTTGCATGAACAGGTTTGGGGACAAGTGTAATTGACTCTTGATAAGCATGCAGTCTCCCTGATTGGAACAGCTGTGAACGTCGGAGGGACAAAGGCATTGGTCAGGGGTGTTTACAGAGGAAAATAAGAGCACTGGTTAGCAGACAAAGGTGGTTAAGTGGAGGTTAGTTAGAAGCAGTGGTGTGCTAGTAACTGTTTAACACCTGACTCTGGGCAGGTGGCTGATTCCTGGCATTTGCAGATTTCTGTGGTGCCAATATTCTCACTCCCAAAATGACGTTACTGAAGGTGGAGTTGGAAATAGATGTGTACAACTGGCTCTAGTGATCAATAAAAGCCAGCTCCAGTGCACTCTGGTTAGGAGCACGCCTTTGGCCATGACAATGATCAGTCTCTCCAAGTAGACCATGTAGCAAGCAACAAGGCTCTCAAGAATTTCCAGATTGATGTCTTTCAAATAGGTTACTTTAAAAAGAAGAAGAAGAAAAAGGCCAGGTGTATGGTGGCTCACACCTGTAATCCCAGCTCTTTGGGAGATCAAGGCCAGAGGATCACTTGAGGCCAGGAGTTCAAGACCAGCCTGGGCAACATAGCAAGACCCCTCTCTATAAAAGAATTTAAAACTTAGCCAGGCATGGTGGCCCACACCTGTAGTCCCAGCTACTTGGGAGATTGAGATGGGAGGATCACTTGAGCCCAGGAGTTAGAGGCTGCAGTGAGTTATGATCACACCACTGCACCCTAACCTGGACAACAGAGTAAGATCCTGTCCTTTAAAAACAAAAAAAGGAAAATGGCTGGGTGTGGTGGCTTACGCCTATAATCCCAGCACTTTGGGAGGCCAAGGCAGGAAGATCACTTGAGGTCAGGAGCTTGAGACCAGCCTGGCCAATATGGCAAAACTCCGTCTCTACTAAAAATGCAAAAATTAACCAGCGTGGTGGCACGCACCTGTGATCCTAGCTACTTGGGAGACTGAGGCAGGAGAATTGCTTGAACCCAGGAGGTGGAGGCTGCAGAGAGCTGAGATTGGTGCCAATGGACCCCAGCCTGGGCAACAGAGCAAGACTCTGCCTCAAAATAAATAAATAAATAAATTTAAAATAATAATAAATAATAAATTAATTTAAAAATTAAAAAAATAAATTGTGTCTCCCCAAAAATTCATATGCAGAAGCTCTAACTTCCCAGTGTGATGGTACTTGGAGATGGGGTCTTTGGGGGTAATTAGGTTTAGATGAGGTCATGAGGGTGGGACCCTCATGATGGGGTTAGTGACCTTATACGAAGAGGCATCTGACAGCTTGATATCTCTCTCTCTCTCTCTCTCTCTCTCTCTCTCTCTCTCTCTCTCTACCATGGGAGGATACAGAGAGAAGACATCCATGTGCAATTCAGGAAGACAGCTCTCACCAGAAATTAACCATGCTAGCATTCTCATCTTGCTCTTCCAGCTTCTACAACTGTGAGACTGGAAAACTTCTCTATCTCTCTCTCATAGATAGATAGATAGATAGATAGATAGATAGATAGATAGATAGATAGATAGATTATATATAGAGATATAGATTACATATATGTGTGTGTGTATATATATATATATATATATATATATATATATATATATATGGAAAGAAAGAGAGAGATTGAGAGAGAAAGGTCTTGCTCTGTAACACAGGCTGGAGTGCAGTGGCATTATCATAACTCACTGCAACCTCAAACTCCTGGGCTCAGGCAATCCTCCTGCCTCAGCCTCCCAAGTAGCTGGGACTACAGGTGTTCACCACCACACCCAGCTACTTTTTAATTTTTTTTTTTTTTTTGTAGAGATAGAGTCTAACTATATTGCCCAGGCTGGTGTCAAACTCCTGACCTCCAGTGATCCTCCTGCCTTGGCCTCCCCAAGTGCTGGGATTACAGGCATGAGCCACTGCACCTGGCCCTGTTTTAACATTTAAATGACAGTTTTACATTTACAGAAAGATTGCAAACATAGTACAGAATTCCCACATGCTGCACTCAAATTCCCCCACCATTAACATCTTACATTCCCTTGGCACATCTGCCATAATTCATGAACCAATATGGAGACGTTATTATTAGCTTAAGTCCATACTGTTTTCACAGGTCTGTAGCTTTTAATTAATGCCCTTTTCCTGTTTCAGGATCTCACCCAGGACATCCCATGACGTTCAGCCCTCATGACTCCTTAGGCTCCTCCCGGCTGCCAACAGTTTCTCAGACTTTCCTGGTGTTTGGCATTCCCTTTGCTAGATAAATGTTGATTGAAGGACAATAGACACACAGAAAAGCAGTCAGATCACAAGGGTGCCACTTGATGAATGCTCTCAAGGGGAGCTCACCCACGTAAGCGGCACACAGATTACTAACAAGAGCACCATCAGCATTTGGTGCCCCTGGTCCCTTCCAGTTCGCTACCTGCCTCTGAAGAGCCGTCCCTATCCTTGGATTAATTAGCGTGGTTTTTGAACTTTGGATACACAAATTCGTGCCGTACATGTCTCCTGCATCCACCTTCATCTGCTCAGAGCTTCCTTTCCTTTAGTTTCCTGAGAATGGCTCTTTTCATGGCAGAAACATTCCACTCTCTGAACTCAGGTTCCTGGAGCCAAAAGTGTCACAGGAAAGCCAGCTTCCAGGAACACAGACTCCTGTGGCTGTCGGGGAACCACTCAAGCCTCCGTGAATGAAAATAGGATCTCGGGACCCCAAGCTCACTATGCCAAAGGGAAAGTTCAGCTTGGGAACTGAGCCACACAACACTGCCTTCCTTTTAGTCCCCAAACAGACAGCTGTCATTTGACAATCCTGTGTCATAGCCTCATCCAAAAGCCAGGTTCTGATAATAATCAAAGGCCATGTATCTCCCCAGATGGCCTCCCTCACATATTGTGAGGAATATTCCTTGTGAGCCCCTAAATCTTGCAAAATACACATCTCCCCATTAAGTTCTAAACCTGAGCTCTGTTGAATTGTCACACAATTACCAACTTATCTTTATAGAACAAGGAGAAGACCAGAAATTTTCTCTCCATCTATCCTAAAACAAATGCATCATTGGTTTTTGTTTTTTGGGGTTTTTTGTTTGTTTGTTTGAGACGGAGTCACGCTCTGTCGCCCAGGCTGGAGTGCAGGGGCGCAATCTCGGCTCACTGCAATCTCCGCCCTCCTGGGTTCAAGCGATTCGCCTGCCTCAGCCTCCCGAGTAGCTGGGACTACAGGAGCCCACCACCATGCCCAGCTAAATTTGTATTTTTTAGTAGAGACGAGGTTTCACCATGTTGGCCAAGCTGGTCTCAAACTCCTGACCTTAGGTGATCGTCCACCTCGGCCTCCCAAAGCACTGGGATTACAGGCTTGAGCCACTGCGCCTGGCCCACAAATGCATAATTGACTTTTTTCTCTACTCTATCTTTTCACAGCTTACTGTATTGTATGTAAGTATAGATTTACTGAGTGTGAGGCAATGCACAATTGACTTGTTCTTGTACTCCCTCTTTTCACATGTAAAATGTAGATTTACAGAGGTTAATCAGAACTTCATGAGAATGCAACCATTTACCACATGGCCTGCCCTCCCTCCCCTTTTCCCCTTCCTGCTTGTCTTTTTCCCTTTAAATACTGAAGTTCTACCATTTGATCCAGCAATCCCACTACCGGGTGTCTACCCAAAGGAAAAGAAGTCATTATATGAAAAAGACATACCCACACATGTCTATAGAAGCATAATTTGCAATTGCAAGGAAATGGAACCAACCCAAATGCCCATCAACCAAGGAGTGGATAAAGAAAATGTGGTATATATACACCATGGAATACTACTCAGCCATAAAAAAGTACAAAATAATGGTTTTTGCAACAACTCAGATGGAGCTGTAGGCCATTATTCTAAGTGAAATAACTCAGGAATGAAAAATCAAATGGACTCACTTATAAGTGAGAGCTAAGCTACAAGGATGCAAAGGCATAAGAATGATATAATGAACTTTGGGGACTCAGTTGGGGGGAAGGGTGGCAGGCGGTGAGCGATAAAAGACTACATATTGGGTACAGTGCACACTGCTCTGGTGATCTCAGAAATCACCACTAAAGCACTTATCCATGTTCCCCAAAACTATCAAAATAAAAAGATAGGCCAGGCATGGTAGCTCATGCCTGTAATCCCAGCACTTCGGGAGGCCAAGTCAGGTGGATCGCTTCAGCCCAGGAGTTCGAGACCAGCCTGGGCAACATGATGAACCCCGTCTCTACTAAAAACACAAAAATTAGCTGGGCATGGTGGTGGGTGCCTGTAATCTCAGCTACTCGGGAGGCTGAGGCAGGAGAATCATTTGAACCCAGGAGGCAGAGGTTGCAGTGAGCCGAGATCGCCTCACTGCGCACCAGCTTGGGTGACAGAGTGAGACTCGGTCTCAAAAACAATTAAAATAAAATTAAAAATTAAAAGATAAGGAAATCACACTTTAAAACAGATAAATAAATAAATACTGAAGTTCCCTGAATCCCTTTGGAAAAAGCACAGGTCACCAGTGTTCTTGTGACATGTCATGTTTTCCCCAGTTGCATCCTCAGTCTTAGCTAAATAAACCTATATTGATTGAGACCCGCCTCAGGTGACAGGCTTTTTTGCTAACATCTCGTTGCTACTCAAAGTACAGGCTTTCCTCAGCTGCAGGCTCCTCTCTCTCTCCTTCCCCTGGAAGCTGCCACGCCACCATATCCCAAAGACTGGCCCCTGTGGTTCCCAGCTCTTCTTTTTCTTGCCCCCAGGAAAAGTCCAAAAATCTTGCCTATGTTTAGGGTTTCATTAGCAGTTACTTCAGGAATACACACAGAGGGAAATAAAAATCAACATGGACATGTGAACATATTTCTAGAACCTTCCTGTCTGGCCTTTGGTCAGTAGCTCTCCCTAAGAAGGTATCAAGTCCCAGTGGATGTCTCCATTCTGGCTCCGGATGGTGAAACTCACCCAGTCTGCTTCTTCTTATTAGCCCATGACAAGTGGCACAGCTTATCCTTGCATTCTAGTTCTAAGCCAGCCAGTAGCACAGTCTTGGGTGGAGGGCAGTGGCCAGTGACAAAGACTCCTTGACCAAATTCCCTTTGGCCAGGCTCCTCTGAGCCCTCTTCTCAACCAGGCCTCAACCTTGACCTATAATGTCAGAGGCCTGTGAACCAGAGAAACTCCATCTTGAATAGGGGTTGGGTAAAATGAGGCTGAGACCTACTGGGTTGCATTCCCAGGAGGTTAAGGCATTCTTAGTCACAGGATGAGATAGGAGGTCGGCACAAGACACGGGTCACAAAGTCCTTACTGATAAAATAGCTTGCAGTAAAGAAGCCGAACAAAACCCACCAACACCAAGTTGGTGACGAGAGTGACCTCTGGTCATCCTCGCTGCTCATTATACTCTAATTATAATATATTAACATACTAAAAGACACTCCCATCCACACCATGACAGTTTAGAGATGCCATAGCAACATCCAAACTTACCCTATATGGTCTAAAATTGGGAGGAACCCTTAGTTCCAGGAATTGCCCCCTAACTTTCCCGGGAAACTCATGAATAATCTACCCCTTTTAACATATAATCAAGAATAACCATAAAAATGGGCAACCAGCAGCCCTCAAGGCTGCTCTGTCTATGGAGTAGCCATTCTTTTATTCCTTTACTTTCTTAATAAACTTGCTTTCACCTTACTGTATGGACTCACCCCAAATTCTTTCCTTCACAAGATCCAAGAACCCTCTCTTGGAGTCTGGATGGGGATCCTTTTCCGGTAACAATATGTCCAGCCACTGTGGAAAGCATTTAGGTGATTTCTCAAAGAACTTAAAACAGAAATACCATCAACCCAGCGATCCCCTTATTGGTATATGCCCAAAGGAATATGAATTGCTATCCCAGAAAGACACATGCACACATTTATTCACTGCAGTGTTATTCACAATAGCAAAGATATGGAATCAACCTAAATGCCCATCAATGTTAGACTGTATAAATAAAATGTGGTACATATACAACACAGAATACTATGCAGCCATAAAAAAGAATGAGATCATGTCCTTTGCAGGAACATGGATGAAGCTGGAGACCATTATCCTAAGTGAACTAATGCAGGAACAGAACACCAAATTCTGCATGCTCTCATTTATAAGTGGGAGTTAACCATTGAGTACACATGGACACAAAAAGGGAACAACAGACACCAGGGCGTACTTGAGGGTGGAAGGTGGAGGGTGGGAGGAGGGTGAGGATCACAAAAACTACATATTGGGTACTATGCTTATGATTAATACCTGGGTGATGGAATAGTCTGTATACCAAACCCCAATGACATGCAATTTACCTTTATAACAAACCTGAGCCCCTGAAACTAAAATGAAAGTTAACAAAAAACAATGACAAACTCTTCATATAAATAATTTCATCTACTCCTACCCCAGGCACACACACATATGCTAAGGGATTTTTTTTAAAACCCTAGTGTTTTTTCAAGCAGCTCAAGGACATGTCCCTGGGATGACCCACCCCACTCTAAAGGCCTGCCTGAGAAAGCTCACTGCTGCCAAAATAATTTACCATTTCTTCCAGCCAAACCGTGACTCTAGGCCCCTGACCTCCCTTTTCCCAGAGCATTTACTTTAGAAAACCTGGCGGTTGTGAAACTTTTCTCCATCCCTTTGAGACGTAAGTCTCCTACAATGCAGAAATGTTTTCTGGAGGATCTGGGAGACATCTCTTTGAAATGCAAACATCTAGGGTGATGGCTCTTCTGTCTCCCTGTTCCTAGTCGGAGGCTAAGAGCCTAAATTCCTGGGTGCCTTTTCCAACAAGCAAATCTACCTCCTGTCCTAAAGATATGAGGAGTTTACTTCTCCAGATAAACGCAAATTAATGAACTCAGATGGCCTAATCATATAGACCCATCCCTTAGCATCTTTTGATACCTTTCCTTGAGTCTACCCAGCATTGAAAAGTACCTTTTGTCCTGGCAGACTCTGTTTACACTAAAGTCTCTCTTCCCTACTGCAATAGTCTTGTTCCCAGACCAAAAGGATCAGGCTGCTATTCTTGTGGCCCAATAACAAGATGCAGATGAATTGTGAAAGAAGAGAGTTTATTTCTGTAACTGGATACAAGGAACAGGCTGGGAAAATAGCTCCAGACCAGCTCAAAATTACAAAGTTTTCCAGAGCTTATATACCTTCTAAGCTGTATGTTTACATGTAAGTGTGTACGCCTCTAAAGACATAAGTAATCAACTTATTCTCATCTATAACTAAAGTCTGAGTCCCAAAGACCTTCCTATGGAGTTTCAGTAAATTTACTTGATGTAGACGGGTCCAGGTGCCAGGGGTGATTATCCTTATCTTGTCACCTGCTAAATCATGGAGGTTTGGGGAGTTCTTCTAGACCCACAATAAAACTTGTTTGTGGAGGTCTGGGGAGTTTCTTCAGACTCCCAGTGAAAACCTGTTTAATCCTAAATGGATCCTGTTAACAATTCCTTTGTTATCTTGTCATGCTTCGAGGCCCAGGAAAGGCCTAAGCAAAACTCTTGGTGGGCTTTTGTTAAATTCCAGCCTTTGTATAAGGGCACCGGCTCTTTCAGCTTTTAATATTTAACTTTACCACTCAGTCAGTGCTGAAACAGTGGTTACGGAGACCTGGCCTGCCACAGTCTGAATAAAGCCCATCCGATGTCCTTTAACAAGTCTAGAGCTTTGTGTCTCTTTTTTTTTTGAGACGGAGTCCTGCTCTGTCACCAGGCTGGAGTGCAGTGGCGCAAACTTGGCTCACTGCAATCTCTGCCTCCTGGGTTCAAGCGATTCTCCTGCCTCAGCCTCCCGAGTAGCTGGGACTACAGGCATGTGCCACCATGCTCAGCTAAATTTTTTTTTTTTTTTGTATTTTTAGCAGAGACCGGGTTTCACCATGTTGGCCAGGATAGTCTCAATCTCTTGACCTCATGATCAGCCCAGTTCGACCTCCCAAAGTGCTAGGATTACAGGCATGAGCCACCGTTCCTGGCTGAGTTTTGTGTCTCTTTAATAGCAGGTGATGTGGGCAGAGACGAAGGGAGGTGGCCACTGGGAAGTCCACCTGGTTTCCTCACTTGCATGAACTCATTGCCAGGGCTAAGTGTCCAAGGTGCACACAGCCTGCCTAGGGTAATTGGGGAGGAGATTCTGAACCTCCTCTGTGGAGTGATTTTCCTTCTTATGGCAATAGAGACCATTAACAACACACTTCTTACCAAACAACCCATGCCAGAGGTCCCATGGAGGAGGACTGAATAATGTATGTGAATCTCCCTTTCGAAGTTCTTTTCCTGGGGCCTCTACTGGTCCCCCTCCTTCTCCCTAACTCTTTGGAAAGAGCTTAGTTCCTTTCTTTCAGCATTTGCCAGAGACTTGGCCCCCAGTGGAAGGTAATGGGATTAAACCCCAGGGAAGCTGGGAGCAGATCTCATTCTGAACCACAGCATTTTGTTCTCTGGAGAAGTCAGAGGAAGCTGGAGTGGATGGCACGAAATGAAAGGCCTCCTCAGATCAAATCTACGTGGCACCCCCTCATTGCACTTCCTTCACCCCCAACAGGAGGAAGCAATCCTGGAGGAGACCAACACACATCCCAAAGATTGGAGTTTTAACTTCCACCATCAGAGGTCTGAAAATAACGCTGCCGGAAGGGTAGTTGAGGGTGTCAATGAAAAACTCTGTAAAATATTTGAAGAGATTTATTCTGAGCCAAATAATAGTGACCATGGTCCATGACACAGCCCTCAGGAAGTCCTGAGAACATGTGCCCAAGGTGGTCGGGGTGCAGCTTGGTTTTATACATTTTAGGGAGGCATTAGACATCAAATACATTTAAGAAATGCATTGGTTTGGTCCAGAAATGCAGGACAACTTGAAGTAGGGAGTGGGGGTTTCCAGGCTATAGGTAAATTTAAACATTTTCTTATTGACAATTGGTTGAGTTTGTCGAAAGACCTGGGATCAATAGAAAGGAAACGTTCAGGTTAAAAGATTGTGGAGACCAAGGTTCTTCTGAAATCTCACAGTGGCTGCCCTTACAGACAATAGATGACAAGTGTTTCCTATTCAGATCTTTAAAAAGTGCTAGACTTTTAGTTAATCTCTAGAATTGGTAGGGCCTGGAAGAAAAAGATCTAGCTATGTGAATAGAGATCCTGTACAGATGCAAATTTTCCCCCACAAAGGACAGCCTTGCAGGGCCATTTCAAGATATGGCAAAGAAACATGTTTGGGGTAAAATATTTCTTCTGTGTCTTGTAATGTTATGCCAGGGTCAGGTTGGAAAGAAAGTCACGATATATAGGGTTAAATAAAACCCATCTGATGAGAATTTATGGTTTGTAGGGCATGACTCCCCGGATCCCTTAGATAGGAATTTGGACAAGATTTAAAAAATCAGAGCTTAGTCTTCAAAGGATAACATTTGGTGAGGAATAAAAAGGCCTGAGAAAAGGCTGTGCCTGGGTAACCTCTTGGTGGCCTGAGATTTCACTCATTGTGATGAAAAGCATCCAAGTGTAGTCACACTCAGTTTGGACAGATTCCTAAAACAGGTGTCACCATTGCTCAGGACTCTGCGGGGCAGGTTGAGGCAAATAAGGGGGTGTCCAGGGGGTCTTGGGTGCTAGGGGAGATGGTGCTCCAGAGTCTGAGAACGTCTTAAGCTGGAGGCCCTTGGAGAGTCTTGGACTTAGGGGAAGAATCCTTGGGGGTGAACCTGCTGGCTCCCTGACAATCCCCTGCTCCAGAATGGTCCTTAGAGTCTTTGCTTCCATTATCACCTCCTCAGAATGGCCTTCCCTGACCCAGCCAATCTAAATCAGATCCCCCCTTCATTCGTCATTTATTTCTCCTATCAATTTTCTTTTATGATTTATAATGATACATGTTTTTTGTTTTTTGTTTTGAAACAGAGTTTCACTCTTGTCACCCAGGTTGGAGTGCAATGGTGCAATCTTGGTTCATTGCAACCTCTGCCTCCCAGGTTCAACTGATTATCCTGCCTCAACCTCCCCAGTAGCTGGGATTACAGGCACCTGCCACCATACCTGGCTAATTTTTGTATTTTTAGTAGAGGCAGGGTTTTGCCATGTTGGCCAGGCTGGTCTTGAACTCCTGACCTCAAGTGATCCATCCGCCTTGGCCTCCCAATATGCTGGGATTATAGGCGTGAGCCACTGTGCCCAGCCTGATATATGTATTGATGTGCTTATTTATTTAATGCATATCTCTACTTGTGGTCTAGGATAGCCTTGAGAGCAGAAATTGTGTCTGCAGAGCTCACTGCTGGGATATTGTACACAATCAACTTGGTGAATGAATGCATGAATGAATGACTTTCCCCGTCATGACGCTTCATGAAGCTGAACACTGTGAATCCCTACATTCTACCTGATCCAATGGACTCCCCACTCCTGAAATCACCTTTGCAAAATGATAACTGAGGAAATTATGACAGTGAAAGAGATCAGACCTAACCAACACCACCTTGCTTCTAACCTTTAAGCTGTCCTTGTTCATGCCTGGGCATAGGCTGAACTAGCTTTGGGAAGGAATTCAGTTCATGGTTTGACTCTGAAACAAAATTGTTAACAGCCCTTTCCCGAAAAGACCCCCTTCTTGCCTGGGGAACAGTCTGCCTTTGCAGGACTAACAAATTAGCTACAAGATTAGAAATTGCAGTTTAGGGGCCATGCAGCCTCTGGCTCCAAGAGTCTGAACCTCCCCCAATTGCTTCTGGGGATAACATCACTATTCTAAAACCTAAGATCAGATCAGCGCTTGAGATATTTTGTAGAACCTGCACTGGATGGATCAGATGACACCACCCAGACAGGTAATCTGGCTCAACCAGTTCTGCAATCCCACCCAGGAACAGAAGACAGTAAGAAAAACTCACTTCGACCCCTTATGATTCCATCTCCAACCTGACCAATCAACACTCCCCACTTCCCAAGCCCCGCCCACCAAATTATCTTTAAAAACTCTGATTCCTGAATGTTTGGGAGACTGATTTGAGTAATAATAAAACTCCCTTCTCCCACACAACTGGCTTTGCATGAATTACTCTTTCTCCAACGCAAGTCCCCTGTGTTGATAAATCGGCTCTGTCTAGACAGTGGGAAAGGTGAACCCATTGGGCGGTTACACTTCCAGGCAGCTTGCTGGGCCTCTCATCACCCCTCTTCCTACCCTGTCCCAAGTCTAAACCCTGATATCATCATTTGAATCTCTTCTTTCTTTCTGGGTTCCAAGACAGGACAGTGACTGAACAAGGAAACCGAAGAAAGGGTTCCTGGAGCACCACGGCACTTCCTCCTGCTGAAACTCATTCATTCCACTGGCAAGTATTTTGCATGTAATAATAAGGTTTCAGACACAATTCTAGGTGCTGATGTTACTAGAAAGGAGTCCCGATCCAGACCCCAAGAGAGTGTTCTTGGATCTCGCCCAAAAAAGAATTTGAATTACTCCATAAAGTAAAGGTGAGTCTATTAGAGAAGTAAAGAAACCAAAGAATGGCTACTCCATAGGCAGAGCAGTAGTGTGGGCTCCTCAATGGCTCTTTCATGGTTATTTCTTGATTATACGCTACACAAGCGGTGAATTATTCATGAGTTTTCCAGGAAAAGCAACTCCCAGAACTGAGGGTTCCTCCCCTTTTTAGACCATATAGGGTAACTTTCTGATGTTGCCATGGCATTTGTAAACTGTCATGGTGTGGGTGGGAGTGTCTCTTAGCATGATAGTGCATTATAATTAGTGTATAATGAGCAGTGAGGATGACCACAGGTCACTTTCGTCACCATCTTGGTTTTGGTGGGACTTGGCAGGCTTCTTTACTGTGTCCTGTTTTATCAGCAGGGTCTTTGTGACCTGTATCTTGTACCAACCTCAAATCTCATCCTGTGACTAAGAATGCCTAATCTCCTAGGAATGCAGCCCAGTAGGTCTCAGCCTCATTTTAGCCAGCCCCTATTCAAGATGGAGTCACTCTGGTTCAACCGTCTCTGACACTGAGATACAGAGAGATATATAGCACAGCTTCCACTCTTAAGAACCTTATAAACATGGAAGACAAGTAAACAAATGGTTTCCAAAAGCCATAAGTGCTATCAGGCAAAGCCTGTCGTGGAATTAAAAGAAAGGAGTCATGGCCTGGTGGGGTGGTCCAGGCCTGTAATCCCAGCACTTTGGGAGGCTGAGATGAGAGAATCACTTGAGCCTAGGAATTTGAGAACAGCCTGAACAATACAGTGAGACCCCATCTTTACAAAAAAATTTAAAAATTATTTGGGCACAGTGGTATGCACCTGTATTCCCAGCTGCTTGAGAGGCTAAGGTGGGAGAATTGCTTGAGCCCAGGAGGTCAAGACTGGAGTGAACTGTAATCATGCCACTGTACTCCATCCTGGGAACAAAGGAAGACTTTACCTCAAAAAAAATTTTTTTTAAAAGAGGAAGGAGTCCTTAAGTTTGTCTGGGTGTTTGAGAGATCTCCAAAGAATAAGATATGCATGCAGAAAAAAAATTATTTTAAAAAATATGCTCACATGATCATGGAGGCTGACAAGTCTAAAATCTGTAGGGTGGGCCAGCAGGCTGGAGACCTTAATACATTAAGTGTATTAGAAAGAGCTGATGTTTCAGTTTAAGTTCAAAGGCCATCTGCTGGCAGAATTCCTTCTTGCCTGGGAGAGATCCTTTGTTTTATTCAGGCCTTCAATTGATTGGATGAGGCCCAGCTAGGTTACAGAGGGTCGTCATCTTCATTCAAGGTCCACCAATTTAAATGTTAATCTTATCCAAGGAAAACACATCACAGAAACATCCAGAATGATGCCTGAGCAAATATCTGGGTCCTATGACCCAGCCAAGTTGACCCATAAAATTAAACATCACGGCTGGGCGTGGTGGTGCATGCCTGTAATCCCAGCACTTTGGGAGGCTGAGGCGGGCAGATCACCTGAGGTCGGGAGTTCAAGACCAGTCTGACCAACATGGAGAAACCCCATCTCTACTAAAAAAAATACAAAATTAGCCAGGCATGATGGCACATGCCTGTAATCCCAGCTATTCGGGAGGCTCAGGCAGGAGAATTGCTTGAACCCGGGAGGCAGAGGTCGCAGTGAGCCGAGATCGCACCACTGCACTCCAGCCTGGGCAACAAGAGTGAGACTCCATCTCAAAAAAAAAAAAAAAATTAACCATCACACTGCAAGGTATAGAGATGGCAGCCAGAGAGAGGTGAGATTTGAGCTAAATCTCAATTAAGGCTGTGAACCCTGAAAATCTGAGACAGGTCTCAGTCAATTTAGAAAGTTTATTTTGCCAAGGTTGAAGATGCATGCCCAGGACACAGCCTCAGGGGTTCTGACAACATGTGTCCAAGGCGGTCGGAGCACAGTTTGGTTTTATACATTCTATGGAGACATGAGACATCGATCAACATATGCAAGATGAACATTGGTTTAGTCTGGAAAGCTGGGACAACTTGAAGCGAAGGTAGAAAGACTCAAAGTGGGGAGGGGGCTTCCAGGTCATAGGTACATAAGAGACAAATGGTTGCATTCTTCTGAGTTTCTGATTAGCCTCTCCAAAGGAGACAATCAGATATGCATTGATCTCAGTGAGCAGAGGGGTGACTTTGAGTAGAATGGGAGGCAGGTTGGCCCTGAGCAGTTCCCAGGTTGATTTTTCCCATTAGCTTACTGATTTGGGGGGCCCAAGATTTATCTTCCTTTCACAAGGCATTGAGTGAAGATGACAGGGATCAAAAGGAATTCATGAGACTGAGAATTTGAGAGGGTAGAGAGGCATCCCCGAGAGAAGAAACTATATGGGCTCAACCAGAAGTGGGAAGAAAATGAGGGGCTTTAGGGCAGCTGGGAGCAGATCAGAGTGTGTGTCTCAGGGGTTTGGTGGTAGGAGGTTGATTTCAGCCTTTGTAGCAGCCAAGGAGTTCCTTCTTGATCCTCCACGCCCCTGCCAGGCTCTGATCATGGGTGAGCTTCATGGATAGGTGCCCAGGATGCTGGGCATCCTATCAGCTGGGATGGCAGTCACTGAAGGATTTTTCCAAGGCCTCTGTAGCATCCAAGACACAAAATCTGTCCCATGGGCTCAAAGTCATGGGTAAACAGGAGGCAACTTGACCCACAGCTTCAGAAACCCCAGACACTAAAATACACAGCTAAGCAGCCCTTCTGGTTTCCAGTGTCTCCAAATGTATCTCCAGCTTGTGAGCAGATACCTCAAATCCCACTCACTGTTCATTTAGCTATGAAAATGACATATTAGGAATAAGTGTGAATTTTCTGGGAAACAGGACAAGGAGACTAAGGAGCAAGTGGCTGATGTGAAGCAAATAAAGGTGTTTATAAGAGGATCTGTATTATTAGCCAGGTGTAGTGGCATATGCCTCTAGTCCCAGCTAATTGGGAGACCTCATAATCCACCCGCCTTGGCCTCCCAAAGTGCTGGGATGACAGGCGTGAGCCCACTTTTTGCATTTTTAGTAGAGTGGGGTTTCACCATGTTGGCCAGGCTGGTCTCAAACTCCTGACCTCAGGTAATCCACCTGCCTCGCCCTCCCAAAGCGCTGGGATTACGGGCATGAGCCACCATGCCTGGTGTGGGGTATACAATTGAATTGTATACAAGGATTGATAACAAATGCATTGGGCATTCAGAGAAATTAGACATCATTCATGCGGTCCATATGGAGAAAACTGGACTGGAGGAGGGGGCAGAATGAAACACCACTAACCATTCCCAGGTTCTAGTGATTTAGGTCAGCTGTGCAGGGGGTGTCCAATATAACTACAATCAAAGACAAAATTCAAGCTCGTGAGAGACACATACACAAAATATAATTAAAGCCCAAGGGAGGAGAGGTGTTAGTATGAGATGGCTGAGCAAAAAAACTCAGGCTTAATGGTTTTGTTTGGGCAAACAGCTATAGTGAGAAAAGAGAAGCATCGCAGCATAAGGGAAGATAGAGAGGAAGGAAAGCATGTCCCAGGAAAAACACAGAACCTGGTTTGGTTGGGTTGTTCAATTAAGTTTAGCCTAAAGCTGCCCCTCTATATATTTTAAGTTCCACCTAACTGTTTCTCTATCCCTAGTGAACTGTAACCTAACTTGATGTGTAAACAGACTGTAACTTACTTTTGTGCCAATCACCAGGTTTCAGCCAATCAAAATTTGTTCAAACTGTGTTCAAATAAGGCAAATGCTAAGCTGTGACCAATCAGCTATTTCTGTACTTCACTTCCGTTTTCTGTGTGTCATTTTCTTTTTTCTGTCCATAAATCTTCTCCCACCACATGGCTGCACCAGAGACTCTCTGAACTGATGCTGGCTTGGGAGGCTGCCCAATTTATGAATTGTTCTTTGCTCAATTAAACGCTGTTAAATTTAATTTGTCTAAGGTTTTTCTTTTAAGGCAATCATAGAGTTCACATCACAGAGACTTAGGGGAGAACATGATAAAGTGGCAATATTTGGGAGGGCCTTGGATGCTAGTCTGGAACATTTATTTTTATTTTTTCTTCCTTTTTTTTTTACACAGAGTCTTGCTGTTGTTGCCCAGGCTGGAGTGCAGTGGCACAATCTCAGCTGACTGTAACCTCCACCTCCTAGGTTCAAGCAATCCTCCCACCTCAGTCTCCCAAGTAACTGGCTGGGACTGTGGGTGCATGCCACCATGCCTGGCTACTTTTTGTTCATAGAGATGAGTTTTTGCCATGTTGCCCAGGCTGTTCTCGGACTCCTGAGTTCAAGTGATCTGCCTGCCTCGACTTCCCAAAGTGCTGGGATTACAGGCATGAGCCACCACACCCAGCCTCAGTCTGAAACATTTCTGAATCAATGTCCCTGCATTCATTTCTCATAAAGACTGGAAAATATGACTATTAGCTCTTTCTCCATCCCCCTACCTTCCCTTAAAGATGCGTCCTTTAGCTTAATTATTCATTGCAAAAAACGACCTTCTTCCCTTCTGCATTTTTTACTCGAATTTTCAATAGGAAACTTATGTATGGTCAGTTAGCGCTCCAAGAACACACTCAGCTCCGATGGATGAGCCAAGCCTTGGTTAAGACACTGCTCGGTATGTGTGTCTATGATTGTGTGTCACTGCAGAAAAATGGCAGTTAGTCCAGAAAACTAATCACCGGCTGGGCGTGGTGGCTCATGCCTGTAATCCTAGCACTTTGGGAGGCCGAGGCAGGCAGACTGCCTGAGCTCAGGAGTTCAAGACCAGCCTGGGCAACATGGTGAAACCCTGTCTCTACTAAAATACAAAAGAAATTAGCTGGGCATGGTGGCATGTGCCTGTAGTCCCAGCTACTCAGGAGGCTGAGGTAGGAGAATTGTTTGAACCCGGGAGGCGGAGGTTGCAGTGAGCTGAGATAGCGCCACTGCACTCCAGCCTGGGCGACAGAGAAAGACTCTGTCTCTACAACAACAACAGCGAAAAAAAAAACAAAAACAAAAAACTAATCACCTCCTTCAAACAAAAGCAGCCAGAAATTATCTATTATGTATATTTAGATTTGGCAAATCACTTATCAACCACAGGGCTTTGGAGGGAGGCATTTAAACAAATCTCTCTCCTTGGCCAATCCAAATTTGTTCAAACTGTGTTCAAATAAGGCAAACGTTGAGCTGTAAGCAATCAGCTACTTCTGTACCTCACTTCCTCTTTATTATTATTATTATTATTATTATTATTATTATTATTTGGAGATAGGGTCTTGCTCTGTCATCCAGGCTGGAGTGTAGCGGTGTAATCATAGCTCAGTGCAGCCTCAAACTCCTGGGCTTAAGTGATCCTCCTGTCTCAGCCTCCCAAGTAGCTAGGATTGCAGGCATGCACCACCACACCCAGCTAATTTTTAAATTTTTTTTGGAGACACGGTCTTGCTCTGTTACCCAGGCTGGAGCGCAATAGTGCAATAGTGCAATCACAGCTCACTGCAGCCTCAACCTCCTGGACTCAAGCAATCTTCCCACCTCAGTCCTCTGAGTAGCTGGGACTACAGGTGCATTCCAACACAATTGGCTAAATTTTTTTAGTATTTTGTAGATCCAGGGTCTTGCTGTGTTGCCCAGGCTGGTCTGGAACTGCTGGCCTCAAGCAATCTTCTTGCCTCGGCCTCTCAAAGCACTGGGGTCAGAGGTATGCGCCTCCATGCCCAGCCCATGTCCTTTACTTACCTTGGCACTATCTCCCTTGCCCTCCAAATCAGGATCCTCAGTTTATCAAGATCATCTGTCTCTGAAATAATCATTATCATTCATTGCATTTGTGTCACGCTCCACTGTTCCCGATGATACCAATTATCTCATTGGATTCTCACAGAAACCTGGTGATGGAAGCGGGGCAGGGACTATTATCTTGGCAATGAGGGGATTAAATGGGGCTAAGTGACCAGATCAGCTTGGAACTGGCACAACTTGGGACCAGACACAAGGCTCCTAATTCCAAGACCACATTTCTCAAACCTAAGCCTGCATCCGAATCGCCTGGCCTGGAAGCCTGGTTAAAATGCAAATTGCTGGGCCCCCACCCCACAGTAGGTCTGGAGAGAGCCCTCAGACTTAGCTTTGCTGACAGGCCAGGCACGGTGGCTCATGCCTATAATCCCAGCACTTTGGGAGGCTGAGGCGGGCAGATCACTTGAGGTCATGAGTTCGAGACCAGCCTGGCCAACATGGCAAAACCCCATCTCTATTAAAAATACAAAAGTTAGCTGGGCGTGGTGGTGTGTGCCTGTAATCCCAGCTACTCAGGAGGCTGAGGCACAAGAGTCACTTGAGCCCAGGAGGCAGAAGCTACAGTGAGCCAAGATCGCCCTCCAGCCTGGGTGACAAAGTGAGGCTCCGTCTCAAAAAAAAAAAAGAAAAAAGAAATTTGCTTTGCTGAGCAATCCCGGAATAGAGGGTATTCCAGATGGTGACGGTCCCTGGCCTGCATTTTGAGACCTACTGTCTTCAATGTACCCCCAGGGAACCTCACAGGGTCCTCACCTAGTGCGCAGAGCTGCCTTTTCAGCATTATCCAAGCCTGACAGAAAAGGAGTCTTCATTCATCAAGCAGATTGTCACATACTTGCAAAGAACGGTCAGCAACAACAGGCCACTTTTTGCCGGGACCTGTCCCCTGACTGCAAGCAACACCTCCCCGCCGCAGACTCTCACTGTTTCCCCGCTCGGCTTCCCCCTGTGGAGCTCCCTTAACCTCAGTTTGTTTTGTCTCTTAACATCTTCTGACATTTTCCTGCTATTACATCTGACACCTCAGAGGTAATGGGACTGAATATCACTCATAATTCATAGTTTCCTCTCAATGACTATCACACTCCTTAATGTTATCTCCGTATGCGGAATCCCCACTGGGGCAATATTGCCTTTTTGCCATCGTCAGTTAATTTGTTCATTTCCATGTACATTATTGAAAGCACTCTGAGTCTTAATTAGTCCTCTTTAGCTGCTTTTCCCCGCAGCCCCGTGTCACAGAACCAAAGGCACCGAAGCACTGTGAGGAATAGGCCTAATTAACAGGCCCATGATTGAAACTTTGAACAGATAGAATCTGCAGAAGATGGAGATGATTCATCTAGAAAATAGGGGAGCTGATGCAGGGATGGGGGAAGGGAGCGGTTAGGAAGAGCAGCTGGGTTTGGCCAAAGATATCTGTTGTTTGGGGCTGCCTTGCATCTCCTTTGTTTCCAGAAACTCACCGCCTGCCACAGTTGTGAATGGCTCTGGAGAGGCTGTCAATTGCAGAGTCAAGATTCCACCCCTGGCTGAGCAGTGGGTACCTGACTAGGGTCTGGCCATTTGGAAGGCACCATCCTTCTAGCCACGGGGATCCGTTAAGGCATGAACACAGATTTCTAGTTGAGCCACTCAGAGCTCCTTGCCAGGATTTTTCTGCTGGGGATAGCTGGGAGACCTGCCCGTGGGATTTGGGATTATAGGGTTGGAAGAATGTGATGCTCTAACTGCCAGGAGTCATCTCTCCCCACAGCATGAAAGAAGCCCATCTGTGGCAAAAGAGGATGAGACCAGGGTACAGAAAGCAGCCATGCCAGGAGGTGGAGGGAGATGAGAGAGCCCCACAGACAGAGTTTGAGCCCTGGCATTGTGATGCCAATGCTACCCCTCGTGAGGACATCAGACAAGAACCTCCTTGTTTGGGTCACGTGCCGCTAAGACTTCAGCAAGCTCCTTCTGATCAGCTTTGCCTGCTGCTTCAGCCTGGTTGCAATCGTGGGGGCCTGACCTTGAGTTGGTCCCAACCAGGTCAACCAGTGCTAGCATAGTGATGTTACATTCTTGGGGGCATGACCTTGAGTTGGTCCCAACCAGGTCAAGAAAGTGACCGTAAAGACACTTTCATTTTCCCCACACTTTTTTGGTCCTCTCCAAGGAACTGTGTTTCTGCCTCATTTAATCCTACAAGGCCAGTTTCCCTAAAGTACCTGGAGCCTGTTCCCTGTACTAGGATGTCAGCCACAGAATGTCATATCCCTTTGAATACCATGGAGTGCATGGCTGGCCACCCCACTTGGGGGACATCCTTACACAGGCAGTGACTACTAAGCTGCTTCCTGACGTGCACCAACCTCAGCCCTTTTCCCTGGACTCATGCCACAGGAAATACATATTGAGTACCTATTATGTGCTTGGCACATCTGGAAATAAAACAGACATGCTTTCTTCCTTAAGGAACTCACAGTCCAGCAAGGTATGGGAGTTCCTGGAACCTGAGCCTATCCAGTGAAGGCGATTTCTCTGTCTCATCTACACAAGGCAAGGTGTATACTCAACATCCAGTCCACAACCCCTTGATTCTCATCCTGCAGTGACCACAGCCTCCACTGAAGCTTCAAAGTTGGGAGCTGAGCCTCAGTTTAGGTATCAATAAAAGAACCATCAAAGACCTAGGAAGTTTCAGCGATCGCTGTGGCAAAGACCCAACGAGGACTCTGTGTGGCTGCAAAATGGACCTGCAAATTACACATGCACCTTGGCAGGGTGAGAGAGAGCATGCCAGGTGAGTCTCCACATGTGATTGAGGTGTTGGGTTGAAGCCCAAGCCCCTGGCATGGTATTCAAGGCCCTTCCCCATCTGGCCTCACCCTGCTCTTTTGAGCTCGTCTACATCCAAGGCACTTCCCCATAATTCCCGAATCTGAGCACCACACAGTCATGCTTCCACCCCTCAGCCTTTCGCGTGTTGCTTTTTCTGTTCGGGATCCACCTCCCCACTCAACCAAACCCTACACTTCACTGGAGCTCCGGCTCCCACTCACCTTCCCTATGAAGCCTTCATGGTTCTTTCAGCCCACATACCCCATGAGATTAGCAACCACTGCCTTCCTAGTGTATCCATAGTTCTTTCTGCATAATTTAGTATTCCTGCTACCACTATTATCATATTCACTATTATACATAACTGTTTATGCCATGCCCAAAATGGGCCCAGCTCTTAGAATCAAATGTAAATAAAGTAGACACAGTCCTTGCCCTCAAATATATTACAGTATAGTAGGGGATAAAGACAAGTAAGCCATTGAATAACAATATCCCAAGGATACATGGGAAGAGTGCTCATCCCAGACATGAGGAATCAGAGAACACTTCCCAGCAGAAACAGGATATCTGAAATTGAAATATGAACAGGAGCCAGGAGAAGAGAGAAAGGAAAGTATTCTAGACAGAGAAACAACAATGTATTTAACAAATACCTATATAGATCTTTACTTACGTTATTCTGTTGAATCTCTGTAAACACTTTATGATATGGTTTGGCTGTGTCCCCACACAAATCTCATCTTGAATTGTAGTTCCCATAATCCCCATGTGTCATAGGAGGGATCCAGTGGAAGGTAATTGAATCATGGGGGCAGGTTTTTCCCATGCTGTTCTCGTGATAATGAATAAGTCTCATGAGATCTGACAGTTTTATAAAGAGCAGTTCCCCTACACATGCTCTCGTGCCTGCCACCACGTAAGATGTAACTTTGCTCCTCCTTCACCTTCCACCATGATTGTGAGGCCTCCCAGTCATGTGAAACTGCCAGTCCATTAAACCTGTTTCCTTTATAAATTACCCAGTCTCAGATATGTCTTTATTAGCAGTATGAGAATGAACTAATATACTTTAGGAGGTAGATATTATATTCATGCTTGTTTTACATATAGGAAAATTGAGGCCCAGTGAGATTAGGTAACTTGCTCAGGGTCACGTCATTCTAAGAGGTGGAGCTGGGATGTGAAGCCAGCAGTTTTCAGTCCAAACTTTTAAACCTCTCTGTTATGCTGCATGTGGAAAGCCTTAGAAGGAGGAGATAACCCAAATAGCATGAGTCCAAAGGAGATTAGAGTGCCTGGATCAAAAAGTATGGGCAGGGCCAGGTGCGGTGGCTCACTCCTGTAATCTCAGCATTTTGGGAGGCCTAGGTGGGTAGATTGCTTGAGCCCAGGAGTTCAAGACCAGCCTGGGCAATTTGGCAAATCCCTGTCTCTACTAAAAATATGAAAAATTAGCCAGGCATTGTGGTGCACCCCTGTAGTCCCAGCTACCCGGGAGGCTGAGATTAGAGAATCATCTGAACCCAGGAAGTCAAGGCTGCAGTGAGCCAGGATCACGCCACTGCACTCTAGCCTGGGTGACAGGAGTGAGATGCTGTCTCAAAAAAAAAAAAGTGTGGGCAGCTTGAGATGAGGTTGAGGGGAGAAGGACCTTGAAGATGAAGACAGGGCCTTGCAGATATGTTGTGAGACACGCTCACAACAGTGGAGGCATCCACAGATTACAGCAAAGCCTTGTCTTAGAGCAGGGAATGGACTGGAAAGAGCAAGAGAGGAGGTGATGCAAGCAGTTGAGGCTGCTGCAGTCTTACCTGCAGAAGAGGGTGGTGCCTTGCACCAGAAACAATGGAGATGGAGAAAAGCAAATAAATTTGAGGGATAATTAGGAGATCAAAGAGACAAATTTGGTAATTGATCGGGTGTAGAGTGAGGAGGAAATAAGTGGCTAGGAGGACACTTGTTTCTGGCATCCCGTTGGGAAGTACAAGGTTGGTGTTTCCATTTTTTGCTATAGAGAGTCCAGGATAAGGCCAGGCACATTGGCTCATGCCTGTAACCCCAGCAGTTTAGGAGGCCAAGGTGGGCAGATCACCTGAGGTCAAGAGTTTGAGACCAGCCTGGCCAACATGGTAAAACCCCATCTCTACTAAAAATACAAAAATTAGCTGGGCATGGTGGCAGGTGCCTGTAATCCCAGCTACTTGAGAGGCTGAAACAGGAAAATTGCTTGAACCCGGGAGGCAGAGGTTGCAGTAAGCCGAGACCGTGCCATTGCACTCCAGCCTGGGTGACCAGAGCGAAACAGCATCTCAAAAAAAAAAAAAAAAAGACAGCGTAAAATAAGTGTTACATTCTCTCCAATGCACCACAATATAGCCATCTCTCATTGAGGTACACCCAGCATTCTTTGCCCCAAGACCAAGAAGATTAAGAAGCATGGATGACAAGGGTGAAGTTGGAGGGAGAGTTTAATTAGCGAAAGAAGAAAGATCTCCGCCCTGAAGAGGGATCCCAAAAAAGTGTTGCCGTTTTCACAGTTGAGTGCAAAGGCTTTTATAAGAAACTGATGAGGCCTGGGCATCTCATTTGCATAAGATGCACATTTCTGGTAACTCCACCCCATCCTCCTAGTGTGCACGTAGGCCCTTAGCTTGAGTTACTCCCTGTTGCTTTGTTCCCCTTACTGCACATGTGTCAGGGAATGGAATTTTGCATTGCAGGTACATCGGGCAAGTCTCCTATGTAGCCTTTCTTATGTGACTCTTGGCATGCTTTAGGCAAACCCCTCTGGGCAAGTTTCCTTATCTGTGCCTGCAGCTTGATTTTTTTAGGCTGTTCTTTTGTTTGAAAGAATTTAACCAAGGACCCACCCTAACTGACTGCCTGACTGGTTTCTTCCTTTCTCCTCTCTCAGAAGCAGCCTTGAGAAAGAATATGGTGAGTTCAACATTGGGTACAGGGGATATAAATGTGATACATTTATACCACAGATGTGTGCTGCAGGTAATCGGATATATAGATTTTCAGCTTAGGTGAGAGTGCTGGGGTAATGATGTGGGAATGATCAACATATAGATGGTGTAAAGGGGTGAATGAGATTACCCAGGGAAACCAGGTCATACTGGACAGAAGGGCCAGACACCCAAATTCAAGGAGAAGTCAAAGGGAAAAATACAAACAAGGTAATTACAGCAAACAATTATTTAGCACATATTTTGTAACAGGCATGGATCCAAGTGTTTTACATGTGTTAACCAATTTAATCCTCATAATAGTTCTAAGAGTCAGAGGCACAGAGAGTTTATGGAACTTGTCCAATGGCACACAGCTAGTAAGTAAGTGCTGGAACCAGGATTTGAACACAGGCAGTCGACTCTAAAGTCTATGCTCTTCACATGCTATGTAACTACAGCCATCAACAGGAAACACAGGAACAGGCTGTTCCAGGTAGGATGGAGTAGTTCACAGTGTCAAATGCTTCTGAAAGTTCCATGAAGAAAGACTGAGAAGGACCCATTGGATTTAGCATGAAGCCAGCCATTCGTGCTGTTGGCTAGTGCAGTTTCTCCTGGGTGTCAGGGTGCAAACCAGATTGCAGTGACTTGAAAAGAAAAGGAGGCCCAGCGTGGTGGCTCCCATCTGTAATCCCAGACTTTGGGAGGCTGAGGTGGGTGGATCACTTGAGGTCAGGAGTTTGAGACCAGCCTGGTCAATATGGAGAAACCCCATCTGTACTAAAAATACAAAAATTAGCTGGGTGTGGTGGTGGATGCCTGTAATGCCAGCTACTCGAGCATAGGCTTTAGAGATGATTGCCTGTGTTCAAGAATCCAGGCTGAGGCAGGAGAATCACTTGAACATAGGAGGCAGAGTTTGCAGTGAGCTGAGATTGTGCCACTGCATTGCAGCCTTGGCCACAGAACAAGACTTCAACTCAAAAATAAAAATTAAAATTAAAATTAAAATTAACATATAAGAAAAGAAGAAAGGGTAGATAATTAGTTCAAACAATTCTTTCAAGAATCTTGGCAATGAATAGAAAGAAAAAGTACAGGAAGCAGAGCAGGCAACTGAAATGGGATCAGGGAAACTTTCTGATTTTTAATGTGGGGGAAATTTGGGCATGTTGAGTTGATGTGGAGAAGCAGAGCAGGAGAGAGTAAAAGAGGCTTTCCCTGCCAGGCGCGGTGGCTCATGCCTATAATCTCAGCACTTTGGGAGGCCGAGGCAGGTGGATCATGAGGTCAGGAGTTTGAGACCAGCCTGGCCAACATAATGAAACCCTGTCTCTACTAAAAATACAAAAATTAGCTGGACATGGTGGCACGTGCCTGTAGTCCCAGCTACTCGGGAGGCTGAGGCAGGAAAATTGCTTGAACTCAGGAGGCGGAGGATGTGGTGAGTCAAGATCACGCCACTGCACTCCAGCCTGGGCAACAGAGTGAGACTCCATCTCAATAAATAAATAAATAAATATTTTAAAAAAGAGTCTTTCCCATGAGCAAGTTCCCAAGTAAGTGGAAGAGATGGGATCCAGGGTAGAGTTGGAGATGTTAACTCTAGAGGCAGAGATGTTAGCTTGGAAGAGGGACACTTTTACCATAGAACAAGAGAAACAGAGGAAATAATGGCTCAGAAGGAGATGATGTTATAAGATTGTGGAGGGGGATTTGAAGGAGGTTGCATCTGACGATTTTTATTTTCTCTGATATGTCACGTGAGAACATCTATTGAGCAGAAAGGTGGAAGCGATGGGTACGTATGTTTGAAGAATGTCTGAGTGTTTCCCCTTCTTGGAGTTAGGGAACACGGATGATATCCTTCATGCCTAGCCCAATGTTGAGACAGGATAGATGCTCAACAAGTGTTTGTAAATTGCATGTAGCATTGCACTGGGTTGGAATCTTCTCAGAATCCCAAGGTGGGACCCTAATGGGCTGAGAAGGATCTGCCCTTGTCACAGCAAAGTTTTGCCTGGGGTAAATTTGAGACTGGACAGTTGAGATGGATCAATCCTACCACGTGACCAAAGCATCTCCTTCCAGCTAGGATTCTAAGGCAGGATGAAGGAACTTAGGCTCTCCTTAGGCATCAACAGATTATAGCAAAGCCTTGCCTTAGAGCGGGGAATGGACTGGAGAGAGCAAGAGAGGAGGTGATGCAAGCAGTTGAGGTTGCTGCAGTCTTTCCTGCAGAAGAGGGTGGTGGCTTGCACCAGCAACAGTTGAGATGTAGAAAAGCAAATAAATTTGAGAGATAATTAGGAGATCAGAGAGACAAATTTGGTAATTGATTGAGTGTAGAGTGAGGGGAAATAAGTGGCTAGGAGGACGCTTGTTTCTGGCATCCAGTTGGGAAGTACAAGGTTAGTGTTTCCAATTTTTGCTATAGAGAGTGCAGGATAAGGCCAGGCATCGTGGCTCATGCCTGTAACCTCCGCACTTTAGGAGGCCGAGGTGGGCGTATCATCTGAGGTCAGGAGTTTGAGGAACTCTAGCTCTTCTAGAGTAACTCTGCAGAGAGTAGTTGGACAAGGGCCACCCTTTGTCAGGAAGGAAAGATGGAGTGGCAATCCTTTCAAGGTGAATAGCAGCTACCAGGGTTGCCCTAACAAACTAGGGACTTTGTTATTTGGAAACTTATGCAACATTTAGTCAACCATCTATTTGTAAGTCATATTTGCAAGTCATATTCAACTGTCTAATTTATTGCTCAGGTACAGACCCTGTAGCTTGAATGAAATGTATCCAGTTTTCATAGCTGAAATGCACCCCCTTCACAAAATTAAAAGCCCACGGGCTTACAGGGTCCCTCTTTTAGAAGTTTCCATCAGTCCTCCTCCCAACAACTTACTAGACTGAAAACACTCAGCCCAACTTTTTCGTGAAGAGTAAATTTTAGGTCCAGTGGTTACATGACTGATTTTAGCTCTATGCTGTTTCTTGTTATTGATAAGTTGACTAGGAAGATTGTTCAATTGAAGCACTCTAAATTAATCCATCATCAGCATTTTATTTTACAAGCCAAAGCCACAGTTGTCTCGAGCTATGCAGACATTACCAAAATCCAATATTACTGTTACCCTGCTGGGTGTGAACCACAGCATCACAGCTGGATTCCAGTGGAGAGAAGCAGAACCTGCTTGGTGAATGTGCAATAATGCTGAGCTCTCTCTTGGACTTAGACCTAAACACATACTTATTTCAACATTAGGTAATCATGATGCATGCTCTCCTAGCAAAGCAATAAGGATATCCATCCTTCTTCATCACAAAGGGCATGGATTTATCACTTCAGACCACAAAGGCCATCTAGAAGCAGCTGAAATTGTTGCAAAATTGACATCCAAAGAATAGTTCATGGTAACTCTGCAAAGCAAAATGGGTTGGCCTAAACAATTCCATCCAACAAGCCAATTCACTTGGTTATCTGGCACTACAATGTACAACTCACCCCTTCTGGGGCCCCAACCAAAAAGCCAACTTGCTAAAAATTACACACTTGGCAGAAGTCATGTTCCTTTTTTTACACAAGTGACTGGCAATATCTACCCTGAAATGTTTCAGACCAAAACCACCCCATAGGATTCTCTGAAGTCATCCAGACACTTACGCTGGCCCTACAACAGGCATAAACTTCTTTGAGAAAAAAAATAAATATTTGCACAGTTCACTGCTACTCCTAGGAAGAGAGGAGAAGCAAGTGAACTGCACAAAGATTTCTTTTTCTTATAGGAAGAGAGAGACGGCTGCTCTCAAGATGAGAACAGTTAGGCTGCTTTCATAAATAAACAACAGCCTTTAATCCCAGCACTTTGAGAGGCCGAGGAGGGTGGATCTGAGGTCTGGAGTTCAAGACCAGCCTGGCCAATATGGCAAAACCCCGTCTCTACCAAAAAATAATAAAAAAAAATTAGCCAGGTATGGTGGCACGCACCTATAATCCCAGCTACTCAGGAGGCTGAGGCGCAAGAATTGCTTGAGCCTGGGAGACAAAGTTTGCAGGGAGCCAAGATTGAGCCACTGCACTCCAGCCTGGGTGACAAAGAAAGACTCTGTCTCAAAACTAAATAAATAAATAAACATCAATTTTACAGCCTGCATGTCTAGTATCTACCACAGCATTGTTTGATGTATTTTAGGTCTTGGAATTCTTTGAGAATCCGAAAAAATCCACGGACTCATGACCATCCAACTCTTCCCAATCTCCCCAAATGCACATAAGTATACAAACATAAAATTTTGCATTACAGAAGATGGATGGACTCCCTGAAGCTCTTTTATAAACCCCTGGAATGGCTTATCCAAGAAAGGGGAAATCTTCTGCTATTATGAAGCATATGAATTTTGTTTTCATGAACAGAATTAACACCCACATTCTAAGCACTTACTAGAGAATTCAGTCAGTGAGTTGATCAGTGTGAGAAATGCAGTCTTAGATATGATCAGCTTTTGCTAGATTTCACGGTGGTAACTAGCAACCCTGGATGGCTCAGTGGCTTTCGACAATGCAAGATTCTCCCATGTTTGTGTTAACTGTCCTTTACGGATCAGTTACTCTTCTGCTCCTCATCTGGTTCATCCCAGGGCTCAGACTGAAGGTGTCACCCCTTCAGATCTTATTGCAAAAGTAAAAGGACATGTTCTAGATCTTGAAGTGTTCTTTAACGTCTCTGCATGGATGCAGCATCCTCCACTCCTGTTCATATTCCATGGCCCGTAACAGGGAACATGGCCAGGTCTCATGTCAATGAGATATGGACTAGCTCCTCTCACAGGGCATGAGGTCAGGGGGAACCATGGAATGTAACCCTGTAGGGTTGGGCCTGATACAGAGGGACAGTAAATACTTTGAAGGAATTGTACAGGCTACTGTGATGGTTAATATCGAGTGTCAACTTGATTGGATTGAAGGATGCAAAGTATTGTTCTGGGTATTGCCAAAGGAGATTAACATTTGAGTCAGTGGACTGGGAGAGGCAGACCCACCCTCAATGTGGGTGGGCACCAGCTAGTTAGCTGTCAGTGCAGCTAGAACATAAAGCAAGCAGAAAAACATGAAAAGACTAGACTGTCTTAGCCTCCCAGCCTATATCTTTCTCCCCTGCTGGATGCTTCCTGCCCTCAAACATCGGACTCCAAGTTCTTCAGTTTTGGGATTCGGACTGACTTCCTTGCTCCTCGGCTTGCAGACAGACTATTGTAGGACCTTGTGACTGTGTGAGTCAATACTTCTTCATAAACTCCCCTTTGTATATACATCTATCCTATTAGTTCTTTCTCTCCAGAGAACCCTAACTGATACAGCTACCATACTTAGGGGCCTGCCAATCAATTGCACAGGTTCCCAAGTTCCAACCTTGATCAATGGAGGGAACAGAAAGCAAGAAATTCCTACTACAATAACTGACACCTGTCAAATTACTTTCCTTGAAAGGGAACTTTATGTCATGGCCCTTGAGTCTGGAGCTGAATGTCTGGGAGAGGAAGAAACCTGACTATTGAAGACCTTGTCTATTAGCCATTTAATATCCCTGAGAAAGTGATCTATTGGCCTGAAAAATTCCTCTTACAGTTTATGACTGGGATAAAAGTTAGGGCTTCTTAGAGAACTGATTTGCTTCTTTCTATCACATCATGAGGCTGACACATTACTTAAGATTTTTATCTGACCTCAGTTACCAAAGAGTTTAGAGTTAAATTTCATACACAAGAGCAATAAACATGTAGTCTTTTATTTCAAGTTAAATTATAGCTTCCCATTTTCTTTTTTTTTAACTTTTAAGTTCAGGGTTACATGTGCAGGTTTGCTACATAGGTAAGCCCATGTCATAGGGGTTTGTTATGCAGAATTATTTCATCACCCAGGTATTAAGCCTAGTACTCAATAGTCATTTTTCCTGATCTTCTTCTTTGTCCCACCCTCCACTCTCCAATAGGCCCCATTGTGTGTTGTTCCCCTCTATGTGTCCACGAGTTCCCATCATTTAGCTCCCACTTATAAATGAGAACATGTGGTATTTGGTTTTCTGTTCCTGCATTAGTTTGCTAAGAATAATGGCCTTCAACTCCATCCATGTTCCTGCAGAGGACATGATCTTGTTCTTTTTTATGGCTGCATAGTATTCCATGCTGTATATATACCACATTTTCTTTATCCAGTCTACCATTGATGGGCATTTAGGTTGATTCCATGTCTTTGCCATTGTTAATAATGCTGCAGGGAACATATGCATTCATGTGTCTTTATGATAGAATAATTTATATTCCTTTGGGTATATACCCAGTAATGGGATTGCTAGGTCCAATGGTCATTCTGTTTTTGGCTCATTGAGGAATCACCACACTACTTTCCACAGTAATTTACACTCCCACCAACAGTGTGTCAATGTTCCTTTTTCTCCACAACCTTGCCAGCATCTGTTATTTTTGATTTTCAATTATAACCATTCTGACATTGCTATAACATGGTGTCTCACTGTGGTTTTCATTTGCATTTCCTTAACAACTAGTGATGTTGAGCTTTTTTCATATGCTT
Source organism: Homo sapiens (assembly GCF_000001405.40). Taxonomy (NCBI): domain Eukaryota; kingdom Metazoa; phylum Chordata; class Mammalia; order Primates; family Hominidae; genus Homo; species Homo sapiens. The sequence goes on along the minus strand of NC_000007.14, from coordinate 67,702,513 downwards.
TTTGGCCACATGTATGCCATTTTCTATATGGCTTCTTTTTTGCTCTTTATGATTTCATTTTTAAAAATAATAATTCAGAATTTTTTTTCTAGTTGGAAAAGTAAACATACTTAACACAGAAATTTAGGAAAACAACAGAAAGCAAAAAGAAGAAAAAGTTATCATAATGCCACCTCTCTTCCACCCCAAAAATCAGCCCTGATAACATTTTTGTATATTCCTTCCAATATTATATTTATATCTATTTACATAAAAATGTATAGGATATATTATATTATTTATACTTACATGTTGGATTTGGTTGGCTAGTATTTTGTTGACAATTTCTGCATCTAAGTTCATCTGGGATATGGTTCTGTAATTTTCTTTTTTTTTTTTGAGACAGTCTTGCTGTGTCATCAGGCAGGGATGCAGTGTGCAGTGGCATGATCTCGACTCACTGCAATCTCCGCCTCCCAAGTTCAAGCCATTCTCCTGCCTCAGCCTCCCAAATAGCTGGGAACTGCAGGCACACACCACCACACCTACCTATTTTTTGTATTTTTAATAGAGATAGAGTTTCACCATGTTGGCCAGGATGGTCTTGATCTCTTGACCTTGTAATCTACCCTCCTTGGCCTCCCAAAGTGCTGGGATTACAAACGTGAGCCACTGCACCTGTCCAGTCCTATAATTTTCTTTTCTTCTAGTGTCTTTATCTGGCTTTGGTATGAGGATAATGCTGGCCTTGTAAAATGCGTTTGAAAGTTTTCCTGCCCCTTCAATTTTTTTGGAAGAGTTTGAGAAAGTTTAGCATTAACTCTTCTTTAAGATGTTTGGTGGAATTCACCCATGAAGCCATCAGTCCTGGGCTTTTCTTTCCTTTGAGGTTTTCAATTACTGTTTCTATCGCCTTCCTTGTTATTGATCCATTCATATCTATTTCTTCACAACTCAATCTTGGTCTTTTATTGGCTATTTCCATGGCTGGGGAAGTAGCCACTGAGTGGTACATTGAATATGCTTTTTATGTACTTTTGAATTATTCAGTCTTAAAGTAGTGTTTTTACAGTATTAATAAGGCCTCCCTTTATATACAATACTATAATTAATACAAGCCTGCCGAAGCTGAAAAATAGTGTCATCGAGAATTACATAAGTTCACCTGGAGGCTGAGGTTGCCGTGAGCCAAGATTGTGCCACTGCACTCCAGCCTGGGTGACAGAGTGAGACTCTTTCTCGAAAAAAAGAAAAAAAAAAGAATTGTGTAAGTTCAAAGCTGGTAAGCGGGCTAGGAAAAGTCACACTCACCCATCTGTGGGGAATGCCACATAACCCAAACCACAATGTGTGTCCATGAGAACTTCCACGTGTGAGTTTGACGGCTGTGATACCATTATTTCAACATTTACTAGTGTTGTCACTTACAATGTCACTCAAGCATTCATAAGTCAGGATGTAAGCGCCAGGGCTAAAAAACACATCCCCAAATCAAAAACTCAGCGGCAGAAGTTAGAAGTAATAAACCCACAGGGTGTTCTGCATAAATGGTTTAGGAGATGCACTCAGCAGCGGTGCTGGCGTGTGTGTACCAAGAGACAAAAACCAGAGAGCTCATAATGGGAATGTTTGTCATAGCCAAACATTGGACTCAGCCTAAGAGTCCATCAACAGTCAAATGGATAACTAAATTACAGTATCCACAACAGAGCACCGTGCAGCAACACAGGCAAATGGACTCAACGTACATGTTTGAATGGTATGGATGGATGAATGGTATAGACACCCTTTGAACAAAACAACATGGATGAATGGTACAGACACAACTTTGAGCAAAAGAAGCTGGGCCCACAAATAATACATCCTGTAAAACTTTGGTGCAAGAACCAGGACACACTTGAACTCAAGTTTGAGAATGCATGTTTAGGTAGTGAATGATGAAGAAAAGCAAATAAGCAATTCCCAATAAAAGTCAGGGTGGAAGAAGGTGTGGTGCTTGGGAAGGGGCCCATGGGGGACTCAGCACTGACCAAGTTCTGTCTCTTGGCTGGGCAGTGGTTACATGGGTGTTTGCTTTGTGATAAATCGTTAAGTTGTGTATCTTTGTTTTGTGCACTTGTTACATGTGTATTATATTCCACAGTATAAAAGGCTATGGAGGCCAGGCACTGTGGCTCATGCCTGTAATTCCAGCACTTTGGGAGGCTGAGGCAGGTGGATCATTTGAGGTCAGGAATTCGAGACCAGCATGGCCAATGTGGCGAAACCGCATCTCTACTAAAAATACAAAAATTAGCTGGGTGTGATGGCATGTGCCTATAATCCCAGCTACTCGGGAGGCTGAGGTGGGAGGATCGCTTGAACCTGGGAGGCGGAGGTTGCAGTGAGCCAAGATCGCACTACTGTACTCCAGCCTGGGTGACAGAGTGAGACTCTGTCTCAAAAAATAAATAAATAAATAGGTACAGTGTGATAGGGTTATAGAATCCAGTATGACAATTTGCATGATCTTGAATTGTGAGTCTTGTTCTCCTTTTGTCCCTTCTCTTGCTTTTACCCTGAGGGGCATCCTACCTCCTGCAGCCTGTCATAAGTGAGAGCACAGATTCTCAAAGTGCCAGAGGAAGATGATGGAGCATTATTAAGACCAGTGTTTCCCCTTGCAGAGACCAAATAAAGCTGAACTTGGGGGAGGAGAGGAAGAAGTATGTGGGAATCAGAGGAAGATGGCAGGAGGAGATGAAGATGAGACCTTCCTCAACAAAGACCAAGACACAAAATAGACAGACCTGGTCTGCTCTTGGAGTAGCCCTTCCTGTGCACACAACTCACACCAACAGACTCATCCCTATAAACACCCTGCCTGAAACAGTCCACGATTTTGTTTTTTGTTCTGTTTTTTGTTTATTTGTTTGTTTGTTTGTTTTTTAATGAGACAGAGTCTCCCTCTGTCACCGAGGCTGGAGTGCAGTGGCGTGATCTCAGCTCACTGCAACCTCCACCTCCCCAGTTCGAGCAATTCTCCTGCCTCAGCCACGGCCCCCTCCTCCCTGAGCCTGCCACCGACTAGCTGGGATTACAGGCGTATACCACCATGCCTGGCTAATTTTTATATTTCTTTTCTTTTCCTTTTTTTTTTTGAGACGGAGTCTCGCTCTGTCACCCAGGCTGGAGTGCAGTGGCGTGATCTCAGCTCACTGCAACCTCCGCCTTCTAGGTTCAAATGATTCTCCTGCCTCAGCCTCCCAAGTAGCTGGTACTACAGGCATGTGCCACCACATCCGGCTAATTTTTTGTATTTTTAGTAGAGACAGGGTTTCACCATGTTGCCCAGGCCGGTCTCAAACTCCTGACCTCAGGTGACCCACCTGCCTCAGCCTCCCAAAGTGCTAGGATTTCAAGTGTGAGCCACTGCACCCAGCCAACAGTCAATGATTCTTGTCCATCCCACCCCACTTCCCCCAACAGAGGGGAGGACACCTGGAATCAATCTGTGGACATGAGGGCTGTGATCTGAGAGACCAAAACAGATTCTCCTTTATGGACCCTAAAGTTAAGGAAACAAAAGTTACCTAAAGGCCCAGGGCCCGGGCATTCGACTGGCATAGCAACTCCCTAAAATTCCTACAACTACAAGAAAAACTACAGTCTTGAGCATTTCCCTAACAATCGGATTTAACAGACTAAATAAATGTCAGACCCTCCCTAACTCTGATTTAAGACCCAGACCACTGCAACTGTGATGGGACAGAGGACCGGCCTTGCAAACATTCTTTCCTGATAAACAACTGTAAACCCCAAGCTGCTTTCAGCCGGCGTATAGAGACTGCACACAAACTGTCTTTGTGTCCTGTCATCGCTTTTTGATGTAAAGAGCCCAACTCCACCTCATTTTAATGCTAAAACCCCGCCCCACAGTGAACATGGGATGTATGTTACATGTATGTTTACCCATTGTACAGCACTGTACTCCCCTCATAAATATGTATAGTTTCCCCCAAACCTGATGAATATGTATGACTCTATTGTGTAACCCAGACCCTATGAGGCATAAAAGCCAACTTCTCTTTTCCTTCTTTGGAGAGAGAGCACCTTCGGCTCATGCCAGAGACCGTCTCTTCCCAGGTTGGGAAGTGACATCACCAATAAAACTCTTCTTTCTACTTTTTAGCCCTCCTGGTAGTCCTTTGAAGGACAGGGCAGAAAGAGAGACCCTTGGCCACGGATCAAGGCAGACCTAAACAGAACGGCAGGGGATTCCCATCACTATTACAGAATTTTAGCCCCATGAAGGTCAAGAATGACACTGCTGTAAGCTGGGGAGAGGAGTACTATATTCCCTTCCCCATGGCTTCCGTAGGCACAATTGGAAACTTTCAACCTAGTTTTTTGTTTGTTTGTTGTTTGTTTGTTTTGAGATGGAGTCTTGCTCTGTTGCCCAGACTGGAGTGCAGTGGCACGATCGCGGCTCACTGCAACCTCTGCCTCCCAGGTTCAAGAGATTCTCCTGCCTCAGCCTCCCAAGTAACTGGGATTACAGGTGCCCACCACCACACCTGGCTAATTTTTGTATTTTTAGTAGAAACGGGGTTTCACCATGTTGGCTTGGCTGGTCTCGAACTCCTGACCTCAAGTGATCCTCCTGCCTCAGTCTCCCAAAATGCTGGGATTACAGGTGTGAACCATCACTTACGGCTGTCTCTGTAATTCTAATGGCTAAAGTTGTCATACGAGTGTCTGCATAGAACTTCTATGCTTATGTCGTCCTGGGTCCCAGGACCGTGGCTCTTTTCTGCTTTCATCCCGAAACTCATTACCTCATTCTTGCTTCTCCAATAAGAGCCACTCCTGGAGCATGTGCACCTGGGGAACAGAAAGAGCTCCCCGAGTCCTCCCGCACTTCAGGGTCGACTCACTGGACTGGATTTCCTAGGACTTATCCTTGCCTGAATGGTGCTGGATTGCTCTACCCTTTTGCAAGGTTGTAGGCTGGGGGCCTAACCCCTGCTCGCTGCCCTGGTCAGCAGCTTGGCCTGATCTTGGCCCTCCCTCTCTTCCTGCTTGCCTGGTGTTACAGCCCGATTTTTTTGTCTGTTTGCTTTTGTTTTGTTTTGTTTTGAGACAGAGTCTCGCTCTCTCTCCCAGGCTGGAGTGCAGTGGCACGATCTCAGCTCACTGCAGCCTCCGCCTCCCAGGTTCAAGCGATTCTCCTGCCTCAGCCTCTCAAGTACCTAAATTATTTTTAACATCTTCTCTTCCCAGAACTAACGCTTACTGTGTATTCTACGTTCAAAACATATTTACAACAGTTATTTAAACTGAATCCTGTGTTTTAGTGATTTCGGTGCTTGCTGTCATTTTCATGCTGCCCAGGTTGGTTATTTGTGGATTCTTTACCATGATTCATCCTTTAGGTGCCTGGCACATTTCTTTGCTAACTTCCTGAGTGTAGGTTGGTGGGTGGGGTTGAAGCCGAGCTGTTGCCTCTCGGAGGATAGCTTCCTTGTTCTTTCACACAGGAGCAGATCATGCATGACAACTCCTTTTACCTTCAAAACTGTCATCGCTTGTCCATCTCGTGCCCTATTAAATGCTGTGAAAGACAAGCCAAGGTAAGCCTGACTTGTATTCTTCTGTCATGAGTCTGTTCTTTCTGGCGTATGTGCTGGGTGATTATTTCTTTGTCCTTGAAGTTTAAGAATTCTGCTGGAGCATTTCTAGGTGTTGTTCTGTTTTCGTTCTTTTTGACTGGCACCGGGTGTGCACGTTTGATCTGCAGGTGTAGGTCTTTCTCCAGCTCAGAACTGCCTTCTTTGAATGCTGCTCCTATTCTCTGTGCTCTGATCTCTTGCTCAGTGACATGGGTTTTCAGCGCACGGAGGCTCCATTATCTGTCCCCTAGCTCTTTCCTCGCCTCTCTGACTGCTCACCTCTGATCACTTTGTCCTTTTCTCAGCAGACTGCTCAAGTTTACATCCATTCAGGGGCCTGTAAATGGGGTGTTTAGTCAAATAGGTCACTATTCGATCTATCTCCTCCCTGCCAGCTCATGTAGATTGACTTTCTTCTATGTAATTTTTGTCCAAGGTAACTTCCACCCACCTGGCCCCGAAACAAGAGGAGAGGTGTTTTTACTTTTGGCCTCAAGTGCAGGAGCAATACGTGATCATCCATAGCTGGGCAGACTGTCAGAGGCTCCTACAACAGTCCACATCCCAGGACTTTTGCATGTTCATGGTACATTTGGCATCTGACCTGCCAAACCCAGCCAAGGAAACAAAATCAGAAGCTAGTTCTCTGTTGAAGGGATACCAGCTGGGTGCGGTCGTTCATGCCCATAATTCCAGCACTTTGGGAGGCTGAGGTGGGAGGATTACTTAAGCTCTGGATGTGGAGACCAGCCTGGACAGCAAAGTGAGACCCCAACCACATTTCTACAAAAAAAAAAAAAAATCAAAAAATTAGCCAAGCATGGTGACATGTGCCTGTGGTCCCAGCTACTTTGGAGTCTGTAGTTGAGAGGATTGCTTTAGTCCAGTGGTTGAGGCTGCAGTGAGCCATGATCGTGTGACTGCACTCTAGCCTGGGTGATAGAGCAAAACCTTGTCAAAAAAAGAAAAAGGAAAGAAAGAAAGAGAAAGAAAGAAAGAGAGAAAGAAAGAAAGAAAGAAAGAAGGAGAGAGAAAGAAAAAAGAAAGAGAGAGAGAGAAAGAAAAAAGAAAGAAATATCATTGAGATGCCATTTCCAATATTAGAATTACAACCAGTTTCTTTGTGGGAGCCAAAATGGGGAAGGCCCTGACCACTTTCCCATCGGTCATTCAAGCAAGTGATACAATTGTCCTTCCTATTACTTGCAAGCAGAAGATGAGTGACGGTCGGCTCTGGCTGGATTTTAGCCTGACCTCCTAATCATAATCACATTAGAGTGAGTCCAGGGAGCTGAAATTACATCTGTCATCCCAGGTACAGGAAAGGTTTAGGGGAAAATGTGTTCCTAACTTATATCATCTGCTGAGACACCACACAGTTGTGCCTTTAACGCTTTCCTTTCCCAGAGTTCCCTGGTTACGGATCTCCAATCGTTAGGTAGAGTCATCACCCAATGCACTGAACATGGCTAAAGCCAGGCTTTATGTGTGGTGTTGGTCATAAGTTTTGGATATTTAATGATTTTTTTTTTTTTTTGAGATGGAGTCTCACTCTGTCACCTAGGCTGGAGTGCATTGGCGCGATCTCGGCACACTGCAGTCTCCGCCTCCCGGGTTCAAGTGATTCTCCTGCCTCAGCCTCCCGAGTAGCTGAGACTACAGGCGCCTGCCACCACGCCAGGCTAATTTTTTGTATTTTTAGTAGAGACAGGGTTTCACCGTGTTAGCCAGGATGGTCTTGATCTCCTGACCTCATGATCCGCACGCCCTGGCCTCCCAAAGTGCTGGGATGACAGGCGTGAGCCACTGCACCTGGCCAACTTAAATGATTTTTAACTGTCCTCTTCGTCTAAAAAGGCATCTCATAGCCTCTTTGGTAAGGGATATGGTATAAATTATAAAGACCCCTGCAACTGAAATGGCCTTGGTTTCACAAGCTTGTCAATACAACTGTCCTCATGTTAATGTCAACACTTATCTTAGGACTTACATCTTGCTGTATTGAGTTAAGCTCTCACCCACTCATGTGGAAAATCAAGTCTCTCGATGAACTTAGCCAGGTGTTTTAGCCTCTGCTCTCCCAAAAGGAAGAGCTACAGGCAAGGGCTTATGTACACGTATTTTATTTGCAGAAGTCATTTCAAGAAATAAGAATATAGTCTGGGGTGAATGAAATTGAGGGGTGCAAAGCCCAATCTATGGCTGCAATATTAAGCTGGTCACCACTTCAGTAAACTGGATTCCTGACCCCCAGAATGCAGCCATGTAGAATGCACTTTAGAATTGTTTGTCTTAGGATGGAAAGGTTAATATTTAAATCTCAGCTTCCATTTTCCATCGGTCAAGATTTGCACCCCCAGTGTTGATTCCCTCCTACTTCTGCAAGAATCCTAAAGGACATATGTTAGAATGGCAGAGTGGTTCCTGCAGACATTCCAAAAGAGACAAACTTCAGAGAGAAGACAAGAAAAGCCTGGTACAGCTGAGGAAAGGTTACACCTGCAGACAGGTGCCAAGTTCCACCAGCAGACAGCTGGTTACCACAGCAACAGCCAGACCATCAGGTAGGCTGAGAGAATGCAAAGTAGAGGATGTGTCCTCTGCACCGGGGCATCTGCAAGGAGTGGGTCTTCTGTGTGTCTTTTCAATGTTTACTATTGTAACTGGCAGAGCAAATGTTCTGTGTTCACAGGCTACCAAAGAGAACACGCCTCTCTGTATACCTGAGAGGAGATGGAGATGACAGAGGGAGAGAGAGAGAGAGAGAGAGCACACCAGAGAGCCAGAGAGACAGACAGAAAAATAGGGAGATGATAGAGGTGACAGAGATAGAGATGATAGAGATAGATAGACAGGCGAGAAAGAGACAGAAAGAGACAGAGTATGAGGCCCTCTAGTTAACAAAATTAAATAAATGGAATATTTTCAAAATAAACATAAATTTAATATAAATATAAAAGTACATTGCTGGGCACTTGCACACCCACAAACTCTTTTAGCTCTCACTGAAAACATGAGAAGTAGGCATTATCTCTTTTTTTTTTTGGATGGAATTTCACTCTTGTTGCCCAGGCTGGAGTGAAATGGCACAATCTCGGCTCACCGCAACCTCTGCTCCCGGGTCCAAGCCATTCTCCTACCTCAGCCTCCCAAGTGGCTGGGATTACAGGCACGCGCCACCACACCCAGCTAATTTTGTATTTTTAGTAGAGACGGGGTTTCACCATGTTGGCCAGGCTGGTCTCGAAATCCTGACCTCAGGTGATCAGCCCACCTCAGCCTCCCAAAGATTATCTTTATTCCATAAGTTAGAAAGGTGAGTTTCAGAGAAGTAATGTCCCAAGATTATACCACTAGTGAGTACCCACACCACGGTTTGGATTCAAGACTGTCTAACACAAAAACAACTGTATCACATAGTACTCAAAATGCTCAATACTTTGGATTTTAACTTGTTTTTTTTTTTTTTAAATCTTTTAAGGGACAAGGTCTTGGCCAGGCGCGGTGGCTCATGCCTGTAATCCCAGCACTTTGGGAGGCAGAGGCAGGCAGATCATGAGGTCAAAAGTTCAAGACCCCGTCTCTACTAAAAATACAAAAATAAGCCAGAGGTAATGGCGCATGCCTGTAATCCCAGCTACTCAGGAGGCTGAGGCAAGAGAATCACTTGAATCCGGGAGGCAGAGGTTGCAGTGAGCTGGGACCACGCCACTGCACTCCAGCCTGGGTGACAGAGCGAGACTCCATCTCAAAAAAAAAAAAAAAGAAGAAGAAGAAAAGAAAAAAAGACAAGGTTTCACTCTGTGCCCAGGCTGGAGTGCAGTGGTGCAATCATAACTCACTGCAGTCTCAAACTCCTGAGCTAAAGGGATCCTCCTGCCTCAGCCTCCCGAGTAGCTGGGACTACAGGCAGGCATCACCATGCCCAGCTTTTTTAAAAAATAATTTTTTTGTAGACATTAGAGTCTCACTATGTTGGCTAGAGTGGTCTTGAACTCCTGGCCTCAAGGGATCTTCCTGTTTCAGCTTCCCAAAGCTCTGAGATTACAGACATGAACCACCATGCCAAACCCAGGTTTTTAAATTTTATAAAAATCTATCAATTTCATTACTTTAACCAACAAACTGGCTTGAACGTTTTTTCTTGTTTGTTTGCTTGGTTGGTTGATTTTATTTTAACTTTTGTGAAAGCCTCAGGCTCTCTTTCCAAGTAGCTGGTGATTAATGCTGTGTTGGCAATCTGCAAATGAAAATGTAAACATGACCGAGATGGCTTTGGCAATAGGCACATGGAGCTGACACAGGCCGGCCCCACCCTTGCCAAAACAAACAGACATTTTGGATGCAATCTAACTTCAAAACCATGTAATGCAGAGGTGAGTTCAAAACCAAGAAGGCAAAATCCTCAATCGCAAAATGCAGTAAGAAAAATTAATAACAGAATGGAAAACCAAGTTGACTTCATGGGGAGCCACTTGGCTTTTTTCCCAGATTATAGGTCCCAGTGGCTTGGCTTCTAAATCCTCCTCCATGGGGTAAGGAAACGTGGGCTTGGGGCTGAGAAAAGTAGGGGATTGAAACTAAATTATTTGCATGATGTTCAGTGATTTCAAGGACTGTTTCATCCTTAAACAGGAAATCGATAATTTCCATCTGTCAGAGGCATTTGAACCAGAGCAACTCCATCCTGAATAGAAGCTAGGTAAAATGAGGCTGAGACCTACTGGGCTGTGTTCCCAGACGATTAAGGCATTCTAAGTCACAGGATGAGATAGGAGGTCAGCACAAGATACGGGTCATAAAGACCTTGCTGATAAAACAGGTTTCAGTAAAGAAGCTGGCCAAAATCCACCAAAACCAAGATGGTGCATCCTCACTGCTACACTCCCACCAGCGCCATGACAGTTTACAAATGCCATGGCAATGTCAGGAAGTCACCCTATATGGCCTAAAATAAGGGGAGGCACGAATAATCCATCCTTTGTTTAGCATATCATCAAGAAATAACCATAAAAATGGGCAACCATTTTATGGTTGCTGCTCTGTCTATGGAATAGCCATTGTTTTATTCCTTTAGTTTCGTAATAAACTTGCTTTCACTTTACTCTATGGACTTGCCTTAAATTCTTTCTTGCAGGAGATCCAAGTAGCCTGTCTTGGGGTGGGGGGCCCTTTCCTGTAACACATCGACCTTCCTAAAAGAGGCTGAAGGAAGTTTACTGTCTATCAAATCTTTTAGAAAGATAGTTACCTACAAAATATCCAAGTTTCAGGCAAGTTCCATGAAGGTATGAAGTCCAAATTACATTATTTGAGAAATAAAGGAACTACACACCAAATGTTTCACATCCTTTGCAGGTCAGTGGAGCCCCCAAATGGCATCAACAAAAGGAATATATAACTGCTCCAAATAAAAGTGTACAAGCCAGAGCACAAAGGCTCCCCCGAAAAAGAAGTCATTCCTGAATAATATGAATGTATGGCACAAAACTACCAAAATATAAGAAAAATGAACCACACTGAAGAAGAATGAGCAGATACTACAAACACATTTGGCTCCTAAAAAACTGCATATAAAGGAATGATAAGAAAGAAAACGTGAGATAGATAGATGTAAAATTACTGAAGTGTTAACAGTTTACAAAGAAAGCTTGAAGAAGAACAGATCTATATGAAAAAGGAAGAGGCAGATTTGAAAAGGAGCTAATAGGACTTCCTAGAAATGCAAGAAAGAAAAAAAACCACAAGCATCTAAAACTCAGTGGTTAGCTTAAACATGGGATCAAAAAAAAATGTTTAACTGTAGCAAGAATTGGTGAACTGGAAGAGAGATTTGGGGAAATCATCGGAATGTACCTATAAAACAGATAGATGAAAAATATGAAAGAGAAAGAGTGATAGAGGATGGCATAAAAGAAATGACAGCTAACAAACATTAACAAACATTTGTAACCACCCAGTGGGTTACAAATTCTAGGCACCTTGCCCACTGCCTAGACAGAGTCAATTTATCAAGACAGGGGAATTGCAATGGAGAAAGAGTAATACACACAGAGCTGGCCATGCAGGAGAACCAGAATTTTATTATTACTCAAATCAGTCTCCCCAAGCATTCAAGGATCAAAGTTTTTAAAGATAATTTGGCAGGTAGGGGCTTGGGAAGTGGGCAGTGCTGATAGATCAAGTAGGAGATGGAATCATAGGGGGTTGAAGTGAGTTTTTCTTGCTGTCTTCTGTTCCTGTGTGGGATTGCAGAACTGGTTGAGCCAGATTACCTGTCTGGGTAGTGTCACCTGATCCATCCAGTGCAGGGTCTGTACAATATCTCAAGCACTGACCTTAGGTTTTATAATAGTGATGTTATTCCCAGCAATAATTTGGGGAGGTTCAGATTCTTGGAGGCAGGGGATGCCACATGGCCCCTAAACTGTAATTTCTAATCTTGTAGCTAATTTGTTAGTCCTGCAAAGGCAGTCTGGTCCCCAGGCAAGAAGGGATTTTTTGAGAAAGGGCTATTATCAATTTTTTTCAGAGTTTAAACTATAAATTTCTTCCCAAGGCTAGTTCAGCCTATGCCTAGGAATGAACAAAGAGAGTTTAGAGGTTGGAAGCAAGATGGGGTCGGTTAGGTCTGATCTCTTTCACTGTCATAATTTCCTCAGTTATGATTTTTGCAAAGGTGATTTGGAGTTCTAGAAGGCAAAAACAAGAAGTGGAAGGCAACATTAAAAAGATTTACAATTGAAAATGTTCTAGAATTGAGCCAAGACATGCGGGGGTTCAGTGTATATTGCTCAGGTGATGGGTGAACCAAAATCTCACAAATCACCACTAAAGAACTTACTAATGCAACAAAATACCACCTGTACCCCAATAACCTATGGAAATAAAAATTTTATTTTATTTTTCCATAAGTTATTGGGGTACAGGTGGTATTTGGTTATATAAGTAAGTTTTTTAATGGTGATTTGTGAGACTGTAGTCCACTCATCACCTGAGCGGTATACACTGCACCATATTTGTTGTCTTTTATCTCTTACCCACTCCCACTCTTCTCCCCAAGTCCCCGAAGTCCATTGTATCATCCTTATGCCTTTGCGTCCTCAGATCTTAGCTCCCATATATCAGTGAGAACACAAGACAAAACAAGGCTCGTCAACACCCCCCAAAAATCACACTAGTTCACCAGCTATGGATCCAAACTGAGAATAAATCCTCAATTTACCTGAAGAAGAATTCAGGAGGTTAGTTATTAAGCTAATCAGAGAGGGACCAGAGAAAGGCAAAGCTCAATGCAAGGAAATCCAAAAAATGGTACAGAAGTGAAGGGTGAAATAGTCAAGGAAATAGATAGCTTAAAGAAAAAACAATCAAAAATTCAGGCAACTCTGGACACACTTTTAGCAATGTGAAATGCCCTGGAAAGTCTCAGCAATAGAATTGAACAAGTAGAAGAAATTCAGAGCTCGAAGATAAGGTCTTCAAATTAACCCAATCCAACAAAGACAAAGAAAAAAGAACAAGAAAACAGGAACCAAGCTTCCAAGAAGTTTGGGATTATGTTAAAAGACCAAACCTAAGAATAATTGGTGTTCCTGAGGAAGACAATTCTAAAAGCTTGGAAAACATATTTGGGGAATAATAGAGGAAATTTTCCCCAGCCTTGCTAGACACCTAGACATCCAAATACGAGAAGCATGAAGAACACCTGGGAAATTCATCTCAAAAAGATCTTCGCCTAGGCACGTTGTCATTAAGTTAAAAAAAAATTTTTAAAGAAAAATCACAAATCCCAACATCCAGATAGAGTTAAACAAAAATCAAATGCATCTAAAAAAGAAAAAAAAACTAAAAGTGATTTAAAAGGAAAACTATACTGAATTATAAATAGTTCAGTCTTCTCATTAACATATACCAGAAAACCATGGAATAGTAGTTTGAAAATGCTGAGGGATTCGAGACCAGCGTGGCCGCAATGTTGAAACCCCATCTCTACTAAAAATACAAAAATTAGCCAGGCGTGGTGGTGCTCGCCTGTAATCCCAGCTATTTGGGAGGCTGAGGGAGGATAATTGCTTGAACCCAGGAGGCAGAGATTGCAGTGAGCCAAGATCACGCCATTGCATTCCAGCCTGGGTGACAAGAGTGAGACCCTGCCTCAAAAACAAAAAAAAAGAAAAAGAAAAGAGAATGCTGAGGGAAAAATAACTGTTGGCCTAGAAGTCTGCATCCAGATGAACTATTTTTAACAATGAAGAGAACAGAAAGACGTTTACCAATAGAATCAGATTTATATATATATATGATATATATATATATACACATACATATATATATGATATATATATACACATACATATATATATGATATATATATATACACATACATATATATATACAAAATATATATATATATTTTGAGACAGAGTTTTACTCTTGTTGCCCAGGTTGGAGTGCAATAGCACAGTCTCAGCTCACTGCAACTGCTGCCTCCTGGGTTCAAACAATTCTCGTGCCTCAGCCCCCCAAGTAGCTGGGACTACAGGTGCCCACCACCACGCCCAGCTAATTTTTGTATTTTTAGTAGAAACAGGGTTTCACCATGTTGGCCAGGCTGGTATCAAACTCCTGACCTCAGGCGATCCACCCACCTCGGCCTCCCAAAATGCTGGAATTACAGGTGTGAGCCACCACGCCCAGCCAAGATCCCATACCCTCATCGAAAGAACTACAAAAAAATGTACTTTAGTAAAAATGAAATTGAACTCAGAAGGAAGGTATGAGGTGAAAGAAGAAATAATAAGTTTTTCCCCATACACACACACACACGAAGGTAGATATGTTGATGTCTAAGTATTTACAGTAATAAAAAATAATAATGTTTAAAATGGGGAAGAGGTTAAAGCAATGTGGAACAAAAATACTTGATAATTAAATAGAAGTAAAAATGAGGGAGAATGGATTTCAAGTTAAAAAAAACCTTTGCAGGTCAGTGGATGCCCTAAATGGTATCAACAAAAGTTTTAAATATCTTGTACTTTTTGGAAGGAGAAAAAAAATATTGATTAACTTTACACTCTATTAGATATGCCTATTAAAAACTTTTGGAGGCTGGACATGGTGGCTCACACCCGTAATCCCAGCACTTTGGGAAGCCGAGGTGGGTGGATCACCTGAGGTCAGGAGTTCAAGACCAGTCTGGCTAACATGGTGAAACCCCATCTCTACTAAAAATACAAAAATTAGCTGGGCATGGTGGGGGGTGCCTGTAATCCCAGCTAGTCGGGAGGCTGAGGCAGGAGAATTGCTCAAACCCGGGTGGCGGAGGTTGCGGTGAGCTGAGATTGTGCCATTGCACTCCAGCCTGGGTGACAGAGCAAGACTCCATCACAAAAACAAACAAACAAACAAACAAACAAACAAAAACTTTTGGAGTTACTTCTTCCAGATCAGAATATATATATATATATATATATATATATATATATATATAATTTCCATAGCAATAGCAGGAAAGGAGGTGACGATTTATTAGATATCCAACTGAGGTCAAATCCAAGAAAATAAATGTGAAGTTATTAACTGATATATGATTTCTGAGCCATTGGACAGAATGTGATCAGGCAAGTTGTAAGTAAGTGTAGATAGAAAAGGGAAGACATCTGAAGAGGGAAGCCTGGGGCTCTGAAACAGCAAAAGATTGGCCAAAGGAATCCAGTCCTGCAGTGGAGATGGGGGAGGAGGAGACAGTGAGACAGAGAAAACCAGATTTCTGGGTCATGGAATCCGAATGAGAAAAGGGCCTCAAGAAGGAGGCAGGGATTAACTGTGTCACTTGTTCTTGATACATTAAGAAGGGACACAGTGGGAATTGCCCAGTAGATTTAGTAATGCAGAGGTCCTAGTCAAGATATTGAAATGCTTTTTGTTTTTTGTTTTGAGACGAACGCCCAGGCTGTAGTGCAGTGGTGCGATCTCGACTCACTGCAACCTCTGCCTCCTGGATTCCAGCAATTCTCCTGCCTCAGCCTCCCAAGTAGCTGGGATTACAGGCATGCGCCACCATGCCCAGCTAATATTTTAGTTTTTTTAGTAGAGACGGGGTTTCACCATATTGGCCACGCTGCTCTCGATCTCCTGACCTCATGATCTACCCGCCTTGGCCTCCCAAAGTGCTGGGATTATAGGCATGAGCCACCACGCCTGGCCTGAATTTTTTTTTTTTAATGGAGTTTTGTTCTTTTAACCCAGGCTGGAGTGCAGTGGCGCGACCTTGGCTCACTGCAACCTCCACCTCCCGGGTTCAAGTGATTCCCCTGCCTCACTCAGCCTCTGGAGGAGTTGGGATTACAGATGGCTACAGCCATACATGGCTAATTTTTTGTTTTTTTCATAGAGACGGGGTTTCACCATGTTGGTCAGGCTGGTCTCGAACTCCTGACCTCAGGTGATCCACCTGCCTCTGCCTCCCAAAGTGCTGGGATTACAGGCAGGAGCCACCGCACCTGGCCCTGAAATGTTTTTAAAAACTACTTATTAGGGCTGGGCAAGGTAGCTCGTACCTGTAATCCCAGCCCTTTGGAAGGCCGAGGCAGGTGGATCACCAGAGCTCAAGAGTTTGAAAGCACCCTGGGCAACATGAGGAGACCCCATCTCTACAAAAATTACAAAAATTAGCAGGGCATGGTAGCATGTACCTCTGGTCCCAGCTACTTGGGAGGCTGAGGTGGGAGGATTGCTTGAGGCTAGGAGTTTGAGGCTACAGTGAGCTATGACTGCACCACTGCACTCCAGCCTGAGTGACAGAGCAACATACTGTCACAAAAAAGTATTTACTGGGATACAAAATATTGATACATAAATAGGCAAATCGCTCATAAACACAGCCCTGCTTCAAGAAGAGCTTGTCATAGGGCACAATTTGCGTCATAAAACAGCAAGGGAAAGAAATACTATTGTTGGGCCGGGCGCGGTGGCTCACGCCTGTAATCCCAGCACTTTGGGAGGCCGAGGCAGGCGGATCACGAGGTCAGGAGATCGAGACCATCCTGGCTAAAACAGTAAAACCCCATCTCTACTAAAAATACAAAAAATTAGCCAGGCATGATGGCGGGCGCCTGTAGTCCCAGCTACTAGGGAGGCTGAGGCAGGAGAATGGCGTGAACCCAGGAGGCAGGGCTTGCAGTGAGCCGAGATCGCGCCACTGCACTCCAGCCTGGGCGACAGAGCAAGACTCCGTCTCAAAAAAAAAAAAAAAAAGAAATACTATTGTTATTCATATAAAAGAAAATAAAAATAATCTTTTTAAAAATTATATGTCTTAAGGGTAGGAAAGGATTTCTTCATTAGTCCCAAAAGGCAAAAATCACAAGCTAAATCTTTGATAGATTTGATCTCGCTAATGCTTCAAACTTCCTTCTAAGAGATGAAAAGCAAAACAGGAATGTTAACCAGCAAAGCAGAAGATATTAGCAACAAAGATACAAAAGATTGTCAAGATTACATAAATTAGTTCCAAAAATCAATAGAAAAATATAATTAACCCAATATGGATGGATAGTTCCCAAAAGAAGAAAAGCCACATGGCTCATAAATATGAAAAAAATAAAGTGCTTAGACCTACTAGTCATCAGGGAATTGCAAATGAAAATAATAATAGGAGGCCGGGTGCTGTGGCTCACGCCTGTAATCCTAGCACTTGGGGTGGCCAAGGCGGGCTGATCACCTGAGGTCAGGGGTTTGAGACCAGCCTGGCCAACATGGTGAAACCCTCTCTCTACTAAAAATACAAAAATTAGCTGGGCGTAGTGGTGCTTGCCTCTAATCCCAGCTACTCAGGAGGCTGAGGCAGGAGAGTTGCTTGAAACCGGGAGGCAGAGGTTGCAGTGAGCCAAGATTGCCCCACTGAACTCCAGCCTGAGTGACGGAGCAAGACTCTGTCTTAAAAAAAAAAAAAAAAAAAAAAAAGGCCGGTGTGGTGGCTCACACCTGTAGTCCCAGCACTTTAGGAGGCCGAGGAGGGTGGATCACCTGAGGTCAGGAGTTCGAGACCAGCCTGGCCAATATGGTGAAACCCCGTCTCTACTAAAAATACAAAAAATCAGCCAGGCATGGTAGTGGGCACCTGTAATCCCAGCTACTCAGGAGGCTGAGGCAGGAGAATCATTTGAACCCAGGAGGCGGAGGTTGCAGTGAGCCGAGATCATGCCATTGCACTCCAGCCTGGGAAACAAGAGCAAAACTCCGCTTCAAAAGAAAAAAAAGAAAGAATAATAGGATACAACTTCACACCTAGTGATCTGACAAAGATGAAAGTAGGAAAACTGAGAAAAAGGTATTCTCAAAACCACTAGTGGAGTGTTAACTGGCACAGCCACTTCGGTGGTACCCACTAAAGTTAAAGATCGGTGATCCGTACAATACCATACCACCATCTGTAAGTGTATTTTTCAGAAGAATTCTCACACACAGGCATAAAGAAATGGAAGTATTTTCATATATCAACTTACATGAAAATGAGACTTTTGAAATAAACACTCACCAATAGGGGAATAGGTGAACTAACTAAAATTTATTGTAGAATAGAATATCATACAGAGATTAACACATAAGCTACAACTAGACAAACCAACCTGGAAAAATCTCAAAACATAACATTGGATGGGCCAGGCATGGTGGCTCATGTGTGTAATCCCAGCACTTTGGGAGACTGAGGCGGGTGGATCACTTGAGGTCAGGAGTTCAAGACCAGCCTGGCCAAAATAGTCTCTTCTAAAAATACAAAAATTAGCCAGGTGTGGTGGCGTGCACCTGTAATCCCAGCTACTCGGGAGTCTGAGGCAGGAGAACTGCTTGAATCCAGGAGGCAGAGGCTGCAGTGAGCCGAGTTCGTGCCACTGCACTCTAGCCTGAGTGACAGAGGCAGACTCCGTCTCAAAAAAAGAAGAAAAAAAGCACCATAATCACTACATTCTCTTCAATCTCACACAGAAGCTCCCTACTGTGGGTTTTACATGGTGGCTTCCGGAGCTGTGGTCCTCACTGCTGGAGTTCTTTCTATGGGTTTTAATGGAAAATGGCTTTCAATTTGACAGATACTCATTTTTATATACATGGGAAGTCTACTTTCTAGATACTTATCTCTGAAGATAATTTTGATGTTTGTCACAAATAAGTTGTAAACTAAAATTAGTTCAAAATATTGACATTTTCTGAAGATTCTAATTCAGTACTCTATCAGAAAATGTGTTTGCCATTCAAACCAGTACAACACTGCAAAGCTTCTAATATGAATGTGTTCCAAATTACCCCCAAATTTAGTGGCTTAAAGCAAATGACAACCCTTATTTTGCTCACAACTCTGTAATTTAGGCAGGACTAAGTGAGATTAGTTTGCCTCTGTTCCATTCAGCATCAGCAGGGTTGGCTTGGAGACTGGTGGCTGGAATTACCTAAATACCTGTTCACTCATATGTCTGGTAACTGATGCTGGCTCCTGGCTGAGACCTCAGCTGGAGCTTCTGGCTGGAAGATGTCCACGTGGCATCTCCTTGTTGCCTGGGGGCTTCCTTCATAGCACAGTGGCTGGGTTCCAGGGGCAAGAATCCTGAGAGAGAGAGCCAGGCTCACATCACCTTTTATGACCTAATCTTGGAAGTCACATGACATCATTTCTCCCACATTTTTTTTTTTTTTTGAGACGGGAGTGTCTCGCTCTGTCACTTAGCCTTGAGTGCAGTGGCGCCATCTCAGCTCACTGCAACCTCCACCTCCCGGGTCCAAGCAATTCTCCTGCCTCAGCCTCCCAAGTAGCTTGGATTACAGGTTCCTGCCACCACGCCCGGCTAATTTTTGTATTTTAATAGAGATGAAATTTCACCGTGTTGGCCAGGTTGGTCTTGAACTCCTGACTTCAGGTGATTTGCCCACCTCCGCCTCCCAAGGTGCTGGGATTACAGGCGTGAGCCACCACACCCAGCCCATTTCTTCCACATTCTATTGCGGTTTCCTGGGCAAGAATCCTGAGAGAAGACAGCCAGGCTCACACCACCTTTTATGACCTAATCTTGGAAGTCCCATAACATAATTTCTCCCACATTGTATTGGTCAGGCAGTTGCAAAGTTCAGGGATCAGAAATATTGCATTGTGCATTTTTGGAAAATACAACATCTTCAGACACACAGAGTGGTGGTGAGCCATCCATCCATTCTCCTCCAACCTAACAATTTTAGGAAAGGACCTTTGAGTGTGCACGTGTGTGTGTGCATGTGTGTTTCTGTGTGACCATAATCCTGTTTTGAGTTAATTGTAGTTTTCAGTTGCTGCTATTTTTTAAATTCTAAATCATAATTTTATACATTACCCACATTAGTATGGGTCCATAGTTATCAGTTTAGTTTGCTGAAGGTTAACTCTGAAGCCCATGCTGGTTAGTCATGCATATTTATATTAATAGTATTTGGCATATAAATTTATAATAATTGGAAATTAAGATGTGTCTACAAGGTATTTTGAATATAAAGAGTATTTTGAATATAAAGCATCAGTGTAGGGAGCACCCCTCCCTACCCTGGGCTTGGGTTATAGGTAAGACGCTTGCTTTATCAATCAGTGCTATGGAACAGGGAATCATAAGAAGAGCATGGAGAAAACCAATGATTCTCCACTTAACCCAACAAAAATAAACCTTTTAAAAACACATCTACATGACAGCATATACTATTGCTGGATTTGGTGAATGGCATGTGTGATTTTTTTCTTTATTTTTTTTTTCTCAGGCTGGAGTGCAATGGCAAAATCTCGGCTCACTGCAACCTCTGCCTCCCAGGTTCAAGCGATTCTCCTGCCTCAGCCTCCCTACTAGGGGTGCTCACTACCACACCCACCTAATTTCTGTATTTTTACTAGAGATGGAGTTTCACCATGTTGGCCAGGCTGGTCTCGAACTCCTGACCTCAGATGATCCACCCACCTCAGCCTCCCAAACGGTTGGGATTACAGGCGTGAACCAACACGGCCGGCCAGCATGTGTGATTTGACTTTCCTTTGCAATAGTAAGAATGGGCTTCACTGATCCATCCTCTTGTCCATTTATTCACCCAAGGTATGTAAATATTGTAAAACCAAGAAAGAAAGGGCATAGCTGACTGTACCTCAACAGGACTGAACCCACTTCCTTAGACTCACGAGCACCCATCTTCCACCTGCAAAATGAACCATGAAGGAAGAAGTTCAAATTCCCATCTAGGTACACTTTCCTGACCACCACTGTCCAACCCATCTACTTTAAAATCCCAGGCTACCAACACTTTGATATCTTTGGAGACTGGTGATCCATTCATTCTACTACTTTTTCATCATCTGTCACCTTTCTCAGGTCCTCACTTCCCTCTACACAGTTTACATTCCACGTGTTCCTCAGTATAATAGCTCCTTTGCGAACGCCTCTTCTGTCCATCTCCCATGGCAAAGCTGCTCAACTGGCAGATGCCATTTCTCATTGAATTCAACCATTCACCTCTCTTGTGCCTGTCCTTAGGCAGCTGAGCACTGCTAGAAAAGAAATGCCACAATTATGCTAACTGATCTCACTTTAAATTTGTGATCATGTGTTTCTTTTTTTTATTATTATGCTTTAAGTTCTAGGGTACATGTGCACAACGTGCAGGTTTGTTACATAGGTATACATGTGCCATGTTGGTTTGCTGCACCCATCAACTTCTCACATGCATGTTTATTGCAGTGCCATTCACAATAGCAAAGACTTGGAACCAACCCAAATGTCCATCAATGATAGACTGGATTAAGAAAATGTGACCAGGTATTTCAAATCAGTGCTAAACACAGACCAACGATCCTGCCTATATCCTATCAATTCCCCCTTCTCACTTTCTGAGATGCCATCACGACTCCTTCTTTGTCAAACCTCCAAAATACCTCCTACCACTTGGGCTGACTGCATCACCTTGTGGTTTTTGCTAAATAGGAGCTATCAGATAAGAACAACTTCCCTCTCCTGTGATCAAGTCCAGCTGTCTCCTGAAACTCATGCCCATATATTCTGCCACTCATTCGGTGACAGGGGATGAATTGTTGCTGATGCTATCAAAAGCCACTTGAGCCCTACCTTCCCTTCCCTTTCACCCACTCAATGACTTTATTACTACAGTCACTGATATAGTTTGGATGCTTGTCCCCACCCAAATCTCATGTTGAATTGTAATCCCCAATGTTGGAGGTGGGCCTGGTGGGAGGTGTTAGATCATGAGGTTGGATTGCTCATGAATGGCATGGGCCATCTGCTTGGTGATAAGTGAGTTCTGGCCGGGCACAGTGGCTCATACCTGTAATCCTAGCACTTAGTGGGGGCTGAGGCGGGTGAAGCACCTGAAGTCAGGAGTTCAAGACCAGCCTGGCCAACATGGCAAAACCCCACCTCTACTAAATATACAAAAACTAGCTGGGCGTGGTGGCAGGCACCTGTAATCCCAGCTACTCAGGAGGCTGAGGCAGGAGGCTGAGCTGAGATAATGCCATTGCACTCCAGCCTGGCCAACAGAGCAAGACTCCATCTCAAAAAAATAATAAAAAAATAAAATAAGTGTGGGGCACCCCCACCTCTCTGTCTCTCTCCCTCTCTCTCTATCTCTCTCTCTTCTGCCTTCACCATGTGATGTACCTGCTCCGCCTTTGCCTTCCGCAATAACTGGAAACTTCTTGAGGTCTCCCAGACACAGATGCCCCTATGTTTCATACACAGCCTGCAGAACCATGAGCCAATGAAACCTCTTTTCAAGTTACCCAGTCTCAGGTATTTCTTTGTACCAATGCAAGAACAGGCTAACACAGTTACCCTCTATCTTTCTGTAGCTTCAATTGATACCTCTGTCCTAAATCATAGAAACATGTTTCATTATCTTCAATTTAAAGATACCCTATCCTGATTCCACATTTCCCACCAACTCTTGGCCCATTCTCAGCTACTCTTCATGATAAAATTTGACTGAGCACAGTGGCTTATGCCTGTAATCCCAGCAGTTTGGGAGGTAGAGGCGGGCAGATCACCTGAGGTCAGGAGTTTGAGACCAGCCTGGCCAACATGGCAAAAACCCATCTCTACTAAAAATACAAAAATTAGCTGGGCTTGAGGGCCGGGCGCGGTGGCTCACGCCCGTAATCCCAGCACTTTGGGAGGCCGACACGGGCAGATCACGACGTCAGGAGATCGAGGCCATCCTGGCTAACACGGTGAAACCCTGTCTCTACTAAAAATACAAAAAATTAGCCAGGCGTGGTAGCGGACGCCTGTAGTCCCAGCTACTCGGGATGCTGAGGCAGGAGAATGGCGTGAACCCGGGAGGCAGTTTGCAGTGAGCCGAGATCGCGCCACTGCACTCCAGCCTGGGCGACAGAGCGAGACTCCATCTCAAAAAAAAAAAAAAAAAAAATTAGCTGGGCGTGGTGGTGTGTGCCTGTAGTCTCAGCTACTGGGGAGGCTGAAGCAGAATTACTTGAACTTGGGAGGTGGAGATTGCAGTGAGCAGAGATGGCACCACTGTACTCCAGTCTGAGCAACAGAGTGAGAACCTGTCTCAAGAAAAAAAAAAAATCCTTTATACTGGCTGGCTCTTCCTCCTTACCTCTCATTCTTTCATAAGTCAGTCAAAATGATCGTCATGTAATTCAGCCCCATGTTGTTTTGTAGGTCAAGAGACTGAGACCCATTCATTAATCCTTGTGCAGGATTCCCGCAGCTCATCTGTGGCAAAGTGAAGCCCAGAACTCTTGAAGCTGGATTCCTATTTCTTTCAAGATGCTCTCCACCTGCCTCCAATATCTTTGATCTCACCCTTATTCTGCTGATTTCACTTAATCAAAACTGACCTTAGAAGAGCTTCCCAACTCATATTTCCCTAAAGTAAACCCCAGGTGAGCCAGTTCCTGCCATCTTCAGCTCCTCCCCAATCCACGCCCAAGTTCAGACGTTTCATCTTCTCCACACCAGTTCCTCAGGTATCTGGACACAAGATAGAGGCAGAAACGTGAGTGTGCCGATCACATTATCTTCAACATCCCTTGTTTCCTCAAGCTCCAATTGAGTAAATTATATCTGCAATTTAACTCCTAATCAAGAGGCCCTTGAGTCTGACTTCAGAGACTTATTTTATGGCTCTTCATATGTCAGGTATGAAAATGAAGGATGTCTTACTTGCTTCACTGGGATGCTCTCACGCAGTAAATCACAGGGGCATGGCAGTGAAAGGAGACTGTGTTTTAGGAAATGAAAGGCAAAGGGAAGGAGCTGGCTTATTGAAGGCAGGGAGAGAAGAGGGAACAGAAGGCAAAGGCCAGAAGCTCAGGTGTTTGCAAATCGTGCTGCTGGAATCCAGGCTGACACCAGGGAAAGAGGCATTTCACGCTTGATGTTTACTCACTGACAGTCCTGGGGCAAATGAGCGCAGCTTTTACAGGCCAGGAACTCTCCAATTAGAGAAGACAAGCCTCAACTCCACAAACCAGAGGCAAGAATCTAGCTGACTCCTGCCCATTTCAGTCTGGTAAGCCCATTTATTATGGTATCATTCATTCATTTAAGATTACCTTCATGTAGGAGTTTTTTTAATCTTAATTTTTTTGAGACAGGGTGTTACTCTGTTGCCCAGGCTGGAGTGCAGTGGTGCCATGATGGCTCACTGTAACCTCCACCTCCTGGAATCAACTAATCCTCCCACTTCAGCCTCTCGAGTAGCTAGGGCCACAGGCACACACCTCCATTCCTGGCTAATTTTTTTTTTTGGTAGAGATGGGAGTCTTGTTATGTTGCCCAAGCTGGTCTTGAACTCCTAGACTAAAGCCGTCTTCCCACCTCAGCTTCCCAACATGCTGAGATGACTGGCATGAGACACTGCACACGGCCATTGTAGGTAATTTTAGATGAACTTATCCCTTCCTACACTGGGGTTGGGTTATCGGTAGCTAAGATGCTTCTTTATCAATCCGTGGCATGGACCACGGAATCATAAAAAGGGCACGAAGAAAATATAGGTAAAAATGTAGATTCAAGGTATCCCCCAAGGTAGCTTAGTCCACCTCCTAACTCTTCATCATTAATTGCTTCTACCTTTTTTCCCCCGTTTATTACTAGAATTAAGTAACTCACTTTCTGATCATTGTCTTTCTGCTCAACCGTAAAAGCCCTTTAGATTTTTTTTTTTTTTTTTTGAAACGGAGTCTCCCTCTGTTGCCCAGGCTGGAGTGCAGTGGCACAATCTTGGCTCACTGCAACCTCCGCCTCCCCGGTTCAAGCAATTCTCCTGCCTCAGCCTCCCTAGTAGTTGGGACTACAGGTGTGCACCACCACGCCCAGCTAATTTTTGTATTTTTAGTAGAGACAGGGTTTCACCATGTTGGCCAGTCTGGTTTCAAACTCCTGAGCTCAGGTGATCAGTCTGCCACGGCCTCCCAAAGTGCTGGGATTACAGGCGTGAACCACCATGTCCGGCCACCCTTTAGATTTTATTGATCAACCTAGAAAGCCTCTCTGTCTGTGGGTCCTCAGAGCTCCCAGTCTCCTTTTCTTTGTCCTAATTAGTGGAGAGATGGGAGAAAGTGCTCCTATAGAAGCTTCTTCAGGGAAAACTATTTTTTTAATTAACCAATCTTTCAGTTAGGAATAATACTGGTTGCATGCAACAGAGATCCAATCTATACGGGCAGAATAAAATTACATTTTCTTTTTCTCATACAACTAGGAGTGAAGAGGTAGGCTTTCTGGGGCTGGTGCTATAGCTCTGTGATGCCATCAGAGGCCCTAGTTTCTGCTTACCTTTCTGCTCAGTCATGCCTTAGTGAGTGCTTCTTGCCTCATGGACACAATATGGCTGCTGTACCTCCTACATCACGTCTAAGCTTCAGGAAGGCATAACAAAGTTCTGCTGGTCTTGAATGAGCTCTGAGTTCAACTGGCTGATGATGATCTCACTCCCATGCCTGATAATTGGCTGGCTATCAGCTGAGGTGACCAGGGTTACAGCACTATGTGTCTCTCATGATCCAACAGGCTAACCTGGGCTATTTCACAAGCTAGTAGTCACACTTTCCCAAGAGAGGACAATCTCCAATGTGCAAGCACTAGTCAAGCTTCTGCTTGCATCTCATTAGCCAACATCCCATTGGCCAAAGCCAATCACAGTGTCGATGTGAGGATGACATAGATGCAGGGATGAGAAGAATTTGTAGCCATTTTTGCAATCTACTGCACTATCTTGAAGAAATTTACATCATAACCAGCTATATCTAATGTAGCCTACTTTGTTCTACAGAAATAAGCTAGTAATAAGAAAAATCCTAATTTTAAATATTTTATTTACTTACACACATCTTTCTTTGCAAATGCATTCTCTTTATTCTAAGATAAAACACATAATGAGAGTAATAATAGAGCTTTGTGGGGAAAAAACATGTTGCTGTCCCTATCTAAACACCAATTTTGGAAGAATTAAGCAGATTTTGTCAAAGCATGTCCCAGTTTGCGCAATTCTTATAAACACTTTTGTGTCTCATGTCAGGCTCCAAAGAGATAACACCTTTTAATTTCATACTTTGTGAAAATGCTAAGATTTTCATTATCAAAGACTAAGAACACACTCAATTCTTACAATCACGTGTCTGTGTTGGCATGGTGCCTACACAATTACAGATGCTGGTGCTTGCCAGAGAGGTCACAGAAAAATCACACCCAATGGACTCTTGGGGAAGTATGTTTAATCAGTTTAATCTGTTTATATGGCTCAATGAGGACTTTTGGAAGTGGTGGGCAGTGATACAGGGAAGCTGATGAGGAGTTTGGGTTAATGTGAATAAGCTTATAGCCTGGCTGGTAGCCTGGGATGCCCAGGGTTTCCATGGCAGCCCCCTAGGAAGGTGATATGTCCAGTGTCATCTGTACATCCAGGCCTTTAGTTCACTTGGTGTATTAGTCTATTTTCACATTGCTAATAAAGACATACCTGAGACTGGGTAATTTATAAAGGAAAGAGCTTTAATGGACTCACAGTTCCACATGGCTGGGGAGGCCTCACAATCATGGTGGAAGGCGAAGGTGAAGCAAGACACATCTTACATGGTGGCAGGCAAGAGGGCATGTGCAGGAGAGCTGCCCTTTTATAAAACCATCAGCTCTCCTGAGACTTATTCACTATCACAAGAACAGCTTGGGAAAAATCTGCACCCATGATTCAATGACTTCCCACAGATCCCTCCCATGACATGTGGGGATTATTACAATTCGAAGTGAGATTTGGGTGGGGACACAGAGCCAAACCATATCACCTGGTCTAGGTAGATGGCAAAGGCAAGTGCACTGGGAGTTACCATCTTATTCTGGCCAGTGATATTCCTGGGCCCGTCAATCTCCCTGAGGATTAGCATGCATTCTTTTTTTTCTGCATGGTCAGGAAGGAGTCCTGCCCTCTGTCTCAACCAAAGGTGGCCATGGCTAAAGAGAGGAGGAGGCCAGGCACGGTGGCTCACGCCTGTAATCTCAGCACTTCAGGAAGCAAAGGCAGGCAGATCACTTGAGGTCAGGAGTTTGAGACCAGCCTAGGCAACATGGTGAAACCCCATGTCTCACTAAAAATACAAAAATTAGCCAAGTGTGGTGGCGCACGCCTGTAATCCCAGCCACTCAGGAGGCTGAGGCACGAGAATTGCTTGAACCTGGGAGGTGGAGGTTGTAGCGAGCTGAGATCACACCCCTGCACTCCAGACTGGGTGACAGAGTGAGACTCCATCTCAAAATAAATAAATAAATAAATAAATAAATAAATAAATAAATAAATAAATAATAAAAATAGGGGAAGAGTAGGTGCAGTGAGGGAGGGAAAACTCAGAGGGTCCTACTGGGGGCTCCCACCACTCCAGAAAGGTCCCACCAGCCTGACCATTTATTCCTTTAAGAAATCTCTTGGAGCCAGGCACGGTAACTCATGCCTGTAATCCCAGCACTTGGGGAGGCTGAGGCAGGAGAATCATTTGAACCCAGGAGTTCAAGACCAGGCTGGGAAAAAATGTGAGACCCTCATCTCTACAAAAAAAAAAAAAAAAAAAACAGGTTGTAGTGGTGCATGCCTGTAGTTCTAGCTACTTGAGAAGCTGAGGTAGGAGGATGGCTTGAGCCCAGGAAATCGAGGCTACAATGAGCTGAGACCATGCCACTGCACTCCAGCCCAGGTGACAGAGCAAGACCCTGTCTCAAAAAAAATAATAATAATAAAATAAATAAAAAAGAAATCTCCTGGGAAAGAAAATGTATCCCCAGATTTACCCCTCACACTACTTGCTTCCAAGTTAACACTTCAGGAAGGGTTGATGCTCAAAATGTTAACCACTTATTAGGAGGGATTCCCAACCAAGCTCATCAGGGAGTGGCAGTGGAGCTATAGGTGTGTATCTGACTGAGCACCAGCCTTCCCTGCAGGCAAGGATAGGGACTGAGGAAAACCACAATGGAGGTCTACCCTGTAAGGGCCGGGAGAGCAGATCCACGCTGCCCAACACCCCAAAGCCCCATGGCCTCACAGTGAGTTTACAGCTAAATATCTCTGACCTCTGGCAGCCTCAGCAGCCTTCTTCAGCCTCCAAGCTGTCTCATGGACCAGTTTGCAGGTCACCTGTGGTAGCAGACAGCCTGTCCTTGTGACCTTGGGCAAGTCACACACATCTCCAAGCTTCTGATTTTTATATGTAAAGCAATAACTCGACATTATCACCTCATAAGACTGTTGAGAAGATCTGGGAAGCTTAGAGCCATAAACCAGGTGTCAGCAATTTTTTCTATGAAGAGTCAGGTAGTCAATATTTTAGTCGATACTTGTAAAGCAGCTCTAGACATCCATCTTCATTTGCATATCTGTAAATGAAGAGGCGTAATGTAAGTATGTTCCACCCAACTGTGAGTATCTAATCCCCTACACTGCTCCTGTGCTGCCAGTGACCCTTCTGAGATGGATGAACACAGTTGACCTCCCCAGTAATGTGGCTTCAGGAGTGGGGAGACTGCCCCTTCCATTTTGACACTTCCTCCAGCATGTGGGAGAGCTTTTACAGAATTCTTCATAGTAAAGCTGAGACTAGGCCTTTCTGAGACTCTGGGGAAGGTTTGGGGAAAATATACAGGGAAAGCAACATAGATAATAGCTTACTGTGAGTATCCAAAACCATCCTGACTTGTCGGTAGCTTGCTATCCTGTGACCAGAGCACTCGGCCCCATCAGTAGAAATGCGTCCAGAGTCCCCAAGCCCTGGAGCTCAGGTCAAGCTCATTTCTTTTCTTTCCTTTTCTTTTTTTTTTTTTTTGTTTGTTTGTTTGTTTGTGTTTGTTTGGAGATGGAGTCTTGTTCTGTTGCCCAGGCTGGAGTGCAGTGGTGCAATCGTGGCTCACTGCAACCTCCACCACCCAGGTTCAAGTGATTCTCCTGCCTTAGCCTCCCAAGTAACTGGGATTACAGGTGCATGCTAAAATTAGCCATGCCTGGCTAATTTTTTTTTTTAATAGAGGTGGGGTTTCACCAGGTCAGCCAGGCTTGTCTCAAACTCCTGGCCTCAATTGATCTGCCCACCTTGACCTCCCAAAGTGCTAGGATTACAGGCATGAGCCACTGTACACAGTCCTCAGGCTCATTTCTATCCCTAGAGCAAGGCAGACACTCTCCCTCAAATCCGGGGTCTGCTTTCTGATTCCTCCCTTCTTGCCATAGAGCTGATCTCTTCCCAGTATGATTGAAGGTTCGATCCTTTGCTCCCTTCAAAGGAAATTCAACTCCCATCCACTAGACAATGGTCTGACCCTAAGGCCCTGGTGAGAAAAATCACACCCCAGTGCTATATCAATTCAATTTCAAAAATTTGGGTCATTTGTTCTGAGTTTGGAGAGCAACAGGTAGTTACAGCAGGCTCACTCTACTTCCTATTCAAATTATCTTCATTAAGGTTCAAAAAGCCCTAGGGGTGCTCCAATCTTGCCTGTTCTTTACCTCCTTATCCCATGCTCCCTTACCCAATTCTCAGACTCTGTTTCCAGTTACCCAATACACCCAAGTCCAGAGCCTCATGATTTCATGCTTTAGAATCTATGACCCCCACCCAGTAGTTTTCACCCTGCCCTATCACAAGCCAGGAGTCATGGACATGTTTGTGATCTATAGGTACTTACTCTGCAGCCTCTGTGAACCAGATGATTAGAAAAGTGAGGGCTAAAACTCAACCAAACATATTGTCGGGGAATGAAAATGTGAGTCACCAAAGATGGTTCAAAGTAACTGGCGGGGCAGGAGGGTGAGCAAATGCGACATCTCCTGGGTCCCAGTTAACAGTTGTCTGCAAATCCAAAGGTACCAACTGATCAATAGAAAACAGGAAGATAATGATAGACACGCAGCACTCTGGCTTCCAGCAACCACACTCCTGACTGCAGAACCTCCTTAAAAGACCACCAGAATTACCTGTTGATGAAGCAAAACTAGGTTTATTGATCTGTTGCAGTCAGAGAGAGCATCGTCTTAGCAGAGACTCTCAGAAGCACCACAAAAGTCAGAAGCAGATATTTATAAGACTCAGGGGTCTGGGCTTAAGAGACTTCAGGTGGGCCTTTCAATGTGGCAATCTTACTGGCATTGGGAAAAAATTCATGTTGTAATAATTTAGAATTGATGGGCGCAGAGAGTCTGAATAAGTATACAGTTATTTGATCATTGAATTTGTATTAGTCATTTTGACACGGCTATAAAGATACTACCCAAGACTAGGTAGTTTATAAAGGAAAGAGATTTAATTGACTCACATTTCTACATGGCTGGTGAAGCCTCAGGAAACTTACAATTATGGTGGAAGGGGAAGCAGGCACCTCTTCACAAGGCAGCAGGAGAGAGAAGAGACAGCATGTACAGGAGGAAATGTCAAACACTTATAAAACCATCAGATCTCATGAAAATTCCCTCACTATCACAAGAACAGCATGGGGGAAACTTCCCCCATGATCCAATCACCTCCTACAAGTTCTCTCCCTCAACACCCGGGGATTACAATTCGAGATGAGATTTGGGTGGGGACACAA
Organism: Homo sapiens; assembly: GCF_000001405.40. Taxonomy (NCBI): domain Eukaryota; kingdom Metazoa; phylum Chordata; class Mammalia; order Primates; family Hominidae; genus Homo; species Homo sapiens. The sequence goes on along the minus strand of NC_000007.14, from coordinate 67,671,771 downwards.
AGCCAAACCATATCAGAGCTGTTTTGCCCCAAGGGGGAAACTATTGCTTCAATAAATTGGTTTTCAGAAATGTTCTGATATGAGCAGAGAAGATATTTATTGGTTTATGGTCTTACCTTTCTTAGCAAGAATTTCCTGGAGTATAGCCCTGCCCCAAGGGTGACTAGAGGCCTACATGTGTCCTGAGAACACAAGACTGGTTGAAAATCCTTCATATTCACCAGGCTTTGAACAAAGCAGGCCTAAATATGTGCAGAGAGTGCAGTAAGCTCTCTCAGAAAAAAAAAAAAAAGAACATCCTTTGGTTGTCTGAGAGACAGGCCTGGCATCCTGAAGACAAGTGGTGACCTAGGGCACTCTGCAATACCCCAGTCTTGATCCAAGACTTGCAGGGAAATAAATGTTGACAGTGACTGCCTAAGCTCTGTCCAGAGGAAGGGATGTCTTATCACATGGGTTTTGAATGTGATGGTCCCATTGGCAAAAGAGCCCCCTTACAGACATGACTCAGCAAGCTGTCAGACCCTGAAGCCATTAAACTTTCAAGATCACATAATTAAAAACCTCTTTGTTTAGGTTCCGTGCTCCACGGGAGACCTCCCAATGGTTATATGGCTCCTCACCAAGCTTGCCTCCAGGGAGAGAATGTGATGCAGGAAGTCTCTTAAGTGTCCAATTTCTCAGCAGTTGTCGTTCCCACGGTGAACTTTAAAACTGGCATTCTGGTTTTACACTTCAGACTCTGCTGCCTGAGTGAATCTCTTTCTAAGAGATGGATCTGCAATTGATGTGCAAATAAATTGCATTTCTGGACCTGAAAGACTGAAAGCTAGATTTTGAATGGTTTAGAATGCATCCTGAAGCTACCTGGATTTCTCTTAATGAAACTCAAACCTTGAAGCTCACCTGTCCAAGCAGTGAAGCTTACACTGTCATTCATTAATCTCCATATCCCTGTCTTTAAATGGGAAAATATATGCTAACTTCAAAATTGGTAACATACTAAGGAATATTTAGGGCACAAACCCATGTGCAACTTGGAAACTACTGATAAAGAAATGGACGAGATTCCAGGTCAAGATGGCAGACTGCATGAATGCATGAAGCCCTCCTCCCTTTCAAACCACATAGGAATACTGCATAATGTACATGGTTTTTACAAAATTCGAAATGCATAGCTAAGCCCAAAAGCAAGAATGAGAACCTGCAGGTACCAGAAACATTGCAATGAGTAGAAGTTGAAACTGTTTAGCCATGGAAGTAACTAAACCAGATATATACCTGTGTGGGTAGAGGTTTTAAAGCCTCCATGGGGGATGGAGTTGAAGCCAAGGCTCCACATTTGGCACAGGAGCAGAAACTGAACCCCTTAGCAGAAGCCAGGCACCAGTAAATGTCTTTTCTGTCCTTGAAATGGAATTAGAAGAACTTTATCACTGACTCAAACCCATAGCCTTTAAGAAATAGAACCCCTCAACCTCTCAATTGGCCCTGCCTGAGACTATGAGATCAGAATTCTTAACCTGACTGCCTACAAGGTGCAAAAACAATGAGCCTAGATATAAATGTAAAACTTTGGCCCTGAGATTTTCTCTGTAGCCCCAATAGAGGCAATTATGAAAATTCTCATGGAAGAGTCTCTGAAAGCCAGAATATGTGCCACAGGTGTAAAAAATGGTTCATGCTGAAGATACAGTCCAGACAGCATTTGAAAACATCAAATGCTATAGGACATCATCAGCAAACAATAAATGGCCATACCCAAGAAACCATAAATAATAAATCAATATGAGTGGAACTTTAAAATAAGTTTACTTGAAATATACATATATGGAGAAAGAAATAAAGTCTATCAGGCATGAAAAAGATATAATGAAAACAAAAAAGGTAGATTCGAAAAAAGAACTACTGGAAATTATAGAAGTAAAAAAAAAAATACAGTGATTTGAGAAAAATATACAATGGAGAATTTAAACAGACAACTAGAGCTAGCCAAAGAGAGAATTGGTGAACTGAAGTACACAGCTGGGCAATCTCCCAAAATAAGGCACATATATATATACATATATACACACATACAAGCTGTTTTGACCTTAGCTATGCAATTTGAATTTTGTAAAAACCATATACATTACACAGCATATATGCATACACACACAAATAGAAAATAAAAATGGAAAAAAAGAACTATGAGCTCCAAGATGCATAAAAGGAGAATTCTAAAAGGAGTGGGGAGAGAGAATAAGTGTAGCAATTGGAAGGTGTTAGGCTACAAGTAATAGAAATTCCAACCAACAGTGACTTACAGAAGAGGATTATTTCTGACCCACAGCAAGAATTCTTGGGGAACAGGCTGTACAGAGCTAGAGCAGCAGCTCACCCCAAGCCAAAAATAAACAAACAAATAAATAAGCAAATAAATTCTAGGTGGATTAAAGATATAAACATGAGAGATAAACCTGAAAGTCATTACAAGAAAATATTGGAAAATAATTCTATGACCTACAGTAGAGATTTCTATATATTTTTTAAACAGAAAAAAAACATAGCTTAAATAGATCAAAAATTAATTTTTTTGAATCCTACTTCAGGCAAAATTAAAAGCAACAGATTTGGGGTAAATGTTCACAGTCCACGTAACCTACAAAAATTAGTATCCAGAGTTTCTGTAGATTATAAAGGTAAAGATAAACAAAGCAAATACAAATAGGAACAAAAGATAGGAAAATGCAATCCAGAAAGGAGGGATGACCCTGAGTGGGTAATAAACAAATGAAGCAGTATTCATCCTCGTGTCACTGGTGGTCAGGGAAGCGCAAATTAAAACTGAGATAAAATCGCACAATATCAAATGTTGATGAGAATGTGATGAAACGTGAAGTGGAAACTTTAAGCCTCGCTAGAGCAGAGGGGCTGTAATATAATACATCCCCTTGGGAGAGCAATCTGGCAAAGTCTGCTAAAACTGAAACTTTAATAATTACTTGTATGCTTATGCTAAAGAGATTTTCTCATGAGCACTCAAAGGTTATATATTTATAAGAAATTTTTAGCAGCCTTGTTAATAGTAGCAATAAATTAGAAAGAATAATTTTTATCAAAAATAAAAATTGAAATAAATTTCAGTATATCCAAACATAAAATTGTTAATTGTTAAATTAATTAAATTGAGGTGCATCAAGTGGATAGCTACCATAAACCAAACCAAGAATGAAAAAGAGTTGCAGGGCCGAGCACAGTCACTCATGCCTGTAAATCCCAGCACTTTGGGAGGCCGAGGTGGCAGGATCACTTGAGCCCAGGAGTTTGAGACCAGCCTGGTCAACATGGAGAAGCCTCATCTCTACTAAAAATATAAAAATTAGCCGGGCGTGGTGGCACATGCCTGTAATCCCAGCACTTTGGAACTTTGGAAGGTTGAGGCAGGCAGATCACTTGAGGTCAGGAGTTTGAGACCAGCCTGGCCAACATGGTGAATCCTGTCTCTACTAAAAATACAAAAATTATACAGGCATTGTGGCACATGCCTGTAATTCCAGTTACTCGGGAGGCTGAATCAGTGGAATAGCTTGAACCTAGGAGGCGGAGGTTGCAATGAGTCGAGATTGTACCACTACACTCCAGCCTGGGCAACAGAGTAAGACTCCCAAAAACAAACAAGCAAATATATATATATATATATATATATATATACACACACACATACATATATATGTGTGTATATATATGTGTGTATATATACATATATGTGTGTATATATACATATGTGTGGGTATACATATGTATGTGTGTATATATATACATATATATGTGTGTGTGTATATATACATATATATGTGTGTGTATATATATACATATATGTGTGTGTGTATATATATATACATATATATATGTGTGTATATATATATGAGATAATGTTTACTCCTGGAGAAAAAGGGTAATGATATTAAGAAGGTATAAATATGGAACTTCAAATTTACCTTTCATTTCATTTTTTAAAATATCTAAAACCATTATGCTAAGACCTCTAGTTGTTCATTGTGGGTGCTAGGGGCATTATAATTTGTTAAATTATTCTCTATGTTTTCTCAATTTTCAATCTTTCTAGATCTTTAAAAATAGTGGGAAAGTTTTGAAAACACATTTGCCTATTTTTTTACTTTTTGTAGAGATGGGGATCTTGCTAAGTTGCCCAGGCTAGTCTCAAACTCCTGGGATCAAGCAATCTGCTTGTCTCAAACTCCTGGGATCAAGCAATCTGCTTACCTTGGCATCCCAAAATGCCAGGATTACAGGCCTGAGCCACTGCACCTGACAGGCTATTTTTTTAATGTACTTTTTAAAAGATTTTGCTTTTGAAGGTTCACAAACAAAGAATTAAGTACAAAGATGCCAAAGAAGCGAAGTCCTCCTGTAACTATCAAATATCTGTTCCGTCAGTCATTATATCAAAATAAATCATGTGGTTCAATCTTTCTTGTTGGGAATTCAGAACGTTGCCTGAGAAATCTCTCCCCACCCCGCAAAAAAGTGATTTATTTTATTAAGTAAAAACTGAGCACATGAGAGAAGACAGAATGCGACTAGGGAAAGGAGAAGTTGCAACATACTGACATGTCATCTCAATTTTACGAGATTCTCAAGGTTTGGAAATGACTTAGAGACCTCAATATTAGTGATTTGCAGGGATAGACAAACTGCAGATAAATCTTCCTGTGTATCGACTTAAAAAAAAACAAAACAAAACAACAACAAAAAAACCACTAGATTTTCTATTTGGTTCCAACGTTGACAGGTTCTTTCCTCTGTAGACCTATGTGAATTGATGACATCAGCTCAGCCCCAGATCAGTGTCTTCTTGGGTTGTTTGGGACAGTTTTCTCTTCCACTGTCCCCTTCAGTGTGCATTGCATGTGACTGGCTGGTGAGAAGTCCGGGATATGCTTCACTCTGAACAGGTGAGCTCTTGGTGAGCTCACTCTACTCCTGTTTTTGTGCTAGAAAGGGGTTTCCAATAAATTATTGAGGCTAAAGCATCTTTCCTTTCTGAAAGGGCTGCATGTTGGAACCAGTCCCATATCCATAATCATAGATAGCCTTATGCAAGCGGCATGAGAGTCAACATCTAATTGGTGCCTTGACCAGGCCTGGGGCAAAATCCTGTTTAAATACAATCAATATTTACAAAGTAAGACGACAAGGTTTGCACAGAGCAGAACTAGGCAAGATATAGATTTCCACTTACAAGTCAGCATGCAGCTAATAATTCACCCCAGATCGACCTGTTCAGAGTGAAGCATATCCCGGACTTCTCACCAGCCAGTCACATGCAATGCACACTGAAGGGGACAGTGGAAGAGAAAACTGTCCCAAACAACCCAAGAAGACACTGATCTGGGGCTGAGCTGATGTCATCAATTCACATAGGTCTACAGAGGAAAGAACCTGTCAACGTTGGAACCAAATAGAAAATCTAGTGGTTTTTTTGTTGTTGTTTTGTTTTGTTTTTTTTTAAGTCGATACACAGGAAGATTTATCTGCAGTTTGTCTATCCCTGCAAATCACTAATATTGAGGTCTCTAAGTCATTTCCAAACCTTGAGAATCTCGTAAAATTGAGATGACATGTCAGAAGCCCTGTGCCATCTGTGTCGTGGCCTAAGATTTAGGAGATCTGAATTTCAGTCCCAGCTGTGATACTAATAAGGGAATATTCCCTCAGCTGAGACCTCTGGGACTCAGTCTTCCCATGAGTGGAATGGGATAATAATACGCACTCAGATTTCACTACTGTGGTTTCAGGACCATTTATTCAATATATTAATATTAAAGGGCTTTTAAATAATCTGAAGCAAATACAGTGCAACAAGTATTTTTTTAAAAAACTAAAAATACCAATGAAACACGTTCTTCTTGCTTTAAAAGTCTGGAGGGTTGAAGCAAAAACATAGACAAAAAATGTTTTCTCAAAAAATAATGCTTTTAAGTATAAGCCACCTGACTAGCCAAGTCACAGATCTATGATCAAATGCTTTTCTCAAACAAGAAATTGGTGTGACTTGGGAAGTGAGGTTTGCACAAAATCAAATGGCATCTTCTTAAACCTGGTTTTTGACAAGAGGTGATCATTACTGGATAACTTTTAAAAAGTCCAAGCTGTTACAACTAAGAACAAAACTGAAACACTCACAACCATTTTTAACTCACTATAGAAAAATTTAATTGCTTAAATATGTAACTGGTTGAACTGTTATAAAGATGCTTCATAAATACTGGCCAAATTAATGAATTTTACCATTCAGGAATGCACACGGATGTAGATAATGAACTCAAAATGGTCAGGGATGTCAGAAGCTTCAATGAAACACTAGGATACTTTTTTTTTCTACCTGACTATGGTCCTTACCAAATCTAATGCAGTGATTATTTCCTGAATATTAATTTATACTTGAGATTAGAAGGCACTACACAAAATACACACTCAAAACAGGACCATGTTAAATCAATTTTGCCCCCATCTCCAGCCTCCTCTAACTTCATGTTTGTATTTAGTCAACAAGATTAGAGACTTCATCTCTATAGCTTGCCCCCAAAAAGATATATCCATATCTTATTCCCTAGAACCTGTGAATATTACCTCATATGGCAAAAGAGTGGATATTATCTCCTGTGGCAAAAGATGTAATGAAGGATCTCAAGAGAAGTTATCCTGGATTATCGAGTGGGATAATCAACTTTGCATGTAACTTTGCATGTAACAAACTTTGCATGTTCTCATTCCTTTGTAGGAGCTAAAAATTAAAATAATCAAACTACCAGGGATAGTAGAATGATGGTTACCTGAGACTGAGAAGGGTAGTTATGGAGTTAGGAAGGGTGTGGGGATGGTTAATGGGTACAACAATATAGCTAGATAGAATAAATGAGATCTAGTTTGTGATAACACAACAGAGTGACTACAGTCAACAGTAATTTAATTGTACATTTTGGAATAACTAAAAGGGTATGATTGGATTGTTTGTAATACAAAGGATAAATGCTTGAAGCGATGCATACCTTACTTACTCTGATGTGATTATTTGACATTGCATGCATTTACACTGATGTGATTACTTCACATTGTAAAATATCTCATGTACCCTATAAATATAGACACCTACAATGTAACCACAAAAAAAAAAGATTAAAGGAAAGAGGCAAAGGGAATCAGTTTTGAGAGAGACACATAACAGGAGGCCATGTTACTGCAGAGGCAGGGATTGGAGTGATGTGGCCACAAGTCAAGGAACACCTGGAGCAACCAGAATCTGAGAGAGACAAGAAAGGATTCTCTCCTAGAGCCTTTGGAGGAGTGCAGTCCTGCTGACACCTTGATATCAGACTTCTAACCTCCAGAACCATGAGAGAAGAAACTCCTGGTGTTTGATAGAGCAGGAGGACTGTCATCTCGGACAAACACTGCCACTTTAAGTTCCAGCTCCCTTTCTAGCCTCATGCATTTCAAGGAAATCACTTCTTTTCTAACTATAAGCAACCAGAAAGAGCAGACAGTAAAACACAGATCAGACAGCTCGGGCACAGAGGGAGGTGGGGGGAAAGTCTCTTGGGTAACTACCAAACTTCACCCTCATACAATGGGCCCCAGTAAAACAGTGGGCCTTAATAAGCGCATTCCTTTCCCTTCAAGTCCACTAAGATAGAAAAGCAAAAAGCAGACTGGAGTGATATGCCTGAAGCTGCAGAAAGATGTATGGGAACAGGCACACAACTCTCCCTCCCATATAAGCACAACAAAGAGACACAGAAGCAGTCTAAGCCTCTGATAAACTTTTCCACCCTAAATCCTTAAAAACTCTTAGTCTGTAAGAGAGTGTGCCTCTGAACTAACATGGCCAGATGCCCCTCTCAGGATTGTTTTCTCTAAAATAAGCCTGTCTTAACCATCAAGCCACCTTTTGTGTTTCTTTCCTCTTTCTTACAGTGTTTAAGTTCCTCGTTTGTGGTGATGTATCACAGCAGCCACAGGAAATTACTACACTCTCCTTTTACTAACCTGCTTTTCCCCCACCCATGTCCAGTAGCTTGGCTGCAAAGTCCTGTCTTGTCTGCAGGTCAGGGACAGTTGTCCCTGCACACACAATCTGTGGGCAGGTTATAGCATGCTGTTTTGACTTGTTGACGTAGCAAATTCTTGCATCCACCTTAACACATCTTGTCCCCGAGCATCTTCAGATGCACACATCTGTTGCCTCCAGGTGCTTTCAAGCCAAAAAGACAAGTAAAGCTAAAACTCTGAATGGGTGGTGCCTATGTGTCAGGTCTCTACTGCTGTAGCAGGAACTCCAGGTACCAGGACTCCTATCATTTGGAGTTCTGTGGGAGGAAATAATGGCTCTGCTGGGGTGACAGTGTTGTCTGTCTGTCTATCATCTCAGTCCTTTCTTTCTTGAGTGGAATGTAAAGCTCAGGACTCCCACAAGACTAAAACACAAATGCTCCAAGCAGAACAGCTTGGTAAGAGCATTCCCTGAGAATGGATGTCTGCAAGGAAAAGATGCTTGTCCATAGACCCCCACATGACAGTGACTTTAATCAAATGCTAGCCATGGCTACAAAACAGCTTACTGAATCCCAAACTGAAGTCTATTTTAGGTATCTGGCAAACAGGGTGGAAGGCCCAGCCTACTGCCTTCAGATGACACAGATCTGTTCTCTCAACACGCAATGAGCACTTATGGGTGGCAGCCATCTTGAGCATGTGCAAGTAGCAGCCATCTTGAGCATGCATGGGGGCAGCCATCTTGTGAGGAACAAACCAGAGTTTGTTGATTTCACAGAGTCAGAACTTGATGTATAAAGTATTGTATACTGGGATTTGCTTATTTATATAAGACATCTTAAAAGAGTGTAAAAATAATGCCAAATGGAAAAAAGGAATAAATATAAACAAGGGATACAGTGAATATAAGGTTGAAAACATCAAAATGGTTCACGACATTTACTACCATGAGCCAACTGTCATAAATATTGTGAAAGAAGACACCTTAGCAGTTAACAATGTCCATAAAATGAAAAAAAAATTACTGGAGAAAAGGATATGTTTATTTATACTACAGTGAGGGGGACAGTATGTTATGTAATGAAATAGCAACAGCTTCTCTCTAGTGGACACTCTTAAGATCTATGGGGTACTTTATTCTCCTGACAATGGGCAGAGTTCCTTGGAGTCTCACTAAGGGTAAATTCAGTTCATGGGGGCAACACAGGGACAATATTGTGAGGGGGAAGTCAAAGTAGGAAGAGAAGTTTCTGACCGCCCAGTACAGTGTTCTTCCCAAGCTGCTATTAAGGCTAGGATGAGGTGAAGCAAGACAAGGGAAATATTTCTTTAAGGACAATGACTTTCTCACAATGACCAGCCAAAGTCTGAGGATGAGGGAGGTGGAGGGTGGTTAAAAATTCACCCCAGACAGATCACCTGAGATCAGGAATTCAAGACCAGCCTGGCCAACATGGCGAAACCCCGTCTCTACTAAAAATACAAAACTTAGCCGGGCTTGGTGGCACATGCCTGTAATCCCAGCTACTTGGGAGGCTGAGGCAGGAGAATCACTTGAACCCAAAAAGCAGAGGTTGCAGTGAGCCACGATCGTGCCACTGCACTCCAGTCTGGGCAACAGAGTGAGACTCCATCTCAAAAAAAAAAAAAAAAAAAAATTCAGCCTAGATATCAAAGCTATGAAAGTCAAGGAAAGGCTGAGGAAGAAACATTCCAAACTAAAGGTGACTAAAGAGACCTCATATTTCAATGCAACGCAGGATTCTGGCTGGCAAAAAACATGATTGAGACAATCAGCAAAGCTGAGCGTGTTCAGAGGATTAGATGATAGACATGCATCAATGTTAACTTTCTGATTGTGACGGTTGTGTTGTGATTCTGTAGGAGAATGTACTTGTTTGTAGGAATGACACACAAAAATATTCAGGAATAACAGAGCAGCCGGTAGATAATTTATTCTCCATTGTTTCAGAACAAAAAAAAAAGTCATTTTAGTTGAACCTTCAACATATAAGTTTGATTGTTTCAAAATTTAAAAATAAATTTTAAAAATTCAGCTTATAAAACTTTCTTGGTATGAATAAACTCAAGCTTGTACAGACATGACCAAGAGAAAATACCATTTGACAGTTAGTGCAGGTGATGGAGGAGAAGGATGGGGAACATTGAAGGTGAAATTCTGCTCACAGAAGCTGGTTTTAATCATCTAAAGGAGGATGAAGGCAGGAAGCCAGTGCTATTTTCCATTTTGATAACAAATCTTGGGCTTAGCAAATTTAAAGTGGATCAGTGACTGCAAAGTAAGGAGCATTTTACCCCCAGACCTCAGGGATTTAGGCAAGGTTAAAAACAGACATTCCAACAAAAGGCTACCCAAATTATTCCAATGTCCAGCATTATATATACAATTCTGAAACTGTCCACACTGTCATTATGGCCTGCCTATCACCACAGCCTGTTCTTCCTTGGGCAGTGAGGCAGAAGAGGCAATTCATTTGTAGAGGCAGATTTTTACATTGTCTCTAAAATATAAAAGAAGGATCCCAGCTTGAGCCTCAGCATCTAGACATCCAATGTGTAGAAGATTAGTGGATTGACCTTCTAATGGTCAATTGAATAAAGAAGCCACCTGAGAAAGAACTGCAAAATCTGATTCCAGGGCAATGATCAACTCAGAAGAGGAAATATTCTGAGCAGAGACAGCTGCCTGTCATGATGATGGGCCCTTGGCCCACCTCTCCACAGGAACCTCTTGCCTCTGTCCTAAGAAGGGGATATTGCAGTCAAAAGGCCAATAAACACTGGCCAGCCTGGCTTTGTTTGGCACAGGAAAGACCACTTGTGCCTGACCAGGTCACAGTCTCCACCTACTTGCCGTCACATATCTAACAAAGCCGTTCCGCCTTTCCCCAGATTAATATGTGAGGTATGCATAATGCTAGGTATTTTCTGATTATAGCTGCTGGCCGTAGAGAAGGACATAAATATGCAGCTGTTAAGCTGAGGGTCTTGTGATCCAACAACTTTCAAGGAGAAGAGGGACAGCCTTCCCACAACAGGCATATCTGAGTTCAAAGTCAGTATCTCAATGGAAGGCTAATGTATCCTCTCTTTCCTGGTCATGTTGCATTCCCTGACATAGGATATGGGTTTTCAGAGTGTGGCAAGGAGCTGAAAGTGGGGAGCAGCTGCCTGCAGAAGGCAGAGCTGTCTTCTTTCTTTCATGACCTCTGTTGAGAATGCAGCCTTCCTCAGGCCCTGCCTTTCATGATGTTTGGCCTAGTTTTCTAGATTAGCCAAATCTACTAGTATCTGTGAGCCAGAATTGTCTGGGTCTTCTGTGAAGTTCATGTAGGATGACAATGAGCCATGAATGCCTGCAAACAGATCCTAGCATGGGTGTCTAAATATCAGGCCCTCAACTTTGGCCTTGGAAGTCCTCCTGCAGATGTCAGCGGCCATTTGTTTTCAATGACCACAAGTTGGGTCACTTAAAATAACACCCTGCTGGCCTCCAGTTCTGGTGGTCAGAAGTCAAAAATCTATGTCACTTGACCAAAATCAAGGTGTTGGCAGAGACACACTCCCTCTAAAGGTTCTAAGAAAGAATTCATTTCTCACCTTTTCCAACTTCTGGTGGCTGCTGGCATTCCTTGACTTATGCCCACATCACTCCAATCTTTAAGAACAGCATCTTCAAATCTCTGTCTCTGCTCCATCTTCTATAGCCTTCTCCTCTGCATGTGTTAAATTTCCCTCTCCCTCCCTCATAAGGATACATGTGGCCAGGTGCGGTGGCTCACATCTGTAATCCCAGCACTTTGGGAGGCTGAGGTGGGTGGATCACCTGAGGTCAGGAGTTCAAGACCAGCCTTGTCATCATGGCGAAACACTGTCTCTACTAAAAATACAAAAGTTAGCCAGGCGTGATTGTGCAAGCCTGTAATCCTACCTACTCAGGAGGCTGAGGCACAAGAATCACTTGAACCCAGGAGGTGGCAGTTGCAGTAAGCCGAGATCATGCCACTGCGCTCCAGCCTGGTTGACAGAGCGAGACTCTGTCTCAAAAAAAAAAAAGATATGTGTGATTGCATATAGGGTCCACCTACATAATCGTCTCCCCATTTCAAAATCCTTAACTTGATTGCATCTGCAAAGACTCTTTCTCTGAATAAGGTAAACTTTAAGTTTACAGGTTCCAGAGATTGAGACCTGGTAACAGCATTCCCTGAGAATGGATGTCTGCAAGGAAAAGATCACTTGGGGGATCATTGTTCAGCTGACTACAATGGGTAACAGTAAGCATTTATACCCTAAACTTTGATGTGGACACACTCACCACTAGACAGCAGCCAGAGAGAAGCCTTTGGCCAGCATCAGCCTTAGATGTGGCAAATTAGACATGAATAAGTCCTAGAGATGTGTGCACAGCCCACTGAAGCAGGAAGAAGGAAACTAGCAGGTAGCTTGTGTTACTCATAGACCAAAGACAACCTCTGCATTTTTATGCTTCTACTCAGGAGCAACTTAAGAGTGGCTGTAAATTTCCTGCATGGGGGTGGGTGATGACAGAGAATGATTGTTTGGGAATTCTTGTCAGCATCACCATCTTTGTAACACCTAGAAAGGACTCAAGTAAGGACAGTTTAAGATCCAAATGAAGTCAAGCCTCTGATCTTTTCATTTGTCATTTTTTAAATTCCTGGTGAGATCAGCAATCTGCCATTCTCAGGTGCTTGATCAATAACATACCTTTAGGTCTCAGCCCCTCTTCCCTAAATGAGCAGATAGCAGAATGTTCTAGAACTTCATTTTTCATGCTCAGATAAAATCTGCAATTTTTTTTTGGAGCCTGCATATTGCTGCCAACTCTTCCTTCAGCCAAGTAACAGGCAATATCACCATCATTGCATAAAAGTAAAGCTTTTTAGCCCTTAAATTGTAGGAAAGATAAAGTCTCTGAATAAAAGAGCCCTTTCCAAACATGAACCCCCAACAAATGTACAAGGTGAGACAAACAGATGTTGTAGAAGGGCTCAGCGATAGAGGGGAAGTTTGTGGCATTTGTTAGTTTAGGTCTACAAGAGGCAGATGGAAGAAGCAGGGTGGTGGTGGCTGAGGGGCTGATGGAGAGACTTCTTTCCCAGTGAAAAGGGTACTGAGAAGTTACCTTAGTTACCAGAGGAAAGCCGAACAAGTCCCAGTCACCAAAAGAGGTTATCTGTGCCCCTTGAAAGCTGAGTCCTCCCATCCTCATTTCATCCCCTTTTTCCTTTACCACATACCCCCCTCCCTCAAGATATGGAACCTCCAAGGGATGGACACCAGTTCTACCTTGCCAGAGAAGAGGTATGCAATCGGCCTGTTCGTTAAAGGCCTGAAATAATTCCCAGATCCCCAGGTAGATGGCGTGTGAGGA